>NC_000015.10:25398086-25701116 GCF_000001405.40 Homo sapiens
TGAACCCAGGAAGCAGAGGATGCAGTGGCCAAGATCATGCTACTACACTCCAGCCTGGGTGACAAAGCAAGACTCTGTCTCAAAAAAAAAAAAAAAAAAAAAAAACACAAAAAACAAAAAAAAGGATACATATTTATTGTATTCACATGATGTTCCAAAATATGTATACACTGTGGAATGGCTAGATCAAGCTAATTAATACATGCAATACCTCACATACTTATATTTTATGGCAGAACATTTAAAATCTACTCTCAGTGATTTCCAAAAATACACTGTTATTAACTAGTTTCCATGTTGTACAATAGATACCTTGAACAAATTCCTCTTAATTGAAATTTTGTGTCCTCTGACCAACACCTCTGCAACCCAGTCCACTCACCCCCAGCCCCTGGTAACCACCATTTTACATCCCTGAGTTAAGATTCCACATTTAAGAGAGATGTAGTATTTGCCTTTCTGTGGCTGGCTTACTTTCAACAATGCCCTCCAGGTTCATCCCTGCTGTCACAAATGACAGCATTTCCTCCTTTTTATGGCTGAAGTATATTCCACTGTGTATACATACCACATTTTCTTTATCCATGAACACTTAGGCTGATGCTGTATCATGGGTATTGCAAATGATACCGAAAGGAACATGGGAGTACAGATCTCTTCAGCGCACTGATTTTATTCTTTTATTTATATATATATATATATATATATATATATATATATATATATATAAAAATACATATATATCCAAGTGTGACTGCTGAATCATATGGTAGTTCTATTTTTTAATTTCTGAGCAAACGTCATGCTATTTTCCATAAATGCTGTACTAATTTACATTCCTGCCATGCGCAATATATCTCTTGTCTGCAAATCCTCATCATACTTTAATAGCCATTCTAATGGCCATTTGTATGTCTTATTTTGAGAAATGTCTATTCAAGTCCTTTGCCCATTTCTTAAGTGAGGTGCTTTCTTACTATTGAGATGTCTGAGTTCCTTATATATTTTGCATATTAACCCCTTACCAGATATATGGTTTGGAAATACTATCTTCCATTCTGTGAGTTTTTTCATTCTGTAGATTTTTTCTTTTTGCCATGCAGAAGCTTTTTAGTTTGATGTGATCTCATTCATCAATTTTTATTTTTGTTGCCTGTGCTTCGAGGGGGTCATATCCAAAAAAATCACTGTCCAAACCAATGTCATGTACATTTCTCCTATACTTTATTCTGGTAGTTCTACAGTTTCAGGTCTTATATTTAAGACCTTAATCCATTTTAACTTGAATTTGGTATATGATGTGAGATACAGGTCTGATTTCATTCTCATGCATGTAGATATTCCATTTTCCCAACACCACCTATTGAACAGACTTCCCTTTCCCCGCTGTGTTCTTTGCACCCTGTCCAAAATCAACTGATAGTACACGAATTTATTTCTGTGCTCTCCATTCTGTTTTGTGGGTCGATGTGTCTGTTTTTTTGTTTCTTTTGTTTTTAAAAGACAGGGTCTCACGCTGTCATCCAGGCTGGAGTGCAGTGATGCAATCACAGTTCACTGCCACCTTAAGCTCCTGAGCTCAAGCAATCCTCCTTCTTCAGCCTCTCGGGTAGCTAGGACTACAGATACACAGCACCGCGCCTGGCTTTAAAAATTTTTTTTTTTTTTAATTTTAGAGACAGGGTCTCACTATGTTGCCCAGGCTGCTCTCGAACTCCTGGTTTCAAGTAATCCTTCTGCCTCAGTCTCCCAGAGTGTGGGAATACACGTGTGAGCAACTGTGCCTGGCCTGTCTACTTCTATGTGACTATCATGCTGTTATAATTACTGTAGCTTTGAACTATATTTTGAAATCAGATAGTGTGATGTCTCCAGCTTTGTTCTTTTCACTCATGACAGCTTTGGCTATTTAGGATCTTATGTGGTTCCATATAAATTTTAGCACTGTTTTCTAGTTCTGTGAAATTTAACATTGGAATTTTGATCAGGATTGCATTAAAACTGCAGATTGCTTTGGATAATAAAAACATTTTACAATATTAATTCTTCCAATCCATAAACACAAGATAACTTTCCATTATTTGTATCATCTTCAATTTCTTTAATCAATGTTACATAGTTTTCAACTCTTTGGTTAAAGTTATTTCTAAGTACAATCATCCCTCGGTATCTGCAGGATATTGGTTCCAGGATCTCCTGTAGATACCAAAATCCATGGATGCTCAAGTCCATTATATAAAATGGTATAGTATTTGCATACAACCTACACACATCCTCGTGTATACTTTAAATCATTACTTAGTACCTAATACAACGTAAATGCTATGTAAATAGTTGCTATACTGTAGTTTCCTTATTGTATAAGAAAACAGTATTTTTATTGTTGTATTTTTTTCTCAAATATTTTCATCCAAATGTTGGTTCAATTTGCAAATGCAGAACCACTGATACTGGGAGCCACTGCATGTTTTGTTTTTGGTACCTATTATACATGGAATTGTCTTCTTGATTTTTCTTTTAGATAATTTGTCATTAATGTACAGAAATTCTACGGATTTTTGTATCTTGATTTTATATCTTACAACTTTACTGAATTTATCAGTTCTAACAATTCTCTGGTGGAGTCTTTAGGTTTTTCTATATACAAGATCATGTCATCTTCAAACAGGGACAACAATGTCTTCCTTTCCTACTGGGATGCCTTTTCTTTCTCTTGCCTAATTGCTCTTGCAAGGACTTCCGGTACTGTGCTGAATAGAAATGGCAAAAGTGGGCATTCTCGTTTTCTTCCTGATCTCAAAAGAAAAGCTTTTAACTTTTCAACATTCAGTATAACGTTAGCAGTGTGTTTGTCAATATGGCCTTTATTTTATAGAGGTACATTCCTTCTATACTTAATTTTTTAAAATTTTGTAGCACAAGAGAATACTGAATTCTGTCAAATGCTTTTTCTCAATTATCTCAATTATCTATTGAAATGATAACATGGTTTTGGCCTTTGTTCTCCTAATGTTGTATATCACATTTTATGGATTCAGGTCTGTTGGATAATCCTTGTACCCTTGAGGTAAATCCCATATGATCACAGTAAATGATCCTTCTAATACACTGTTGAATTTAGTTATTATTTTCTTCAGAATTTCTGCATCTAAATTAAGAATACGGGTCTGTAATTTTCTTTTCCTGGAGAGTTCTTGTCTGGCTTTGGTATCTAGGTAATGCTCATCTCCCAAAATGAGTTTGAAATTACTCCCTCTTCTTAAATTTCTCATAAAATTATGAGAACAATCTGTACTAGTTCTTCTTTAAATGTCTGCTAGAATTCAGCAGTAAAGTCACCAAGTCTTGGGCTTCCTTTGGTGGGAGATATTTTTATGACTGATACAATCCTTGTCACTGGACTGTTCACATTTTTCATTTCATGATTAAGCTTGGACAAGTTGCATGTGTCTAGGAATTTATCCATTTCTTCTATGGTAATCAATTTGTTGGCATATAATTGTTCAGTCTCTTATGATCCTCTTATTTCTTGTACTTCTCTGGTATCAGCTGCAATGGTTCCTCTTTCATTTCTGATTTAACTTGAGTCATCTCTTTTTTTCTTAGTCTAGCTAAAGACTTGTTGCTTTTATCATCAAAAAACACAACTCTTTATTTTTTTTATCTTGAGTCATCTCTTTTTTCCTTAGTCTAGCCAAATAACCTGTCTTTTGAGTTCAGATTCTTTTGTCTGCTTGCTCAATTCTGCTTTTAATGCTCTTTTGCATTTTTCATTCCATTTATTGCATTTTCAGCTTCAGAATTTGTTAAAAAATAATTTCAATCTCAAAATTTCTCATTTTGATTGCTGTTTTCCTGATTTTGTTGAATTGTTTATCTGCATTTTCTTGAAATTCATTGAGCTTCCTTAAACAATTACTTTGAATTCTTTGTCAGGCAGTTCATATATCTCCATTTCTTTATGGTTGGTTCAGGTGCCTTATTGTGTTCCTTTGACTGGTGTCACGTTTCCCTGACTGTTCTTGATCCCTGTAGTCATGTGTTGGCACCTGCACATTTGAAGAAGCTGAGACTTGTTCCAGTCTTTGCAGAGTGACTTTATTGGGTAAAGCCCTTCACCAGTCAGCCTGTCCAGAGATTATGCAGCCTGAGTCTACCGGGGCTGGCCTGGAGTCTGGGTCAGCAGGGTAGGTCCTGGAGCCTTGGTACACAGGTGCTGCTGGCCTGGCATCCTGGTCTACTAGAGTGAGCCTGAACCTTGGATCTGCAAGGACCAGTGTGAAGGCTGGGTAGGTGGATGTTGGCCTAGAATTTGGATCACAAGGGGCTGGCCAAGTACTGGGTTTGGACCCTTGTTCTGCAGTGATGTGAGGCCACAGGGGCCGATCTAGAGGGCAGGGCTGCAGGGACCACCCTAGCACTAGACAGGCTTAGAGCCTAGGGCTGTGGGATCCAGCTTGGTGCTGGGGTGGGCCTCCAAGCTTGGTTTGTGGGTATTGGCCTGAAGTTTGGGGCCATGGGGGCCTGCCTAGCATTGAGTTTTACTGGGGCGAGCTCAATGTTAGGGTCTAAGTCTGGTGTACACTTCCCCTCCTTCCCCCAGGTGAACAGTCTCTCTCTCCATGCTGGGATCTCAGGGACTGAGGGAGGTGTGACACAAGTAATGTAAAACTGTCCTTCTTACCCTTTTCAATGTGTCTTTTCTTATCTGTGTGCCACATTCAGGTAATCTCTCGTCTGGTTTCTTAGCTCTTATATTTTTGTGTGTAGACAGTTGTTCAAATTGATGGTTCTACAATGAGATGAGTGCTGCAAAGTGCTAGTCTGCCATCTTGCTGTTATCTAGACCTCAGGCTTTTCTTAAAACAACTCAACACTTTGGTCTGGCATCCCAACCTTTCCAATCATGGCCATCATCCACAGCATATAAATTCAAATACTCCAATGTTAACATCTTATGCACATGCCACTAATGATTCTGTTCCATCAGCTCTGCTAATATCCAACCCTAAAATACCATGCATAATCTTCTGGCTATTGGAGAAAAGTCTTTAAATTTCAAATGTGATAAAGTCTTTAATCTTAACTAGTCACTCAGTGGAATGAGATTCTCCTACTCTGATACGGTTTCTGATTTCAGGTAGCCAGCCAGTCAAGACTCTCAACTTCTGATCCACTTCTTCACCCATTCCCCTCAGTAGCTTCCTAAGTTTTCAGTCTTCTCAAAACCTCTAAACAAACCTTGTATTCCACAAAATATTATTAAAAAATGTTTCATAAAAAGTTTCGTGGTCACTAACCTACAGTAACATACTACCTTATATCCACTACAATGACTACTATTGAAGTACACACACACACACACTCTCACACAATATGTGATGGCAAGGATGTAGAGAAACTGGACCCCTTGTGCACTAGTGGTAGAAACGCAAATAGGTACAGTTGCTCTGGAAGAGTATGGCAGTTTCTCAAAATTTTAAAAATAAAATTACCATATGATCCAACAATTCCACTTCTGGGAAAACAATTCAAAGCAGGGTCTCAAAAAGATATTTGTACACTCCTGTTCATAGCAACATTATCTGTAATAGCTACAACATGGAAGCAACCTGAGCGCTCATCAACAGGTAAATGGATAAGCAAAATGTGGTATATACATACAATAAAACATTATTCAGCCTGAAAAAGGATGCAAATTTTGAAACATGCTAAAGATGGATGAAACTTGATGACACTGCGAAGTAAAATAAGCCAATCATAAAAGGGCAAAAACTGTATGATTGCACTTATAGGGGGTACTTAGAGCAGTCAAAATTAGACACAAAGTAGAATAATGGTTGTCAGAGGCTGTGAAGATAAGGAAATGAGGAATTATTGTTTAATGGGTACAGAGTTTCAGTTCTGCAAAACAGAGAGTTCTGATCGTGACTGTGCAACAATATTAATATACTTAATACCATTGAGCCAAATACTTAAAAATGGTGAAATGGAAAATTTTACATTATGTGTATTTTACTACAATTTTTTAAAGCTTAAAAGACAAGTCACATGGTTGGGTCACATAAATTTGAGAAATACATTTTATAGTCGTTTCTTGCAGATTCACAATATATACCGGCATTTAAATAAGGTTCCAATATTTTCAGTAAAAAAATCTTGATTTTTCCACCCTCACCCACAATTACAATTAATATCACACATCCATCTTTACTTCCTTGTTCTAATTTCATTAGATGGGCATCTTTCCTCTTATTCAAGGTCAATCACTATATCTGCATTTTTCTTTTTTTATATTACCTGTATGAGAGATACACCTGTATTTTTCATTCCAACCCTTAATACCTCGAAAAACTTTGCTTTGATAATTACTACCTCTATTATCTGAAACATCTTTAGTCTTCACAATAAATCACTAAAGTCTTACTTACTTCATGTCCTAAATATTTGTCTTAAATCCAGAAAAATTTATTTTGAATTCCTATTATACCACTGTCATTGTCAAGGCTCTCACTGACTGAACTACCTTACCACCACACGTTTCTCTTCAATCCTTTCTCTCTTGCAAGGTTATTAAAAATACACGTTTGACAAACTTACTATCTACCTACTGAGCAAATTCTTTGCTGACTCCCTAATACCTTCTATCACATCTTATCTTCTTCATTTTCCTACCTCTCAGCTAGTTTATGATCTAAAAGTCCTCAACTGCCTATTGTCCCCTACTCCCTATGCTGCTTCTAACTTTGGCTCATACTTCTGCCTGGAATAAGCCGCTCATGCTTCTAGCTGCCTGATTCCCAGTCACATTTCAAGACTGAACTTAGCATTTCCTGGCCACTCTTACTTCCCTGCCATCTACACTAGATTCCTATTGCATACCTGGGTACTCCAGTACTCCTTCATGTTACTATTGTATTTTGGATACCATTCTACCTCAGTGACTGAAATTATTTGCTTCTGCATCTTTCACTCTTGAGTATAATATAAATTTCTGTAGGGTGAAAACTAATTATTACGCATCTCTGTATCTATAACATAGTACTTGATGCCTTAAATATGGTAGGCGTTGAGACTGTTAAACTCAACTCTTTCCTCAACCTCCCTATTTCCCTACAACTGCTACCAGGGAAGCAAAAAGACTAAGAATTTAGGCGTGTGCATTTATCTATCTAGTAGTAGAAACCTAGTAAACTGTTACCGAGGTTTAGAGTTATCTGATAGGAAAAAAAGTAGGTATGTTCCTATCTCCCATTTACTGCTAAATGATTCCTTTCTTTTAACCAGAAATTATTTCCAAATAATGTGACGTAATTTAAAGCAGTCTAGGGCAACTCAAAATAAGAACCACAGTCTCAACCAAGTTACACTTACATTCGGCTAGCTTCAATGTCGTCAGACTGAGGTTCTCCTGATCTGTAAAATGCAATTGAGAAACAGTTAGCAAAATATTCCATATTCCAAAAAAAAAGGTAGACATATTACTTAGGAAGACAATTTTGTAAACAAGATTTAAGCACTAAATAAAACAGTTTTAAAATTAAAGATGTCAACATGAAAGAAAGTGGTCAGATCAGGTGGCCATACAACACATTTATTTTAAGGGTTGGACTATTAAAAAACTCAATGCATGTTTTTTAAAGGAAACTGTAAACGCTATACATAGATACCAACAGACAAGCCATTATAAGCCATAATTATTCACAAAGTCAAATACGTGTAATAAAACACACAACTAAAAAACTTCCTATAGCCAAGTATTGGTTATCCACATTAACAAAGGTACTCACTGGTATTCACTCACAGTATTAAACTTTAGATTAGTGGCTCAGTAAACTACTCCCTAGGCAGACAGACTAAAGCTTAGGCCAGCCATGTAGTTTTGTAAATGAAGTTTTATTGGGATGCAGCCATACTCATTCATTTAGGTATCATCTATGGCTGCTTTCACACTAAAAGAACAGAGCTGAGGACTTGTGGCAGAAACCACATGGCCCATAAAGCCTAAAATATTTATTTTCTGGCCCTTTAAGAACAAATGTGCCAACCGCTACCGCTACTCCAGACAATTCAAACTAAAATCTAATACCTTGGTAAGTTTAAAGACACTTAAATCAGATACAACATTCTAATGATGATTATCTTGGTTCAACAATGAAACTGTTTCCCTAAAAATACACTTACTGTATGTATTACCTGTCAAAAGTGTATCACCTGAGGTGAAGTTTTGCACTGGATAGCTGTGAATTAACTTCAGTTTTAAACAGTTGCCAGTTACTTTGTTATTTCTAAATATACTACTGCTCTCTCATGTAGAAATATTTAAAATTCTAAGTCACTAAAAAGCCTTTCATTTTCATTTCACGAGATATGAATCAGTATTTCCCTATCTATTCACTTTTATAAACAGCATCAGCAACAATGAATGAGTCAATATAATATTGATTTCTAACACTTAGAAATTCCCAAACTAGATAAAAAATGTTTTTTGAGGTCAAAAGCTAAATTTTCAAATTGGCATTACAAAGTCCTGATTTGTGAACTTCTCACTGACTTTAGGCTTCCAACTTTAAGCAACTCTAACAAGAATCTTAAAATCAGTCACACACACACACACACACACACACACGCACACACACAAACCTGTTTTCTAAATTTCTTAGCTAAAAACAAAAACAAAAACAAAAAACAACCCCTCACTTCTTTATCAGACTCTCAAAATTACCCTCACTGCAATTCATTCAGATTCCAAGGACAAGAATGGAAAAGGAAAAAAAAAAAAAAAAAAGACTCCAGCAGCTCAAATATTTATTTTAGATCTTCTTTGCAATGTATTTAAATTTTCAATTTTGCACAAAATTACATAACAACTAAAAACTGGGGCATGCTGGAGGTGGCAGTGACTTGGCTGTGACACAAATGCAAAAATTTCACTCCACCCTCTCCCCCAGGGAGCAAGCAAATCACCTATGTGACACACCTGGTCTCCACCAGCCTTGTGGGTAAGTACCCCAAGATTGCTTCCAAACTTGTATCTCCCAGACAGAAGAGCTAAAAATTGATGATAACCCCATGTACCAGCTGACTCATTTTTGAAAGTGCGACCCTCCAGCATCAGATGTCATACTGTAAGGAGGCAGAGCTGGCTTGCAAAACAAAAAATAAACCTGCTGGCACTGAGGGAAGAGAGGCAGATTAGAAGTTTTCAAACACGTAGGCAGCAAAACTTTCAAAATTAACAGGGAAAGAGAAGAGAGGGAAAAAATGAGGACATGATGATAGGAAAATAAAAATATTACTGCAAAAAGGTAAGACACAAGAAGAAAAACAAATCTAAGTCTTAGAAGTACAATATGTAACTGTTACAAAGTTTTGAGATCCTGAAATGGGATAGAGTTTAAATACATTATCAAATGATAACTACATCTATCTTCCCAATTTCTGTTCCCTAAGCAAGAGAATATGTGAACTTTGGCATCAAAATGTTTGCCACCAAACTGTAACATATTAATTACTACTTTTTACATATATTAAAGTAGGCTATTAAAAACCATTGATAAGACAAGCTAAGTAATTTAAACCAATCCAGTATAGAAGAAGAAGGATTGAAAGATTATTACCTTAAAATAAATCTGTCCTGGGTCTATTAAACATAGCAAAGTTGTTCTACTCAAATTGGAAATTGTTTTTTAATCAAGAGAAAAATGAATATATGCAGAACTAGCAGACATTTTTCTTGCAGTAATTTATAATAGTTTCTGTCTGAATGAATTTCTACTCATCCTAATAACAGTATATTTCTAGAATATTATAAATAAGTTACCAAAGTCCCGAGGTTAGAATTCAAACTCTCAAAACTATGACATATGCCAGGTGTGGTAGTTCATGTCTGTAATCTCAGCACTTTGGGAGGTCAAGACATAAGGACCACTTGAGCTCAGGAGTTCAAGGTCAACCTGGGCAACATGATGAAACCTCGTCTCTTAGCCGGGTGTGGTGGTGGGTGCCTTTAGTCCCAGCAACTTGGGAGGCTGAGGTGGGAGGGTCACTTGAGCCCAGAAGGTCAAAGTTGCAGTGAACTGTGATCGTGCCACTGCACTCCAGCCTGGGCGATGGAGTGAGACCTTGTCTTGGAAACAAACATAAACTATGAAATATATACCACCTAGCAACAGTTCCCAAGCTTGACTTTGGCTCCTAAAGAGTCTACTTATTCTTTTACTGCCAAGTTGCTGGAAGTAAGAATCCTGTATGTGCTTGTAAATGCAGAACATATAACCTAATTCAAAACATATAACCAAAGGGAAATTTTTGTATTAAACTATTGACTTAGGTTATCCTAAAGTGTGTCAGAATAACAAGTCAGAAATTTTAAAACTGAAACAATAACCAAATAACATTGGATAATAAAATGTAAATCTCAGAATGAGAATCAATTTTAGGTCTTGATTTGAATCGCAGAAAATATGATCACAAAACACCCACTAATCTGAATACTGCAGCATGAGCTAGCAAATTCAAATGGTGGCTCACTTCCAATAACACTGGTGCAGCTTCTCCATCCTGCAAGCCACTCCTTTTACCTCCACTGTAACTCTCTAGGAGAGAAAAGTATACTAGTTTTATTAATGTTATAAAAACTTCTAGAGAAATGTTTAGTTAAAACGTTCACCACATAAAAGGCATACTTTAAAATGCATATTAAGAAATTTTTAATGTTTTCTATAATGTTTATAGTAAAATGTTTAAAACCTTGAAGTTTTTTTGAGAAATACTTTCCTGTTTATACATACAGATAGGTCTTTGATAGTGGCTACTGATATTTTTAATGAGAAAAAAAGACACTAAAATATTTTAAGGAGATTAAATGAAGTAGGTCAACTCTCAGGCCCACTATTCTTAGCAGTATTCCTGCCAACTATACATTGTCTTCATTTTTACAGTATGTATTTCACTTTACAATGACAGCCTTTTAAAGGCTGTAAAATAATTCAAAATTACCTTTTACAAGCTGTGGCCATTCGGTGACATCAGGGTGATCACAGCTTTGAGTCACTGATTAAAAACAGGTTGTCACACCAGTCTAGCTGCTACCTTGATCTGAGCGTAGGCTTAATAACTCTAATAAATTAAACAAACCTTTGGTTAGAACACTTTAATATATAAACCCAATTCATTGTTCAAAAAATAATATTCAAAGCTTCAAATTAGGTGTCAATGTAAAATTCATCAGAAGAGTAATTATTATAGAAAAGTTTTTAAGGACTATTTTCCAGCATTTTGTTTTTCTTAAATGATCTCTTCATTTGAGAAAATGTAATAATTCCTTGTACTTTTATGTAATGTTATAGTTTCTGAAGCATTTTGGTCAATAGTACCTTGAGTCTTATAACAACTTTGGCTTTACCTAATCAAGACAGATAATATACTAAGAATTAAAAAAAAAAAAAATTAAGCAGCCTCCGAGTGATTAACTGACTTGCCCAAGATTTTGGAACTAGTGTTGAAGGACTGACTAAAACCCAGATATACTGACTTCCTATCAAGGGATGGATTTTTTTGTTTGTTTTGGCTTAGTTTTGCTATACTGGGTTTCAAGATTTAAGTATATGTAAATGAGTAAAGATTCAGAACACAGATTGAGATCTTTCAAATACGGACAAATTCAGTCAAAAGATTCCTAAGCTGATAGAGCAATCAGTCACCAAGGAGGGCAACTGCTTAATGGAATAGTTATATACATACACATAAACACACACACATAAACACAAAGTCTAGTCCCACTAATTCTGTATGTACGTAAAGTCATTTAACATCAGTCACCGCATGTTCTCACTCACAGGTGGGAACTGAACAATGAGAACACATGGACACAGGAAGGGGAACATCACACTCTGGGGACTGTTGTGGGGTGGGGGGAAGGGGAGGGATAGCATTAGGAAATATACCTAATGCTAAATGACGAGTTAATGGGTGCAGCACACCAGCATGGCACATGTATACATATGTAACTAACCTGCACATTGTGCACATGTACCCTAAAACTTAAAGTATAATAATAATAAAAAACATCAGTCAAAACCCCTTAAGTACTGCATAAAAATATATTCTACTCTTTCTTGGCCATAAATCTACTAAGATTTAATTTCATGAAAAAGTATGGCAAAAGATGAAAGCATATCCTCCTCCCTCAACCAAATATCTTTTTAACCCCTTACATGGCCTTAGCTGAACTTTTCTGATTGTCACAGTTCAAATTTAGCAGGCCTCTTTACTGACACTGTAGTTCTGGCAAAGATACCATACATCTGAAATATCCCAGTATCAAAAGATCATTTTGTGCAACTAGTTCTTTCCCCTCACGATTCCCCTATCCAGGCCAAATCTGAGGCATCAACTACGGAAAGATGAGGAAATTAGGAGGAAGAAACCTTTCATAATTAACATCCTCAAAGCAACAATAGTCAAGCGTAAAAGGTGGTTACCAGTGTGGATTCAGAACCCAATATAAAACAGCAAGGTATCTGCGAATACCAACGGTTAAAACATGAATGTTTGAGCCCATACCTATGCAGCTATGAACGCAGGGCTTCAAAATCCAGATTAGGTGAGGATTGGCCTGAATATATAAAAATAATTGCAGGGGATTCCAATAAATGGGATTTATAGTATCTGTAAGAAATAACGCAATCTCCCAGATACTCCTATCCTAACTATACATTGCCTAATAAGAACTTAGACATTGCTGAGGTCATATGGGAAACACCACCTTCCCTAAAATAAACAATGTGGTCATGATACAGCTTCCCCTTGGGTTCTCAAGAGACTAATGGTATGTGGAATTAGAAGATTCAAACAAGTCTAACTTTCCATCTTGTAAACACAAAAATAATAAAGTTAAAATATCTTTTAATTGACTAATTGACCTCAATGTAATTAAAGAGCTATATGTATTTTGAAAACTAGAGTCAAGTCCTCTCTTCCAGTCCCCTCTTTTATGAGATCCGGTGCTCAAAAGGCTCCAAGGCCAGGCTGGACTTATGTCTCTGTTTGGTCATTCACTAGCTGAGAAATCTTGGGCAAGTTACTTAACCTCTCCGAGTCTCAGTTTCCTTATAGGTAGAACTAGGATAATAGTACCTATTCCATAGAGCTGTCATGGATAAACAAGCTA
The DNA here is from genome assembly GCF_000001405.40 of Homo sapiens. Classification (NCBI taxonomy): domain Eukaryota; kingdom Metazoa; phylum Chordata; class Mammalia; order Primates; family Hominidae; genus Homo; species Homo sapiens. The sequence continues at coordinate 25,411,261 of NC_000015.10, forward strand.
ACATCTAAGTATCTCAGAACAGTGCCTGACATAATGTGCTCACAAATGGCTGGGCGTGGTGGCTAACGCCTGTAATCCCAGCACTTTGGGAGGCCAAGGCGGGTGGATCACTTGAGGCCAGGAGTTCGAGACTAGCCTGGCCAACACGGTGAAACCCCGTCTCTACTAAAAATACAAAACTTAGCCAGGTGTGGTGGCACACGCCTGTAATCCCAGCTACCTGGGAGGCCAAGGCATGAGAATCACTTGAACCTGGGAGATGGACGTTGCAGTGAGTCAAGAAGGTGCCACTGCACTCCAGCCTGGGCAACAGAGCAAGACTCTGTCTCAAAAACAACAGCAGCAGCAGCAGCAGCAACAACAACAACAAATGAAAGCTATTATTAATACTCATAGCCCAAAATCCAAACCTGCCCTCTCAATCTTTTTATGCATATTATTTTACCTCTCATAGCACACTAATCTCTTGTAAATTTTTTCAGCACCCTACCTGGGTCCCTCATACAGTCTTGGAAGTGTAGTTAGTGAGCACCTGACACAATGCTTTAAAAATGGCAGGGGCCCAAATTTGCTGAACACATCTGTCATTATTATGACATTAAGATACACATGCAATACGAATTCCAAAAAATAAAACAAAAACATACCATATTTCGCCAAACTTCTGAGGAGCTGGTGAATTCTAAAATCAGGCTCTTACAGATTTTTAACCTAAAATATAAAACACCTCACTCAATTCTTTTTACATAAACAACTGGATGAACTTTCAAAAAAAAAGGTACTAAATTTCATCATAAAGGCAAATTTATTTTCTATAATTATGAACATCCAAAAACGTATCAAGAAACAAATTACTGCTGTTGCCGGGATGAGGAAAGCATAGGTAGGCAGGCCCTGTGGCCTGAGTGCTTTCAGCAGGCAAAGCCATATTTCCCATATTCATCCATAAAGCTTAGTGCCTTCTATTTATTTACTCTATCCTCCCTCCAAAAGGGCTAAACACATATGAAAACTATTTGACTATATCCCTCTAATCCTTTCAAATACCTATAGCAATTTTGTTTTTAATTAAATTCTATATGCTAAGCATCGGCTATGTTAGGTACAAATCTGGGCATCTACCACTTTCTAGAGTAGCAGCCTTGGGCCGACCCTCTGACCCTTGAGTCTCCAATGTCAGGTTATTGTAGCAGAGAAAATGCGTTAAAAAGTTATAGTATAATGCCTACCTGGCACAAAACAGGACTTCAATATACGACGATAATTATAATTTATTAAATCAACCACTTAATATATATCAAAACTTAACTCTTAAAAAAAAATCCTGAAGCTTAAAGCAAGCCCCTAAATTATCACTGTAAATTCTTAACTTGTTTGTATACAATCAGAACATTCCTCAATGGAACAAAAATAAAGTCCTTTCATGTACTGCATTACATATAAAGAAAGCAAATCTCAAAGGTTAAGAAACCTATCCAGTGTCCTAGAGGTTGATGGTAGAAAGTGAATACACTGCATATAAAACATTTTGAAATAAAATTAACCAACTTTTAAGGTTTTAGAGACTGACTTTCAAACTTCAGTCTATAATAGAATTACCTGGGGAAATCTAAAAATGCAACTACTTGGGCTCTACTCGCAAAGATTTTCATTCAGTGCATGAAGTAGGGGTAAATGAATTTTTTTTTTAATTTTTTTCAGACCAACCCAAGAACGCAGAAATGAATTTGCATTTTAACATATACTTCACATGACACACAGATCTCATTTTAAGAAGCCCTGCCTTCCAAATTATGAGTTAGGAACACATAATCATGGAGGAAATATACCAAATCTATAAAAATACAGAATAACAAAAACTGTAAGCACTACAAATATTAGGCACACTCACTTGCCAATTTAACCATAAGAATCCTAATACCAGACATAGTTCTCTTACTTTATCTCTTCAACAGAGGGCTCAGTCTAATAATCTTATAAATAAGTATAGTCTAATAATAAATGCCTATGTTGATCTATATCTACCTCCCTAAAATTTTCATTTTATTCATTTCTATTTTTCCTTCACCTCCTTCTAAAGCTGTTTCAAAACTTAATTTCACAAACTGTTTTTTTCTATCACTTTTTATTATAACACCCAACACTTCTGTTCTCCTTTGCATCATGTTTATGGTGTCTTATATTTATGGATAATGCTACTTATTAAAACTGTCTAAGTTTTGTCCGTTTACACATTTCACAATTAAAGGACTACTACAACAATTTTCCTAAGTCCTCCTGCTTTAGTTTCTCCTTATTCCAGTCCATTCTGCAGTTAAGACTTAAAAAGTTTTAAATACTGCTTTCAAATAATACTTGCAACATAATTCCCTCAACTCCATTAGCTCCTCAGAGTACCATTTCTTTATCTTCTTTCCTTTTACTGCCAAAAAGACGTGAAAACCACTAGCTCAGCTGCTATTTTTCTATCTACTGAAATTTTTCTTGTAAAGTTTCCATCATTTCTGTATATTCCCAGTGCTTTGGCCCCTTAATCCTACTTAATTTTTGTAGCTTTTAAGACTGCTAATGACTCCTCACCTCCTCTGGCTTCCCTAATGTTGTATCCACTCATTTTCTTCCATCTCTCTAAAGGCAATAAGGTCTTCTGCTAGTTCATCTTCCTACCTCATACATGGCCTCTCTCCAAGTTTCTGTCAATAGCCACTTTTCTTAACCTAAACCAATTTTCTGCGCAATGTCATCCATTCCCATAGCACCTCTATGCTTACAAACCCCTAACTCTGTATCTTTAAGTCCTTATGTCTGGCATGGTATGCCTGCAACTACATATTACCAACGGTACACATCCATTTGGATGTCTCATTAACATCTACATTCAACGTATCTAATATCAAACTCAATTATTTTCCCAAAGAACTCACTCTGCCTAATCTCACTGTCCTGGTTAAGGACTAAAAAAATTGGTGCCATTCATTACTTTCTCCCCCTCATTTTTATTTGCCCTAACCACTGTGTAGGTTGATACTTGTTCAGCCTTCAAATTCTTCATAATCATTAATTCAAAAACTGTCTACTAGATTTTGAGTGCCTACTAGGTGGATGAAGATGCAGAGGTAGAAAAACTAGACATAATTTCTTGCCCTCATGTGGTGAAGGAAATGGGCACAAATAAAAACCACAATTAATTATGCAATAACAATGCACAGTTAAGTGTTGTGATGGAGAGATACAGGGGGTGTTAAGTTGTGTACTGTAATAAAAAGTCCTTAGTCTGAAGAAAAGGAAAACCATTCTTTATGAGGGACAAGCAAGATTTACAAGACACACTAAGAAAAACCCTGTGAGGTAATGATGGTAGCACTATCAGTCCAGCTGCTCAAATTGGAAGATTCTCAGTCATATTCTAAAGAGTCTCTCTCTTTCCCAGTATATCAAATTGTTTACCAATTGCTACCAATTCATCCTTAGAAATTCCCCTACATTTCTACATTCTCACATTATTCCCCAGTCTTTTTTGATTGCTTTTAGTTGCTTCCAGAATAAAGCCAAAGCTCCCAATCACGTCAGATGAGATTCTACACAATTTGGTCAAAACCTGCCAGTGCAGCCTCTTCTTACAGACTAGACCAGACTTCAAGAGAACATGTGTATCATTTGCTTTTATACTTCCAGTGCTTGCAAATGTTTATAGAATAAGCATCTTACAAAAGAGAAAATTTTTCTCTTAGGGAACTAGCTTTCAGTCCTTTAGTAAATGCAAGGTTAAGATTCAAACCCTAATTTGTCTGATTCTAAAGACCACGCTTATTCCCTTGTACTTGCCTTCTAATTTATACTCAAACCCTATGAATTTCCTTAAAAATATCTCTTACTCCTTTTTTCCTCAAACTTACCAACACTGTCCTACTACAGTGCCCCATTATTTCATCTGGTTTCCCTTTTGCCTTTATCCTCAACTTTGCCACTAGAATTATCTTCCTAAAAACTCAAAGTTACACATATCATTCTATATTCAAAAGCTTTAACACTTTCTCATGCCAACAGAATAAATTTCTAACTCCTTCACATTTTATTTGAGGCCCCTGCCATGTGGCCCTGACCCCAGCCATCCCAGCACTACTGCCCACTATATGACATCATCACCAGTTACCAGATCTAGTCCCATCATTTGACTATTGGCTATAATGTACTGGATATTTGTGTTTCTGACTTCAATGCTTTTGCTTCTGAGGAGACTTCACTCGGAAATGGTCCTCTATCCATTACTAACCTCTATCCCCCACCCACCTATCATGCCATGTTAAAAACTGGCCTCATTCTAAACACTGTATCTCACAGGGTTATCTAAACTCTTATACATAATCACCATCTCCTTCATGTCTTATTATACATTCTTAATACCATAAAATAATTTATTAATTTCTCCTTATATTTATTATGTTATACCTTACATTACAGCTATCTGTATACATTTGTCAGTGCCTCTAGTTGTAAGCTGATTGATGGTAGGGATCATCTCTTCCATATTTTACTTTTCGTAATAATGGTGACTATGTTTTCTTGACACCATACCTCCCCTCTACAAGAAAAAAAAAAAAAAAAAAAAGGAATCAGGACCCATGGCCTTTGAGCTAGTTCCAAATGTGACTCATAGATGAACAAAGATACCATTTCTTCCCAAATTAACACAAATATAAGTAAATGCCAATTTAAGAAACGTTTTTTCAAAGACTAAATATGTAAGAATAACCAAAACAATTGTTTCTAATAATGTTCCTTTCTCTACCAGATATTAAAACATATTAACTTAAATGGAATAATTAAAATCGGCATGCCTTTAAAAAACTGAGTATACACTAAATATATGCATACCTTATGACTTAAAAATTTCACTCTTAAGTATACCAAACAGAAGTAAACATATTCACAAGAAGACAATCACTGAAATGTTTAGAGCAGCAGCAATATTCTTAACAGTTCCAAACCAAAAATGATTAAATGTCCGTAACAGCAGATTAAACTATGGCATATTCTTAAAATGGAATATCACTTCCATTCTTAAAATGGAATATACAGCGACTATCATAAACAATTACTACAACCAACAATGTGAATAAATCTCACAAATACATTAAAAGAAGTCAGACACAACTAAATGTGCTTGATTCTAGTTAAAGGATGAAAACAGGCAAATCTAATCTATGCTATGAGAAGTCAGGACAGTGGTTACACATGGAAGAAAAGGGGTAGTGACACAGAGCACAAGGGGCTACGCAGGAGCTGCTGCTGTTTTTTGATCTGAATGCTAGCTAAACGGGTGCTCAGTGTGTGAAAGTGCAACAAGCTATACACTTAGAAGTGTATAGCTTAAAACATTCTAAAAAAAAAAAAAAAAACCTCATATGGTATTAGCATTAGACAAAGAGGTAAGCACAACAAGCACAACAGAAAGCTAATTTCAGAGAAAGATCCGAAAGTATCTGACAGTTGCTCCTTCTCAAACGAGAATTTTCAGACCTTGGATAACAGGCAGCAGAGGACTATAATGCATGAAAGGACAAAAACAAAGGAGGTGAGCCATCCACTGCTTGGATGTCTGCCTGGAGGTAATTTCCAACCTGCAGTCAATGGAGGGGAAATCCAGTGAGAAGACAGCAGTTTTACTGAGTTCAGAATCAAGAGATCAGAGCTGAGAAAGCTGAAGTGGGTAAAATTGATGACAAGTGCCAGACAAGTGCTTGTCTGAGAAGGCAGAGAAATGGCTTCAGAAATCTGCCATTTGAGAGTCCACTGCTGAGTACTAACTGTACACGATTAAGGTAAGTGACTCCATGAAGCTAGTGAAAGAGGGGCAGTAAGCTGAAATATTCCCAGTACTTATAAAGGACTGGGAGACTCCTAAAATTCTCTCTAACCTGAGTGAAGAGAACACGGTGACACTGGGAGCATTTAGTAAAGACTCAGAAGGATCATGCCTTAGGTAGGAGCTACTACCATTAAAGCAAAGCCTTCTCTAGACAAACTCCAATGTAGCCCTGAAGGGATAAAACTGACCAGCAAGTTATTTAGGTGGCTACAAAACAAAACACTCTAAAAGAAAACAAAATCTAGACACCCAACAACAAAATATTACAATGTCCAGCATCCAATCTTAAAAAATCATTAAATATGTAAAAAACAAAAAATAAAATAAAATAAATACTAGGAAAATACAACCCATGACCAAGAGAAAAAACCAACCAACAAATTCAGAGTGAAAAAATTCAAGAAATCAATAAGTAACCTGATTTTCAAACAGCTATTACAAATATGCTCAAGAATTCAAAAAAATACATGAATAAAATGAATCAAATGGAATTTCTTGAAATATAAAGCGAAATATCTGAAATTATTTAACAAGGGAGGAGAAAAAACAGTAAAATAGAAGACAAAGCAAACTGAAGCACAGGGAAATAAAAAGACTGAAAAATAATGAATATGATGTTAATGACCTGTGGATAATACCAAACAGTCTAACATATGTGTAACTGGAGTCCCAGAAAAAGAGGAAATGATGAAAGAGGAGTAAAGGTGGTAAAAAATATATATATAGAAGAAACAATGGCAACAATCTTCCAAATTTAAGGAAAACCATAAATGTACAGATTCAAAAAGAAAAAAAAAACAAAACCCCAACAACTCTCAGCATGGTAATCATTGTGCAAATATCATAGAACGTACTTACACAAATCTAGATTAGATGGTATAGCTTACTACAGAACTAGGATACATGGTATAGCCCGGGTGCTCCTAGGTTATAAAGCTGTACAGCATGTTACTATACTGAATGAATACTGTAAGCAACTGTAACAAAGTGTAAGTATTTATACATCTAAACCTAGAAAAGGTACAGTGAAAATATGGTGGTATAATCTTAAATGACTATTGTCAACTATGATCTCGTTGACTGAAATGTCAGCATGCGGCACATGACTGTATAACCAGACTTCTCATCAAAAACAAATGCTGAAAGAAAAACACATCAACTAACCAAGAAAAAAGAAACATATATGTCCACACAGAGACTTCTTTTTTTACACAAATGTTCATTGTACCTTTTTATAATAGCTGGGAACTGAAAACAGCCTGGAACTGAAAACAGCCCAGGTGTCCCTTAACAGATGAAGTCACAAACCACCGAAACATTCAACAATATGGATGAATCTCAAAAACATTATGTTGAGCAAAAAGAAACTTTTTACAACATATAAGTATTGTATGACTCTACTTACATAAAGTTCTGCGCAAGCTAAACTAAGATGAAAACAATCTGAACAATGTTAGGTTCTAGGGGTGGTGTGGGGGGAAGGAATAACTAGGAAGAGGTGTAGGTTCTATACCCTGATAGAACTTTCTGGCAAAGGTGTATACATTTGTCACAGCTCATGAAATGGTATATGTGGTCAACTGTATTTTCCAAAGATGGTCACAATAGAAGCCATTCCACATGCTCTTAACAATGTAACACTGTCATTTTTTCATCAGGTGGTGGAGTCTATGGCCCTTCTCCTTGAATCTGAGTGAAATTAGTGAGTCTTTCAATCCAAAGACTACAGTCATACCTCAACTATCTACAGAGGACTGGTTCCAGGACTCCCATGGATCCCAAAATCCAAGGATGCTTCGAATCCCTTATATAAAATGGCATGGTATTTGCATATAACCTACATGCATCTTCAAATATGTTAAACCATCTCTAGATTACTTATAATACCAAATACAATGTAATGCTATGTAAACAGTTGTTACAATGTATTGTCAAAGACAAGCTCTCCTTGCCAATCCCTGACCAAATGAGAGATTCATGAGCAAAATAAATAGTTGCTGATATTTAAGGCACTAAGTTTGGGGCAATGTATTACACAGCAATAAATAACTGGAACAGCATAGTAAATTCTAGTTAAAAATACTAAACTACTAAGTTTTAGTTAACATACATGCTCAAGTTAAGGGTGTGGTATACTAACAACTGCAACTTACTTTGAAAAGCATAAAAAAAGACACTAGAAGAAGACAGGATGGATAGATGGACAAGATAGAAGACAATAACAAATAGAACAAAATGTTGTGAAATTATATTCTACAATTATTTTAAAGTCTGTGTGGTTTGAAAAATTGTACGATAAAATGAAGAGTGAAATAAAGACATTTCCATACAAACAAAAGCTGAAAGATTTTGTAGCCAGTAGACCTATACTTTAGAAATGTTTAAGAAATTTTTTCAAGTAAAAGGAAAATAACACCAGCAACAAACTTGGATCTACAAAAAGGAATCTCCACAAAGAAAAATAAATAAAAATGGTAAATATGAAGGTAAATATAAAGGAATGTTATTCTTAGTTTTTAAGTTTCTTCGTAAGACAACTGGCCTTTGAAAGAAATAGTTTCAAACGCTGCTGTGGAATCTATAACACATATAGAAGTAAAATGTTAAGATCATAATACCAAAAAGAATGAGGGAGAGTAAATGGATGTATACTATTCCAAAATTCTTACATTATACATTAAGAGGAATAATATTTTTGAAGGTAGATTGAGGTAAGTTAAAGGTGCATATTGTAAATCCTAGAAGTATCACTGGGGGGAAAAAAAACAGAGGGACAAGCTAATAATGGAGACAATACAAAATTCCAAAAATGCTCCATTAACCGAAAAGAAGGCAGAAAAGGAAGAAAAGATTAGACAAATAGAAAACAAATAGTGTCTTAAACACAATTATATTGCCAACTGCAATAAATGTAAATGGACTTAATCAAAAAGCAACGATCGTAAAAAGTCAATCTGAAAGCAAGATGCAACTATATGCTATCTAAAAGAAAGACATTAAATGACCAATAAGCTGAAAATAAAAACACAGCAAAATGATATAATGTGCAAAAATTAATCATAAGAAAGGAATGGATACACTAATATCAAAGTAGACTTTAGATAAGGAACATTACCAGCGATAAACAGAGACATTTCATAATGATAAAGACATCAATTAATCAAGGAGATCTAACAGTCCTAAATGTGAACACACCTAAGGACACAACTTTAAAGACTTTGCTTCAAAGCATATGAAGAAAAAATGAACAGAGCAGAAGGAAGATAAACTCAAAATTATAGTTGAAGATTTCAACATTCCTCTCTCGGTAATTAGTAAGTGGACAGAAAATCAGTAAGGATACAGAAGAAATACATTTATCTATCTGACAAAGAACATATGTTCTGAAAAGAATGTGAAAATATTTGAACAGACACACAAAAGAAAACTTCTCAACAGCAGTCATGAAGAAAATGTAAATTAAGACCATAATGACTTTTTACACCCATTAGAATGGCAATTATTTTAAATAAAAAACAGAAATTACCAAGTGTTAGAAAAGATGCAGAGAAATTGGAACCCTTATTCACTGCTGGTGGGAATGTAAAATGGTGCAGTCACTGTGGAAAACAGTATGGCAGTCTCTAAAAAAATTAAACATACAATTACCACATGACCCAGCAATTCCACTCCTAAGTACATAACCAAAAGAATTAAAAGAAGGGACTCAAACAGATACTTATATACCAATGTTCATAGCAGCATCATTCACATAGTTAAAAGTTACAAAGAGTCCAAATGTCCACTGACAAATAAATAAATAAAACAAAAAGTGATATATGCACACAATGAAATATTACTCAACCTTAAAGAATCAAATTTGGATACATGCTACAACATGAATGAACTTTGATGACTGATACGGTTTGAATATTTGTCCTGCCCAAATCTCATGTTAAAATATAATCCCCAATGTTGGGGGTGGGGCCTGGTGGGAGGTAACTGGGTCATGGGAGCAATCCCTCATAGCTTGGTGCTCTCCTTGGGATACAGAGTGAGTTCGCAGATGTGGTCGTTTAAAAAGGGTGTGCCACTTCCCCACCCTCTCTCTTGCTCCTGCTCTCGCCATATGACACGCCTGCTCCCCCTTTGCCTTCCACCATGAGTAAACTCACCATGAGGGCTCCCCAGAAGCTGAGCAGATGGTGGCGCCATGCTTGTACAGCCTGCAGCACCAGGGGCCAAATAAACTTCTTTTCTTTTTAAATTACCCAGTCTCAGATATTCATTTAAGGCAACGCAAGAATGGCCTAACGCAAGGACATTATTATTATTAAATGAAATGTGCCAGACACAAAAGGACAAAAATCGTATGATTCCACTTATATGAAGTACCTGGAAGAGTCAAATTCACATATGAAGTAGAACAGTGATTACCAGCAGATAGGGAGAGTAGGCAATGAAGAGTTACTGTTTAATGGATAGGGTTTCAGACTGAGAAGATGAAAAAGTTTCAGAGATGGATAGTGGTGATGGCTGCAGAATAATGTGAATGTACTTTATGTCACTGAACTGTACACTTAAAAATAGTTAAAATGGTATATTTGATGTTGTGTATTTTAGTACCACTTAAAAAAAAACACTGCAATGGGATACCACTACACACCTCTCAGAACGTGTGCAATTAAAGACTGAGAACATCAAATGCTGACATTTGGAGAACTGGAACTCTCATACACTGATGATGGGAATGTAAAGTAGTATAATCATCTGGAAAATAGTTTGGCAGTTCCTTATACATTTAAACATAAACTTACCATGTGACCCAGTAATTCCAATTTAAGGTATTTACCCTAGAAAAATGAAAACATATGTTCACACAAAAACATGCACACAAAACAGTACCTTTATTCGCAACAGCCTAAAACTGAAAACAATTTAAATGTTCACCAGAAAATGAATGAACTGTGGTATAGTCATATTGTATTTAAAAAAACGAAACAAACAAAAATCTGTGACAAACACAAATTGGATGAATCTCAAAAACATGCCAAGTGAAAGAAACCAGGCATGGAAGAGTACATGTTACTTGATTCCATGGATATGCAATTCTAGAGTAGGAAAACTAATAAACAGATCAGTGGTTGCCTGGGGCCAAGAGGGAGAAATGACTACAGACAGGAAGGAACTTTTTGGAGGTAATTCAATTGTTCTAAAGCTTGATTGTAGTAGCAGTGATAGTGTATATATTTATCAAAATCAATAAAACTATATAGTTAAAATGGGTGCATTTCATTGTGTATCAATTATACATCAATAAACTTGATTTTTTTCAAAGTTTGTGAGAACTTAATATAGAAAAAGGTGGCATTATCAGTGGGGAAAGGATGCCTTACAAGACAATCAGCTACCCAAGTGGAAGAAAATAAAAGGTAGATATAATTCCCAAACCATGACAAATGCAATCCAGATCTAAACCATATCATACCATATCCAAAAATATGCTGAATGCTCATATCTAACTTTCTAAATTAAAGTCTATAAAGTAAAATCACAAAAGTATCAGAAGAAAATACAAGAGATTGGCCAGGTATAGTAGCTCATGCCTGTAATCCCAGCACTTTGGGAGGCTGAGGTGGGAGGATAGCTTGAGGCCAGAAGTTTGAGACCAGTCTGGGCAACACACTGAGATACGTTCTCTACCAAAAAAAAAAAAAAAAACCAACCAACCAAAAAAAAACCAACTAGCTATAGTGGCACATGTCTATAATCTTAGCTACTTGGGAAGCTGAGGCAGGAGGATCACTTGAGCCCAGGAGTTTGAGGTTGCAGGGAGCTATGGTTGCTCCAGCCCGGGTGACAGAGTGAGATCCTATCTCTAAAAAGTTTTTGTAATATATATATGAGATCATATTTATATCAACTTTGTTAGCATGCTGAAACCCAGAAACCATAAAAGATGGACAGATTTGCCTACATAAAAACTTTAAAATTTCACATGACTAGATACTATAAAATTAAAGGTAGGTAGAGATAATATTTGCAAATTATAATAAAGAATTAAATGATATATAAAGAATGCTTACAAATTTAAAAAACAAACACCACAATAGAAATGGACCAAAAAACCAGGCAATTTCCCAGGTTATTTATAAAGACTTAAACAGATTTTATATATACATGAATCAAAACAAGGTAAATGAGCAGTCCCTAATATATTTTAAGGAATGAAACTTGCTAAAATTATTTTTTAAAAGGTAATTGGCAAAACCTATCAAATATTTAGATTGACATGATCTAATGGCCTGACATCTTATTTGTAGGAATCTACCTTACAGAAAAAATAACAGGTACCATCATTGCAAAAGCAAATATTGAAAACAACCGAATTTCCAAAACAGGCAAAGGGTCTCATAACATCATGAACTCTCAGAGTTAATTCCTAGTTCAGTTCTAAAGATTGAGAGAACACATCAGATTTAGAGTATTCCATCTCAGGTTTCTCAAGGACAATTTTTCATTAAGGCCTAATTTATTATATTTTAAAACATGCTTTTCCATCCTTTTTTCTGTTTTTCCTCTTTTCCCCCCACAAGCTTATATGGTAAAATTACCTGTAGTTAAGTGGGCATGTGATATGATGCACAGATTTAATGCAATAATTTATAAGAATTATCCAACTCCATTCTCTCAGCTGCTCTGGTCAAAAAACTTTGGCATCATGTTTTACTCCTCCCTTTATTTCCCACTTTCATCTGGTCTACTACCAAATCCTATGGACTCTATTTCAACATATATCAAGAATTCAACCACTTCTCACCACCCTCACTGTGACCACTCTGTCCATTTCAGTCACGTCTTAATCTGTACTAATGGTCTACCAATTGGTCTGTTTCTGCCCTTGTCCCCTTTTTCAGTCTATGATTAACACAGCAACCAGAGTGACCTTGCTAAACATAAGTCATACTTTTTCACTACTCTGCTCAAAGACTTCCAATAGCTTCCCATCTCACTTATAGGTAAAAATCAAACACCTTATTATGATCAAAATATCTGTACCCTCCATTCTCTCTATTTCCCATCAATTACTTTTCTAAAGCTACACTGGCCACACCTCGAGTTCTTCAAACACATCAGGCACTCTCACTTTGGGGTTTCCCTATTCACTACACTCTGCCTGAAATGCTCTTCCCCCAAATATCCACATGGCTAGCTCTCTCATCTCCCTCAGTTCTTCACCCAAGTTACCATTTCAGTGAAGTTTTCTCTACCTACCCTATCTAAAATTTCCCATCATCCTTTTCACCTGCAAACACTTCCCTTATTTGTTTCTTCTCCTTAGCACTATGTAACATATATTTTACCTATCTTTATGATCTCTTTTTAGGATTTAAGTGCCATGAAAGCAAAGGACTGAGTGGGTTTTATACACTGCTGTCTCTACCAGGACCTAGAAAAAAAGGCCCACTACACAGTAGGTGTTCAAGAAATGTTTACTAAGTGAATCAGATGGATGTGTATGTAGCCAACCATTTGAAAGATTCCTATAACACAGTTAAGAGGAAAAAAAAATTATATGAAACACAAGTTTTAGTACACAAAAATCTATGCACAAGGAATTAAAAACCTGAAATGAAATTTTAAAAAATTCAATTTGCAATACCATCAAAACATAAAATTCTTAGAAATAAATTTTTAAAGTAATAAGTACAAGACCTGTATACTGAAAACTACAAAACATGAAAGAAATTAAAGAACACCTTAATAAATGGAAAGATATCCCATGCTCATGAATGAGAAGACAGTATTAAGGTAGCAATACTTCCCAAATAGACCTACAGATTCAACACAAATCCAAGTCCTATTAAAATCCCAGTTGCATTTTTTTGCAAGCTAACCCTAAAATTCTATGGAAATTTGAGAAACCCAGAGACCCAAAACAATTTTGAAAAAGAATAAGTTAGAATACTCACATTTCCTGGTTTCAAGACTTACTACAAAGCTACAGTAATCAAGAGTGTGTGTTACCCAAAAAAAACAGACATACATGTCAATGAACATACCTTGAAAATACCATGGTAAGTAAAAGAACCCACACACAAAAGGACACATACTGTATGATTCCCATTTATATGAAATATCCAGAATAAATAAATTCATAGAGACAAAGCAGATTAGTGGTTTCCAGAGGCCAGGAAAGAATGGGGAATGGCTGCTAACAGGTTAGGATTTATTTTGGGGATGATGAAAATGTTCTAAAATTCAATAGTGGTGATGGCTGCAGAACTGTGAATATACTAAAAACTTTAAAAGGGTGAATTTTATAGTATGTGAATTATCTCAATAAAGCTATTAACAGTTTTGAAAGTTAGAGAATATGTTTGGTAGGATTTTTTTTAAATACTGCCTCCCCAAAAGGAAAAAAGCTGTATGTATATCAGTACTTTTACAGCTATCTTACATTTTATATTTGATTGGTAATTTCCTTCCAGGCATTTTTTTCCCTCTACAGTTAAACACACTTAACAACTGTTAAGTTTTAGAATTGGCTATGAAGCGAAGAGAAACCTTTCATTTCTTCTTATACTTAAAAAAAAATAGCTTTTTATTTTTCTTTTCTGTATTTCCTCATCCTCAAAAATAGATTCTACACACCAATATTTGAGGGATGGTGGGGCAACTACCACAAAATACAAGAGGCTCTCTTCTGGAAATGTAAAAATGTTAGAATTCCTAGGAACTTTTCATGATTTATGAGCCTAACCTAACATTTAAAACTGAGCCCATGCTGGTAAATCTGGGCTACACAGTCATACATACATAGAACTCTGGAATCACAACACATCCACTGTGCACTGGAAGAGTACTGTAATCTCCTTCTAATGTGCACCTTGGCTCTCCCCTCCCTTGGGTTCTTTGAAATTTTTTTTTTAAATAAGGTATGTTTATTTCTTATTTACCTACTAACTACAGAAGGTAGACTCACAATGTGCCAATATTAAAATGTTATCATTCCTCATTAAAATATTTACTTAAGTGTTTTATTACATGACTTACCAGCAATGGAAGAATCTCATCTGAGAGTAGTTCTCAACTGTCATCTATGAAAATCTTTAGAAATACCAAATCATCAGAATTACTTTAATTTCCTGGCTTTTAATCATAAAGCATTCCTACTGGTCAACAATTCTACAATCTGAAAACAGGGACATCTGTACCATATAGTCCCAATGATTTATTATTCTGAAATTTTCCTCTGGGTTATTTTTACACTGTAATTAGAGTTCAAACTTCCATAGCGCCTAGCCTAAAATTAAACCCAGAATTATGCCAATTTATGCCTGCTATATATGCACACACAAAAGACTTATAATGCAATATACTAAAAGAACTAAAGGTAGGTGGGTTTTTCCTTGAAGGAATCATAGCTACATTATTTTCAAGTTTAATCTGTTACATTCACCTGCCTATCAAATAAATGTAGCACTTAAACGCATAAAACAAAATTTGATTTAGTGACAAAAAACCATTAGCTTCTAATTTAACTTCAAAACGCTTTTCAAAAAATCTACCCCATCTAATTCTAAGTGAACCAGACCACACTTGATAGAAAACTGTTGTTCTAAAAACCATACGTACTTAACACAAACAGTAAACATATGAGAACATTTAGTCTTCTATTAATGTCTTACAAAATATTTCAATGTGGCTGGTTATAATTTTTTTTTTTTTAAGGGACAGGGTCTGTCACCGCGGCTGGAGTGCAGTGGTGTGATAACAACTCACTGCAGCCTGGAACTCCAGGGTTCAAGCAATCCCCCCACCTCAGCCTCCCAAGCTGGGCTAATTTTATTTTTCATAGGGATAAGGTCTCACTTTGTTGCCCAGGCTGGTCTCCAATTCGTGGCCTCAAGTGACTCTCTCACCTCTGCCTTATATTTCCGTTTGAGCTGTTATTATCAACTGGAGTAACATTTCTAGTTGGGGAAAAAAGAACTGATCCTTATCTGTAGATGAACACTTATACATTCAGCACTTACAAATAACTGAATGTGGGCATGAAAAAAAGAATGACAGATGATAAACATTTACTGTTCTCAAAATAAATTACCTAATCTCAGTTGAGATAAACACGACTCAGAATTCAATTAACAGTATAATATAAAGAAGCCCCAAACCAATGAGTGCAAAAAGAAAGACTCTCAAGGAAGGCTTCCCTGAGTAATATTTAGGTTGAGCCCTATAAGATAGAAGGAAGATGGATAACTCAAGAAACTAAAAGCAGCCTGTGTGGTAAGATGGTACTGACCAAAGGGGAATGCACAGGAAGGTAAGGCTCAGAAAGTAGACAGAACCCTATCAAAGCAAAATTTTAAATAGAAAGCACTCTTCTATTTCAAAATAACTGTTATTTGTTCACAATAATACAAAGGAATTATAAACTACTAAAACTAACAAACCAAAGTGGGCAACATAGGAAGACCCCATCTCTACAAAAAAAAAAAAAAAAAAAAAAAAAAAAACCCACAAAACTTAGCAGGGCCTGGAGGTGCCTGCCTGCAGTCCCAGCTACTTGGGAGGCTGAGGCAAGACTATCGCTTGAGGCCAGGGGGTTCAAGGATGCAGGGAGCTATGATCATGGCACTGCACTCCAGCCTGGGGAAGAGAGGGAGACCCTGTCTCCTGGAAAAAAAAAAAAAAAAAAAAAGGTGGGTGGGGTGGGGAGAATTCAATAATTAGGACGAATAGACTTTAAAATGTAGTTTATACACACAGTGGAATACTACTCAGCTATAAAAATAAGAATAAAACCCTGTAATTTGCAGGAACACGGATGGAACAAGAAGCCATTATGTTAAGTGAAATAAGCCAAACACAGAAAGACAAATACCACATGTTCTCACTCATACATGGGCTAAAAAAGTATATCTCAAGAAGATAAGCATAGACTGGTGGTTACTAGCAGCCGAAGTGGGGAGTGAGAGGACAAAGGCAGAAGAACATAACTGTATTTATTATTGCTGAACTGTACACTTAAAAAACTGTACACTTAAAAAATCATTAAAAATGAACTGTACACTTAAAAAAGATGGTAAATTATGTATGTATATTTAACCTCAATACAAAATTTTAAAAATTCAATACTTAATGCTGGAACAACTAGCTTTTCATATTTAAAATAAAAAATCCTAACTCCTTTCAGATGAACCTAAATGCAAATAACAAAGAGTAACAAAAAATCCTCAACTATTAGCAGACAATATAAAAAGAGGATTTCTTAAACAAAAAGCACAATCATAAAGAAAAAGACATGATTTTTACATCAAAAATTAAGGCTCATACTACCAGAGAATACTACAATGGGCAGGATTTTATATTTTACTCTTATTCTGGTAACTTTCTTTGGCTGCACTGTAAAGTAAGAAGGTTGGATGAAATGATCTTCATGGTCCTTTTCAACATAAATGTTGTACGATAGTGTGCCTTTCCTTTAAAAACATTTATTTTTGAGATATTTAAAACATACAGAAAATAATAAATTTCCTATCCTTTTACCTACGATTCAGAATAATCAAGCAACTGTAAATTAAAATGAGATAGCATTTCACATGCCTCAAATTAGTAACTATTTTAAAATCTGACAATCCCAAGTATGGGTGAGGATGCTAGAAATGCCCACATAATGCTGATAAAGTATACATGGGCATATCCATTTAGGAAAAGAATTTACCAATATCTAGTAACCAGCAATTTCACTTCTACGGTTTTTCCCAAAACACCTGCACATACACTCATGTAAAAATAAACACTGCAGCATTATTTATAATAGCAAAAAGAAAACAACTCAAAATATCCATCAATAGTGGGACACATACATTTTATCTATGCATAAAATGAAGTGCCATACAGCAGTGAAACTGAATAAACTACATGTACACGCATCAACATATACACCTCAAAAACTTGATACTGAGTTTAAAAAAATCAAGCTATTGAAAGACAGCGTTATACATGTCTGTAAAAATTTAATACAAAAACCAACACCACATATCACTTACAGATACATGTACACATGTATAGTAAAAGTATAAAACAAGGATGTGAAATTTACTTAAGAATCTCAAGACAGTTGTTACTTTGTGTAGAGACGGGTAACAGGACTTGAACAGTTGGGGTTGTTAAAAGTGATTATATAACTGCATCCTTTCCCCCAAGGGATAAAAATGGACATAATTTATATTTCCAGGTGGTGGATAAATAGGCACTTGCTATGTCATTTTCTGGATGTTTTAAAAATTTTACAATTAAAACATATACACTTATTTTAAAAACAAACAAAAGACATATTAGCATATAATGTCCAAGCTGATAATTACCTTGGAAGATTATCTAATATAAACCTCCCTACTTCACTAAAAACAAAATTACAAAAGATATCAGAATAAAAATATGATACAGGCTGGACGCAGTGGCTCATGTCTATAATCCCAGCACTTTGGGACGCCAAGGCAGGAGGATCACTTGAGCCCAGGAGTCAAGACCAGGCTGGGTAATATAGTGAAACTTCATCTCTACAAAAACAAACAAACAAACATTTTTTTAAGAATGTAATAGGATTGGTGTGGTGGCTCATGCCTGTAATCCCAGTGCTTTCAGAGGTTGAGGCAGGCAGATCACCTGAGGTTAGGAGTTTGAAACCAGCATGGCCAACATGGTGAAACCCTGTATCTACTAAAAATACAAAAATTAGCCGGGCGTGGTAGTGCACACCTGTAGTCTCTGCTACTCAGGAGGCTGAGGCAGGAGAATCACTTGAACCCAGGAGGCGGAGGCTGCAGTGAGCTAAGACTGCACCATTGCACACCAGCCTGGGCAACAGGGCGAGACTACATCTCAGGAGGAAAAACAAAAAAAAACCTATATATATATATATATATATATTTATATGTATTATATATATATAATACATATATATAAGATTATATATATATTATATATATAATACATATATATAAGATTATATATATATTATATATATAATACATATATATAAGATTATATATATATTATATATATAATACATATATATAAGATTATATATATATTATATATATAATACATATATATAAGATTATATATATATTATATATATAATACATATATAAGATTATATATATAATATATATAATACATATATATAAGATTATATATATATTATATATATAATACATATATATAAGATAAATACTATTGTAGCAGGGCAATTTTGGACAAATACTAGGTTATCTGAAACAGCACTTTGGGGAATTAGATCTTGACCATTTAAGAGAGAGATTAGCCCCAGTTTCTCAAAATCTGGCACTGACTAGCAATATGGACAATGTGTGCACCGCCCTCGTTCCACCTCCCCTCCTAGGAATGCCATGTCAAATTCAGCACAGGCATAGGCAGTAAAACTGACCCCTAGTTCTGCCTATCACTATTTAAAATTACTTTAAGTGTTGAGGACTGTCCCCACAGCAGATATCTAAAAGTAGGCCTGAAAGAACTAGAAAGTAGTTCATGCATCCAGCAGTTACAAGTGCCTAAAACTGTACATGAAAAAACAAAACAAAGAAATGAACTGAGAGCAAACATTTACTGTTTTCTTATAATCTTCAATCCAGGATTTAAGAAATTATTTAATATCAGTTGAGATACGTGACCAACCCATTCTCCAGCTGAGATCCATCTATTTTTAAATTCACTCCCCCAGCCTTTCATTCAGCCTAAAAGAGGGAATAAGAATGGGAAGGTGGGAAGGACTTATCCCATACTGAGTTAAATAAGACCACAAGATCTTTTCATTTTTACAATATTTGAAATACAGTACACTGAGCAATAAATTTAAAGAAATATGCATGATTTGAAATGCAGAAATCTTGATTTATGTGTATAAAAGACCAAAATTAGCTCAGTTCGTCTAATACACTACACTTAAGTGTTCTTCAATACTACAGTCAACTTTTCAGAAATATTCCCATTCTGTGAAGCAGGATGTATTCCTACCTTGATTACCAAACTTTATCCACGTAACTTCCTATTCTCCCACTCTGTTCTTTAAACATGTTCAACATGTTACAGAGATGGCAAAATGTGTTACAAAAGGGAATGAGAATGAAGCAGCTTAAGTAATTAGGAAAACTTTACACTTCTTAGAAACTGAATTTGAATGATCTTAAACAGCATATTTTCTTTTCTTTTCTTTTCTTTTTTGAGATGAAATCTTGCTTGCCCAGGCTGGAGTGCAATGGTGTGATCTCAGCTCACTGCAACCTCTGCCTCCCAGGTTCAAGCGATTCTCGTGCCTCAGCCTCCCAAGTAACTGGGATTACAGACGTGTGCCACCACGCCTAGCTAATTTTTGTATTTTTAGTAGAGACAGGGTTTCACCATGTTGGCCAGGCTGGTCTCGAACTCCTGACCTCAGGTGATCCGTGTGCCTCGGCCTCCCAAAGTGCTGGGATTACAGGAGTGAGCCAAGGCGCCCAGCCTAAACAGCATATTTTCAATCACCAACACACAACATGACCACTGACTTCAGAAAACTAGGAAAGAAAAATGTTACCCAATTAATCTTTGTGTGAAACAGGATTTATCCATTAGTATACGTATCACATACCATAGATGCACAAAAGATTTTTTCAATTCCCAAAACAAAAACTTAAAATATTTAGCAAAGATAATATAAAAATCCTTATTTATGGCACGCTGTAAGATTATCAATATTGGTGCATATAACCACAGAGGCACAATAGAATTCTTAGGAAAAATGTATTAAGACAATTAACAAGCTGGAAATAACCCATATTTCCCCTTATGACCCATTAGCTTTATATAGAAAACACTGCTGTGCACTTCATCCTTTGCTTTCTAAAGAACAGCATTATGGTTCACATCTGTTAAGAGACAAAAAAGTATTTGTTGGAAGTACGAAAGGAAGAAATTCCTGTACTGTTACATGCAGTGCCAAAGGAATCATCTGAGAAGAAAATAAAGAACATGAGTTTAACATGAGCTTTAGAGAGGGATTACAAGAGTGCAAGAAAGTGACAAAATGTGACATATGTCCATAGTGAATACATGGTGCTTTATTGTTTTCAGTATTTCTATATTTAATTAGGAGGTGGAAAGTTTCAGAATTTATTCTGCATCACAAAGATTATAAAAATATATGAGTTGGGGTGTTGGCTACAGTACACAAAGGCAATTCTAAGACTACTTATTAACAGAAGCTTGAAATGGAAAAGCCATCCCTTCTGATTTCATTACATGAAAAGAACCTGTGTAGAAGTACAGCAATGGTAGCATCTTCATTCAGCCCACAGCTATGTAATTTGTATGCAAGAGTGCTTGTCTTAAATATGAAAAGGAACATCCTGAATTGCTGAAAGTATATACAACGGGCACACATCCAGAACTAGGAAAGAGCTACCAAGCCTGCATGCTACGAAGACATGGGTCAAAAAATTTTTCTCATGTTTGGTTTCTATAACTAAAGTCTGTGCTAGACTAACCTCAATTGATCCTGAGGAGATGAACTTCTGGAACACACAAAACTGTTAAGAGTCACAGCATTAGACTCTACACTGTCCAGCCAACAGTTTTAAGAAAAATTTTATCCTACTTGTATGAGTGTTCAGGGCTCATATACTACCTCTATGCTCTTACTTGAAACACAGATGCAGACCTTAATAAATAAAGTCTTACATCAGACTCTCTTCTATAATTCACATGTGATTCCTTACACGAGATTCCTGTTCAGATTTCCTGAAAATGAACTATAGGAATAATCTTATCCAATATGATTCTATGTCCCCTAAAAATATCTTTTCCTTTCAGGTCAATCTTATGATTCACTTGCCATTGATCAGATTAACACAACAGGTCTGGTACAGCAAATTACAAAAGAGATTTGACTTTTGATTAATACACTGAATAATGTATCACAAACTATTAAGATCCATTGTCCATGTCAAATGGAGTTCACATATTTAAAATGAATTCACACACTAAAAATTCCCCAAAACAACGTTTCTAAAAAGTTTTTTTTTTTTTCTTTGAGAGGCAGTCTCACTCTGTCGCCAGGCAGTAGCATGATCTTGGCTCACTGCAACCTCCGCCTCCCGTGTTCAAGCGTTTCCCCTGCCTCAGCCTCCTGAGTAGTTGGGACTACAGGCATGCGCCACCACGTCCGGCTAATTTTTTTTTTGTATTTTAGTAGAGATGAGGTTTCACCGTGTTGGCCAGGATGGTCTCGATCTCCTGATCTCGTGATCCGCCCGCCTCGGCTTCCCAAAGTGCTGGGATGACAGGCGTGAGCCATGGCACTTGGCCTCTAAAAAGCTCTTAATCTACATTTTCAAGAATGATCACGTTTGAAAAGCATACTCTTTTAAAACAAAGCAACTATCACTTTCATTTGACAAAAGAAGGAACGAAGGCTTCAAAAGCTAAATAACCTGCTCATGACCATTACGAAGCTAGTTAAAACAACCTCAAGACCAAAAGACAGTGCTCATTCCATTTCAATGACTCTGATGCACTTAAAATTTTATAAATAATTTTTAGGGATATCAGTCATAAGGCTTAGAATCAAATAGTAACGACTCATGTACAAAGACCAGTATTTTTTAAAAATGCTCAGCTGGGCATGGTAGCTCACACCTGTAATCCTAGCACCTTGGGAGGCCAAGCCGCTTGAGACCAGGAGTTTGAAACCAACCTGAACACGGCAAGACCCCATCTCCACAAAAAAATTAAAAAATAAAAAAATTAGCCAGGCATGGTGGCATATGCTAATCCCACCTACTCAGGAGGGTGAGATGGGAGGATCACTCCAGCCTGAGACTGCAATGAGTTATGACAGCACCACTGCACTCCAACTTGGGCAACACAGCGAGACCCTGTCTCTAAACAAATAAACAATAAGTAAAATAAACAAAAAGAAAATGCTAACTTTACTTCACTCTCAGATAGGCCTAATAATTAATAAGCTTCTTTTTGAATTATTATCCATAATGGCATTTACCTGTTATTGATAACTCAGATCAAAGCACTACTAAGCAACATTTTTGATAGCAAATGAAAACAAAAGCTGGCAAAGAAACTGTGTATTAATAAGTCATTTGATTAAAAAAAAGGACTTGGCCAGGTATTGTGGCTCATGCCTGTAATCCCAACACACTGGGAAGCTAAAGTAAAAGCTGAGGAGTTCAAGACCAGCCTGGGCAACACAGTGAGACCCCCATCTCTATAAAACAAAAATTTTTAATATTATCTTTTTACAAAGGACTTATTTATATGGCATCTTCAAGTATTTCAAACATTTCGTGTTTGGATTATGGAATATGTCTCCAGAAGAATTAACACTATTTCTATTTAAGGTAATTTTACATCATTTCCTTTATTAGAAGAAATAACAGATCTGCAGATGGCATTTTGTGAAGGCTGCCTTCTATTAATAGTGTACAAAACACTCATATGTCTCCAAAAAGGTGGGTGAGTAATCACAAAGCAAGTATAACTATTCATCCCAAAAGGTAGGACAGAACATGTGCCAATGTGTGCAGAGTCCTGAACTAGAGACATGGACTCTGGTTCTGGTTCTGACACCTGGGTGACTTTAAGAAAATCATTTTAAAGCTTTGCACTCCAATTTCCTCTTGTATAAAATGACTGGAGCAGCTGACCTCATAGACAATCCTACTCAGGTAGCATCTATCCATGTACTGCCAGAAGACAGAATGATAATCATGCCCCCCAAAATTAGAGTATTTGAAGACAACTGCCGGAGTAAAAATTTTAAATTCTATATACATACACACACACACACACACACACACACACACACACACACACACACACACACAAATACTAATACACTACGTGCCAGATACTGGGGTGGTGGGCTGGGACCAAGGAATGAAGTAATGCATGTGCCAGAGGGTTGAACTTTTTAAAAGGAGTAAAAAAGTAAATCTTTACAGTAGCAGCTGGTGGGTAGGAGGTATTGAGTCCATAGAACTGCTCTTAGATTGGAAGGGCATGGGAAAATGAAGTTCCATTATGTGATAGGGTTTTACACACACACACACACACACACACACACAAATGTGAGAAAGTCACTCAACTATAAGCATTCAAAAAAGACAGACATCTTTCTTGTCTTTGTGGGTCCTGTACTTAGCTCAGCTCATAGAAGCCACAGGAGGAACCTAATAAATGTTAGTTGATCATTTACTGATTTACCAATAACCAATTCATGCCTGCTCTAGTGCTGTGGTCTGAATGTGTCCCCCAAAATTCATGTTGAAAGCCTAACCTCCAAGGTGATAGTATTAAGAGGTGGGGCCTTTGGGAAGCTTTGCCATCATTAATGGAATTAATGCCTCTATAAAAGAGGCCCTATAGAGCCCCGTCTACTCTTCTACTACATGAGGTAATGGTGAAAAGACAGCTAGCTATCTATGAACAAGGGAAGAGGGCCCTCACTAAGATGTCAAATTTGTTGGTACCTTGATCTTGGACTTCTCAGCCCCCAGAACCGTGAGAAATAAACTTCTGTTGTTTATAAGCCATGCTGTCTGTGGTGTTTTGTAATAGCAGCCAGAACAGACTAAGACATCTAGTAACACATTCTCTGGTAAACACTAGGAATTCCTGGCCTTAAAAAGTTCATAGCTAATGAGAAAAGAAATAAACAACATAAAGGATAACATGCTGTAGTCCACTACATACAAGGTGCTTCCAGACCATTCAGAAAAACTGGATAGGAAGATTTCTAAGGTAATACTTATTGAGTGCCTACGTGTTAGGCGTTTTACATACTTTAAGCCTCACAACTCTGGGGAAGTTTCACCAACCCATTTTACAGATGACAAAACTGTGGCTTACCAAGATTAATAAGGCCAGAATTAAAATTAGGGTCTAATTCCAAAGATATTACCACTATACATACCAAGATGTCTTGTTACTACATTTTATCCTTACATTTGGCAGTGAGGGGAAAACTCAAAAAGCAGTCAAAAAACTTTTGTCCTGAACCAACATAAAAAGAGCACCTAAGACTTCATCCAGTATTTTACCGAAAGATCACTTCTAAAAGTTTGTCTTCACCCCGATCTAAAAATTAGAAAACTAATTTTCTTTCAGCAGCTGCATATGTACATAATGTAATGTTTCTACATTTAGACCTACACAATTATAAGTCTAAACAAAATATGTGTAACATGATTGGAGAACATAACTAGCAGTCATTTAAGAAAATGGACATTTGGAAACATCATTTCAAGAGCTTGGGATGAAAAATTTTGCTATGACCTATAAATCTGGATCATTCCACTGACTGACACTGAGAGAAACAGTGTATTATCACAGTTTACACAGTAAATTTTTTTGGAGGGGAGAGGGAGGAGATTGAAATAGAAATGATCGAAATAGAAATTATCTAAAGTTTAAGAAATACAACTGATTAAATGTTACATGTCAAAGACACTGTAGGTACCCAATAAATCCTGTTAAATGGACTGCACAAGTGGGATGAGAACACGTTTTCCCCACACCTCTGACTAGTATGTACCTTTCTTAGGAAGTTATTTTTTCAGCCATGGGAAAAAAAAGGGCAGAATTTAGGACAGATAAAACATAAGTAGCTTATAAATCCTCTGAAAGGAAATCAAAACACAGTATTTTGTATCTCTGTATAAAGTTAAGCTCCTCAGGGACAGGGGCAATGTCCAGAGGATAGTGAGCATACTACTTAGCAAACTAATGCAGGTTAATAAATATTGACACAGTAAGACTAGCATAGTTTACATTCTAATTTTGTAAAGATTATAAGTTACCTCTTCATATTCTGTTCTTTTATTTCTCCTGTGTATATTATAAATACACAAAGATTGAAAATTATTTCTTGAAGCTATTTCCTTTTTTATTTTTTGGTCAACTGTATTAGTGTTTCTTAAAAGGGCTTCTGGTCATCCTTAGGGCTTATCAGTAGCATCATTAATAATGTATTCATTTCACTAAAAATGTGGTAAGTAGCTTGGATTTAAAAACAGGATCTAATTTCAAAGCTATTTCCACTATACACACCAAGTTACAACTTTCTTATCTCTCCTAAATTCTAAATTTTACATGATTTACCAAATCACTTCTTAAGTAAGAGTACTTATTGATCAGAAGTGTGAGACAAACACCTTATCCCACTTGTCCAATTTATTCAACAAGATTGATTGGGTACCTTTGTGTCTCTGACAGGTAACTTTCAACAGTTGTATTTCTTAAACTTTAGGTCGTCTCCCAAAAAAAACTGTAATAATTTGCTGCTTCTCTCAATATTGCAGGCAGTAAAATGATCCAAAATTACGGGTCATATCCACATTTCTTCATGATTGAGGTTAACTGTGCACTGTAAACCCCATATGCTATTAGTTTACATTTTCAACAGCACCCTCGCCACTTAATAATCTCAAACAGATTTTGGACTGTTACTAATTTAGCATATCCATAAAAAGTCATTTAAAAAATGTAGACGCTAAATTCTCTTTCAAGGTTGCCAAGCTTCACCAGTGTCTGTATTAAAATTATTTCTAAAATTTTACGGACTAAGGCATTTGGTACATTCAATTCTACCTTTACCAACAAAAGCCTTTACCACCAAGATGAGGAAAGCATCCTTTTCATTTTCTACACTGAAAAGGGGGGGGAAAAAAGGCCAACTGCTTGCATACAGGTCTGCATATAACACAGCAGTCTCTGGCAAAGCCAATAACTCACGTTCAACTTCAGAAATCCTGGTGGCCGGTAACACAGAGTAACCTGTGCGCACAACCCTTGGGCTTGACATACCACTTCATCCGCCCTCCCTTCCCATCAATCCACCCCCAAAACCCCAACCCACCAAGCACACGGCTAAATATGTCTTCCCCAAGAGAGCCAAAAACCTTGAAAACGCCGAGAAAGGGCTCCCCTTTGAAGGAAAGGGCCTGCCCTTCCCTGTCTGGGGCCCCGGCTGGCTCGAAGAGCCTGGCTCCTAGGAGGCCCAAATCTCGACGCCTCGCACGTCCCGCCCCGCCCCGGGCCCGCTCGCGTCCCCTCGGGCGACAAAACCCTCCCGCCGTCGCTCAGCCAGGACTGACAGTTACGGCTGCAGCAGCCGCGGCCACCAGGGGCCTACTTCTGGCACCAGCCCCTTCGGACCACGCGCCCCCAAACACTCGCCTCGGCGGCGGGGGGCGGGGAAGGGGGGTGTCGACCTCGCCACAGCGGGCCCCGAAGGCCGGCCGAGTGACGGAGGGGAGCCAGCGCCGCCTGGCGCAGGCCGCGGCAACACTGACCTGTCGTCGCCCCCGCGCCTGGGCTGCGGCGGCCGCCTCACTGGTCGTAGTCGCCCTCGCCCGCCGCCTCCGCCCGCCACCGCCTCGTTCTCTTTCGCTGCCGCCACCGCCGGGGCTCATGCGGGACCCGCGCTTCCTTATCCGGAAAACGAGGCCGGGAAAGGGAGCGCCGGGGCCGCCGAAATCCCGGCGTTCGTCGCCAGCCGCCGCTGCCTGTCCACACCGGGGGGCTGAGGGGCCCTCCTGCCAGGGGCTACAGGCCGCGAGCTATTCCGAGGAGGAGCCGAAGGAGGCGCCGCCGCCCGCAGCCGAGCGCGCCGGGTCGGCAGAGGTGAAGCGTAAGTAGGCGGCGGATGGCGGGCGCCCGCGCTGGCGGATGGCTACGCGGCGGAGGGGTGCGCGAGCGAGCGAAGCCTGGTGTGTCGGGTCCTGGCGAAGGGAAAAGGCCCCGTCGTCTCCTGTAGTCACCCCGAGCCCAGCGCCACCATCTTGGGAGACACACGGATCTCGCGGCCGCGGCGCAAGACGGGAGGACTGGCTGGGCGGGCCGAGTATCCCGGCAGGCAGCGCGCGCCGCCCGGCCGGGCGAGGGCTCCAGGCCGGGACGCGGGGACGTGGGGCGGGGCCAAGACGCGCGGGAGGGCGCCGCGCTCCGCCCCTCCTTCCTTCGCCGGCCCCGCCTCCCTCCCGCTTGCCGTCGCCGCCGGCGCACGGGCCATTGGGAAGAGGAGGTGGCCTGCGGCCCCTCGGAGTCCCACCAGGCTCGGTCGCCATCTTGCGACTGGACAGAAAGGGTAATCCCTCTTTTTAGTTTCTGCTGTCTGTGACCCGAAAGAATAAACCTGGGACTTCCGGAAGCCCTCTGGGCACCCCCCCCCCCAGGAGGGTTGCAGAGCCCCTTGGTGTACCCAGCAGAGGAACGCCTCAGACTTTGTTGGGAAACGAATGGCTCTGAAAGTTAGCTGAAGCCGCTGGAATAGCCCCCCAGCCCCGAGGCGGGGCAGGTGCCTGCCGTTATTGGCTTTTCGACCCCAACCCTTTTCTATCTGGAGCTGCCTTTGTAGATGTTGCAGGGGTGCCCCGAGAGTGCAGGCCAGATTTTAGAGGACCAAGGTCATCTACTTAGGCCTCTTGCCAACACAGGATGTGTCAACTAGTTTACCAGAGACGAAGGTAAAGTCCCGTCTCCTGCAGTTGTTGACGTTCAGTAGGTCGTCGGTTAAGAAAAGTGGCTCCCTGGTTGACCCCAGCTGGATAGAGGCTAATTTTGATCCATATGACAGCTGAACGTAGTTAAAGCCATTAAAATTAAATCCATTTAAAGTCATATTTGGTACCAGGGTCACCATTTTAAAAGGTGTGTGTGTGTATGTGTGTGTGTGTGTGTGTGTGTGTGTATAGCTTTACAACACTTGCTAGCAAAGCCAAAAGAGTATCACTAACAATTCATAGTGTTACAACTTGCAACTTTGTTGATAAGCCCTTGAAGTACTAGATGAGTACCCATGTCTAGTATTCAGATTTTTTATATCAACAGTCGTACATAGCAGTGTATCTTTTTTAAATTTATTTTTATTTTTAAACTTAGAAATGGTGTCTTGCTATGTTAGGCCCAGGCTGGTCTCGAGCTCCTGGCCTCAAGTGATCCTCCCACCTCGGCCTCCCAAAGTTTTGGGACTACAGGCATGAGCCACAGTGCTCGGCCAGCAGTGTAATTTTTAACTGTCAGTCTCGGAACATCTTTTTTGTATAGCCAAGTGTGTGGGTGTGTGTGTGTATCCGCCTCACAACTATAACCAACCATTGAAAAACCAACAATAAGCTAGAAGAATTTAAGTTATTCCAGGACAACTGATGATAATGATAGTATTAAGCCATATTCGATTTTAAGATGTTTTAACTCAGCTCTTTACTCACTTTTCATTTCCTCTCATTACACATCCACATTTGGAAACTATTTGCTGTTATATTTCATGGAAAGGACTAGTAAGAATTATAATCTTTAAAAAAATTTATCTTCGCAAGTTTTCAAAATAGGCAACAAAGAATGTAAATCTTTAAGGACTTTATTGTTGGACTAATTAAAGCATACCATTTCTACTATATCTAGCATATGGAGATACTTATAGGTATTCTTCCTTTTAAGTAGAAATTGACAATAAATTAAGTGTAATTTTATAATGGCCTGGTGTATCAAAGTGTGGCGGAAATCCCTGAGTTCCAAAAAGATTAAAGACCGAAGGGAAATAAGTCTGCTTTTAGCTAGATGTCAGAATGACTATTCATTGCTTTACTGAGATCAAGGAGGATCTTAATTCCTCCTGGAGAAATTACGTATATCCGTTTTAGTTCATTAATTTTAAATCTGTATTCTTATGTGTGACATTAGTATTAGAATTCTTTCAAGATTTCACTGTGCTTTTTGTTTTATCCATTTTCAAATTTAGAAATGTTTGCTCATCAAACTTACCAACATAAATACTTTCAGGAATCCTTAAGATACTAGCAGTGTTCCACTTCCCTATACACCTGTTTATATGAAAAATAAAAAAATTCTCCCATATCAGACCCATGTGTTTTTTTTTTTTTAGGTGTGTTTTTCCCAGAAAAACAACTTTGTATCTACTAAGTGAACAGTGATTTCTTCAGACTTTTCTAGTCCAAATGAGACCCAGTAGTTTCTAATAATTTTCTCATTTCAGGTATACAGTAAAAAGAGCAATTTAATTTTATAAGCATCTGCATCAATGCCTTGAGCAAACTTTGAGCTAATGTTTACCCAGAACTATTTATGTGTCATATGTTGGACTACTTGAACTACTATTTATGTGCCAGACCTTGGGAAACAATAAAAGATGAACAATCTCTATCCCTGCCCTCAAGAACTTGCAGTTCCAGAGGAAGTCACACCTGTAAGATTGGACACTTTTTCAGAGTAACCCAACACTTCATTGAGCATGGGGGGTACCTAGTAATATGTATCTGCTAATACTAACAAACTTTTTATTTTATTATTATTATTATTTTTTTGAGACAGAGTCTTGCTCCGTCGCCCATGCTGGAGTGCAGTGGCGCAATCTTGGCTCATTGCAAGCTCCACCTCCCAGGTTCATGCCATTCTCCTGCCTCAGCCTCCCAAGTAGCTGGGACTACAGGCACCCGCCACCACGCCTGGCTAATTTTTTGTATTTTTAGTAGAGACGGGGTTTCACCGTGTTAGCCAGGATGGGCTCGATCTCCTGACCTCGTGATCCGCCCGCCTCGGCCTCCCAAAGTGCTGGGATTACAGGCATGATCCACCATGCCCAGCCAACAAACTTTTTTTTAAAGGAAACATTTTGCCCTAAATTGCTGGTGAAGTTGTTTTTTGACAGAGCTGTTTTATTGCTGAAGATTTCTTATTGATGCCAGTCATAACAGATGAATCAAAATGCAAGAACAACTTTTTTTACTACTCAGCATGCCCCAGGATCAGAAATAAGTCGAGCATGGAAGAGACAAAATTCAGATATGGTGGGATAGAAGTCACGGTTGCTATTTTTAGGCCACATCCAAATGTTACACACTCAACTTCTGAAAAACACTAAGCTTTCAATATATGAATAGCTCCCATTATTTAAGAAATACTGTTAAGCAAACTTAGCTCCATGAAGAACACTGGCATATGATAAGTGCTCAGTAAATGTTAGTGCTTAGTAGTGGTAGTAGTAGTAGTATATGTATCATTGTTTAGTACTGCACACATCAGGCATGAACTCCTACATACCCCCACCCTTATGCCTGCAGACCTGTCTAAATTTGCATTCTTTCTGACCTCGAGTCTTAAGGTAGAAGCCATCCTTCTGTCCTTTCTACAGGTAATTTTTATTTCTTGAGGGAAGAGAGATTGACTCAAGACTCTTACTCCCTTAAATATTCCCACTCCTGTTCATAAATTCTCCCTCTACTTTGTCCCTTCTATTTAGAAAAGCTGTCTATACTTAGATTGCTATTACCTTCCAAATTCCTCTTCAACTACAGAAATTTAGCAGCTCCCTCCATTTTACTGTATACATTGCTTGTATCAATTTCACTGTGGCATAATGGCCAAATTGAAAGGTTGCTTCTCAGTTTTCATAACATCTGATCTCTCTGCAGCCTTCCACACTGCTGACCACTGCCTCCTGGAAACTGCTCCCTTGGTTCTGTCACCTTACATTCTCTGCTCTTCTGCCTTGTCTTAGGCCACTCTTTCTCAGGTCTCCTGTGCAGAATCCTCCCTCCCCATTCTTGGTTCTCTGCCTACCATGTTATAATCTTTGACAGTACCATTTACGTATACTCTTCTATCACTTATTTCAGTCAGGAATCAAGTCTGAATCTTGAACACAGATCTCAGTCAGAAGCATCAGACACAGTATCTTCAACCCCTTATTGGAAACCTGTACTGGGTGTTCTACAGGCACCTCAAGCTCAACATGATTAACATCAAACCCCTGAGTTTGTTCTGTCTTCCACCATGGACTGAGATGTGATAACAGTGCAAAGGAGCAGGTTTTGGGAGAACAAGCAGGAATTTAGTTTTGGTAATGTTAAATTTGAGATACCTGTTGGATATCTGTTGTACAAACTGCTTCCTAGCTGACTCTTATGCATTCTGCTCTTTATCCATGATAATAGAACATCTAGCCAGACACATGGTTGCCTATAATACACCCTTAAGTGTGGCCATATCTCTTAAGTTCTGGCCAGTAGGATGTGAGCAGAAATTATGTATGCAACTTCCAGATCATTTTCTAAAAGAAATTGGGTGTCACTTGCCCTTTCTTTTGTCCTTTTCTGATGAATGTATGTATTAAATAGTTGGGGTAGTAAACCATGTTGAAAGATGCTGTGGTTTCAATGATGGTGTCCCCTTCAAAATTCATGTTGAAACTTAATCCCCATTGTGATGATACTAACAGCTGATGAAATCATGAGGGCCCTGCCTCATGGATGGATTAATACCTTGTAAAAGGACTGGAGGGAACTAGCTTAGGCCTTCTTTTGCCCTTCCATCCCTTTAGCCACACGAGGACACAGCATTCACCCCCTCCAGAGGATATAGCAGTAAGGTCCCACCTTGGAAACTGCAGCCCTCACCAGACACTAAACCTGCTGGGGGTCTTGAGCTTGTACTTCCCAGCCTTTAGAACTGTGAAAAAGTATATTTCTGTTCTTCACAAATTTCCCAGTTTCAGGTATTTTGTTACAGCAGCATAAACAAGACTAAGACACTGGGAAACATTCTAGGGATTGCAGAGCAACAAGTTGGGGCCCTGAGGACTTCATTGGGCAGGTCCTGTGTACCAGGTCAACTCTGATGTAAGACAGCTACTAACTTCTATGATCTGCCATGGTTATTCTAAATCCCTTTAACTGCAGCTGACCTTGTGTCTTAATATCCAAGCAAAGATATCAGGAGGCAGTTGGATGTGGAAGTCTAGAGTTAGAGGAGAATGAAACCAACTCATCTTACATTCTTTGACTTGATTGGTGACTCTACCATCTATGGCGGTCCACAGTCATAATAATGGTAGCAATCCTGGATTTCTTCCTTTCCCTCACTCTCCTGGCAATTAAGAGGCAAAGTTGTATCTCTCTAAAGAATTGGCTTTAGAATTAGTGTAGCAAAGTAGCTGAGAGCACAGGCCCCCAACTTACTGGCAAGTGCACAGATACCAGGCAAGATTGTAAACCCCTTTCTGATTTAGTTTCCTCATCTATAAAATGGAGGTGTAGGGATTAAGTGTTAATGTACATAAAGTTCTTAGAATAATGCTGGGCACATAGTACAACTCAACAAAGGCAGGCTTCCCCCCGCCCCACGCAAATCCCAGTTCTGCCAGTTACCAGAAATACAACCTTGAGTACCTCAATTGGTGTCTGTTTCCTCTTTAGGAAAGTGGGAAAAAATAATAGTACCATCCTCATAGGACCATTGTAATCCTTCATTCATCTATTCAGTACATATTTATTGAATGGATATGTGCGAGCACTGTTATCAGTGCTGAGAATACAGCAATGAACAAAAACAGTCTACCTTCATGGAGTTTGTGATCCATGGAGGAAGAAAACCAACACATATGTGTTATGTCAGAATATGATATGTTAAGGAGAAATACAAAGCAAGGCAAAGGGAATAGGGAGTGCTACAGGAGTTCCGTCATGCCGAGTGGCCAGGGAAGATCTTATTGAAAAGAATTCGTTTAATCAGAGGCTTGACAGAAGTGAGGAATGAACTGTGGAAATACAAAGGAAACAACCTTCTAGACAGAGGGGGCCCTGAAGCAGAAAGGTGCCTAGAGTCATCTAGGAACAGTAGCAAGGCGTTGTGGCTAGAGAGAGAAAGGAGGAGTTGAAGATGAGCTCAGAGAAGTCACAGTGGGTCACAGCCTGGAGGACTTTTTAGCTTTTCCTAAGAACTTAGGTATTTGTGCTGAATGAGGTGGGAAGCCTCTGGAAGGGTTTGAGAGAGTTATGACAAGATCCATAGAATAACTCTAGCTACTGTGTGGAGAATGGACAAAGATAGTGCATATGAGGTGTTTAGTGCCTGACACATGGGAGGTGTTCAATAAATGGTAATAAGCAATATCATCATCATCATTATCATAACATCCATTTCCTTCTGTATATTTCCACTGCTACTACCTTAATTTAGACCCTTAGTGTTTAGACCCGTTGTGTTTCTGAACTAGACTGTAAGTTCCAGAAGGGTAAGATCATATTACCTCATTCACTATTTTAACCCCAACATTCAGAGAATGCTGGTTCATATTATACTACTTTCCTGCCAAATGTCCTCATCACAGTATGTTTTCTTAAGAAACATGTGTTATCACCTTGCTGCCTTTCTTAACTCTATCAGTGGCTCACCATGGCCTTCTGAATAATGTCTAAACTCCAAAAACGGCCCATTGGATGTGGCCTCTGCCTCCATTCCAGCCCCATCTCCCACTTCCCACATGAATGTATTGCTTAGGCAATACTTAAGCTTGAGAGTCATTTGGAGCTCTTTTGCATGCAGTTTATTCTACCTTTTAGACAAGTTCAAGCTCCTCCTCTGAGAAGCCTTTCAGATCTACTCAAGGAGGGTCATTGCTTATACCTCTGTGTGCCCTCCGCATACTCGATGTATGTGCTTAGCACTTCTGTCTTCTCTTAAGCTTCTTGAGAGAGGAGAGCACCCTTGACTTCTTGTGTTCCCAGTATCTATCTCAATGGCTAAAACCTGGTAACTCCTCAAAAAAGGTTTGAATGAGTGAATCGGGCTTTGTGAGTGTAAAAGTTAAGAACTGAGACCAGCATGTCTAATAGAGGGCCCCTTTACTGAGCTAACATGTAATAAAGTAGTGTATCTTTGAATGTTTCATTTTTCAGCTATGTCAAGTAGAGATACAAAGTGCAGTAGTGCCTGCTTATACAATTCAGTGGGAACAGAAAAATCAGGCAAATGAAATAAATGTAAGAAATCTTAACTTCTTGTCAATTCCAATAAATATGCAACAATAAAGTATTTTAATTAGAACCGTGGTATATGAAGTATAAAATTAAGATATTGAACAAGATGATCTATGAAGTCCTTCTAAAGCTATGACTTTTTCAACCACCAATTTCACGAATTGCCTCTATAGCCAAGACTACACAAGAAGTTACTGGAGCAAAAACCTGGAAGTCTATCAAATCATGCTTTGACCTTGGTCATCCCAATCTCTTTGTGCCTGTCTTAACCCAGCTGGAGAGTAGGTGGAAAAGGGAAGCATTTCATTGAACACCAGCTGCTGCTGCTGCTAATCTGAGCTGTTCTGAATAAAACAGTTCCACTTGAATCAATGAAGCAGCCCTTAGAAATTGTTTCTTTCTGACATGCGCATCATTTGAGTTATTTGAAGTCATTCCTACTACAGTCCATATCTCTAATTCCATTTTAAATACGTATCATACTGATTCTAACACAGACTCTAACAAAATGATTTTTAAATCTAAGGAAATGCATTGATTCAATTAAATCTTAGTATTAAAGATGGTACAGACATTCTACACTTATTGTTTTTCTTCAGAATCTCTCAACTGAAAAAAACATCTGACTAGGGAAGAATCATGAGTATCATTTATAATTGATACACTATTTTGTTTTAGTACTGCTTGAGGCCCACATACAGAACACAAAATTCTGTTATCAAAATGATAAATGTTACTATGTGGATTCTTTGGCATTGCTTCAAACAAAATTTTATACTTAAAGTCTGACTTTTTAAAATTATTGATTTTACTTTTATTTTGTAACATTAAATTAGCATACTACATATGGAAAGACCAAGATTTTTAAAGATAGTAATATAGTTATCATTTATGACATACAAATTTTATATTGCTTCTTTTTTTAAGTTACTGCTAAGCATAGTACTGATTGCATCCATATTTCAGTACTTACCACAAAGTTCCTGAAAGGACAGTACATTTCTGCAAATTAAATTTGTACACTCATTAGGTGCCAGTTGTTTAAATAAATCTCATTAATTCATACAACATTCTTGGATATTATATACTTTATGGATTAGAAAATTGAGCTTAGAGTAAGTAAGCAACTTGCCCATGTCTTACAGCTAAAAACTAGTAGTGCTAGGATTTAAACCCACAGGTGTATGTGTGTGCGCTCTTATTGTAGCATGTTGCTTTCCTAGAAAACAAAAATTTCAAAAATATATTTCATTGAAATGTTTCCTCATTCAATAATCCCTTTTTTCATTGCTTCGTAGCAATCTTATAATATACTCAAATTATTACCCCAGCAGAAAACTCATTTTTTATACTCTCCATTCAAGACTGGGCATCTGGGAGTCTCAGCCATCTTCATCTGCCATCAGTCCTTTCCAGCACTCTGTCCTGATTATGTGATACTGAGTCAGCTACTTAATTTATTTCAACCTTGATTTCTTCATTTGTAAAGGGGATAATACTGTGATGAGAAAAGAGATAACATGTTGCTAAGGACTTATTTTGTGCCTTAAGGACTTATTAATAATTGATTAAGCTCAATAAATGATGAATGAATGGACGAAGTTGTCTTAGTTTGTGTTTCTCACGAAAACAGACCTTGAGACAATGATTTCAGTGCAAGTAATTTATTTGGGAGGTGATCCCTAGAAACACTGGTAAGAAAGTAAGTGAGTTACGGAAGGGAGGAAACCAAAAAGGGTGTATTATCAATCAAGTGTCCACTTTGGGCAACTGGAATTTGCTTATGTTGAAGAACTCTGGGAGCCAGTGTAGAACACACACTTCACAATTATCCTGTGAGTGTATAATGTTGTTATCCTCATCTGGCTGGCTTGCTGTGGTTGGGACACAGCAGCTCCAGCTGGTCAGAGAGAGCCCTAAGCAAGAAATGCAGGAGCTGGCAATTGAAACTAGGACTGGCATACAATACAGTAGGAAGATCCAGGGCACCAATCGCATTTGCCACACAAATGAACAAACGAGCCAAACTTGGTGAGTTGACTAGAGTTCAGGTCTGGCCCTCATGATTGCAGGCTTAGAAACTGATTTAAGCCAGCCCACCAATCAAACTCACATTTAACAAACTCAAGAGATGGAATTATAAAATCGGAATGCCAGTTTATTGATTTAAATTGAAAAGTACCCATCAGAGGGACTGGAATGCTGGAAAGGACTGGTATGCAGGTGACCAGAGCATTTTTTCCCTGTAAGAAGACACACAGGGTCCCCACATAACAGAAGCTTCTTAGGAAGCTTGAAATCTAGACAAAGGGAAGTGACAGAACAGGAACTGAAAGAACTGGACAATTGATACCTGATACATTCAACTTCCGTGAAGCATCATTGACGGGAATGAGAGTATGTTGAAGCTTTTGGGCAAATATCCCCTAGGAAGTTACAGCCAGACTTTCCTAGTCTGATTTTATCCAGTGTTTTCATTGATGACTAGCCCTTTTCTTTAGAAATGTCAGGCTTCCATTATATCTTGCAGGCCTGGAAGCCATTTCTCTTTTTTTTAAGTGACTTATAACAAACTCTGCTTTGGTCCATATGTGAATAAGCCAACAGGTTAACACCCAAAGGCAATCATATTTTCCTTTTTTTCCATATTTCTGTGGCATTTCTATGTGTGCCAAGTGTCAACTGTACTATATTTTATTACCTGATTGTAATCTCCTCACATCTAGAAGTCCTTCAGTCTGAACTTCTTCATGACTTTCAAACCTACTAAACCTACTATCTAGTTCTCAGTAGCTTTTTTCCTATTTCTCTCTTTTTTTCAATTTATTTTATATATATATATTTAAGTAGAGATTAGGTTTCACTATGTTACCCAGACTGGTCTTGAACTCCTGGGCTCAAGCGATCCTCCCACTTCAGCCTCCCAAAGTGCTAAGATTACAGGCGTGAGCCCCACACCCAGCCTCCCAATTTCCCTTTTATGTCAAACACTTCTCATATGAAACATGCCATAGTTTTTTGTACTTCCTTATTTCTTGGTCATTTTTTAAATCTAAAGAAAAGTTTAGAGCATAGTATAATCAATAACCATATTTTCTTTAGCTAGATGTCCTGGTAGTTTATATCTGGCCATATTTGTTCTATCTATCCATTTATCTGTTATCTCCAGCTATGGACCCATTTGTCATAAGTTACAGACTTTGTAACACTTTATCCCTGTATCTTTTCCATAAGAACCAGGGCATTCCCATATATAACCATAAACCACATGCAATTTAACCTTGTTCTGGGTTAGCAGAGACATCTTCCTTAGCAGGCCAGTTTTATGATATGGTTCTGGGAAATGTTCTCAGAAATACAAGCTAGAAGCTGTCTTTTCATCCCTTCTGATTAAACTGTGATTTTCCATTTTTTTTTTAAATAAATCTTTTCTTGCTGCACAGGAAAGGGTTAACTCAGCAGTCCTGGGTTGGTCAAACCCTGTAGGTTCCAAAAAAAGGCCTGCCTTGGCTGGGCATGGTGGCTCACGCCTGTAATCCCAGCACTTTGGGAGGCTGAGGCAGGTGGAACACCAGGTCAGGAGATCGAGACCATCCTGGCTAATACGGTGAAACCCAGTCTCTACTAAAAATACAAAAAATTAGCTGGGCATGGTGGCGGGTGCCTGTAGTCCCAGCTACTCAGGAGGCTGAGGCAGGAGAATGGCGTGAACCTGGGAGGCAGAGCTTGCAGTGAGCTGAGATCATGCCACTGCACTCCAGCCTGGGCGACAGAGCAAGACCCCGTCTCAAAAAAAAAAAAAAAAAAAAAAAAAGGCCTGCCTTCAGGATTGGTCCTTGACTAGCCCCTGACTAACCTCTGAGACCCTGAAACATTCTGCCTGATGAGAGTGTTTTATATACCTGAGGCTGTGGGTCATGCTGTATCAGTTTGGCCAGATAAGTTCATCCTAACAAAGTGATTTATGGTAAATGCCTGTTTTTGGCTCAGGAGCCAGCAGGGAGAGGAGAAGTTTGCGGTGGCTGGAATAGAAGTCATACAGGTACTATATGCCTATGTGACTGACCACTAATACCTGTGAAAACCCTGGACACCAAGGTGTGGGTTATCTTCAAATAATGGCAAAATTTATGAAGTCTTGCCAACCAGGAAGCTACTTCATATGTGTTACACATTATTGCAGAGACAATTAAGTGTATCTCCATGTGACTCCAGCAGAGAAGATATCTGGAAGCCTGGACCTAGTTTCTCCTGGATTTCATCCCATGTACCTTTTCCCTTTGCTGATTTTAATCTGTATCCATTTGCTGTAATGAACTATAACCATGAGTGTAAGAGCTTTTCTGAGTCCTGTGAGTCCTTCCGGCAAATACTTGAGCATAAGGGTCATCTAGGATCATCTGACATGCCTGCCTAGACTAGTTACTATGGATTCTGTTGTCTCCAACCAACAAGTATTATTGACACAGAATTGATGACAAAAGATCCTTAAAGAAATAGAAATCTGGGACTAGTGTCTGAAATGGATTTGAAAACAGTAAGTATCTAAGTAGTGCTGGCAGTGGGACAGTGGTCCATGGCACACAGTGACCAAACAGTTAAATGATCTTTTGTAGTCAGCTGGACTAAAGTAGCTTTTGAAGGAAAGACTTTGATTTAAGAGATTGTGGTTCAAGTCATTAAGCAGGCCACGTGCAGTCTAATTTAGGAGGTGAAATCTTGCACAAAAGAGCTAGAGTAGCAATCTGAATAGTTTAGCCTACAGGGATCTTTGACAGGTGAATTGGTCATGAAGTCCCAAGGACTGAAATAGGTAATCAGTTTACTGTGTCCTTTTAGATAAGTACAATTCTAGTTCTGAGTAAACCAAAGCTTGACTTAAGCCACCTCAATAGAGATTCACAGCCCCTTGCCAAATCCCAAACCTCAGTCAGTTCATAGACACAGAGTCATGTGAGTGAAGGTGAGTCTGGGTACAGCTGAGGATAACCCAATAAGTTCATGCTGTATATTTTCCTTCTAGCCCTCCTGAAGGAGCTACGCGATCGTTTAGCAGAATAACTGTTCACCAAGGGAAAGGAAATATCCAGATCTTTCAGGGATTTGGGGGCACTGTCACTGAGCTAACATGTAATAATTCCTGGCGACCATAAAGACACTCTGGTCCTTCAAGCCTGATGAGGGCTTGTGAACATCAGTTGACATCATTTCTCAATGGGTCCAGTAGGTCCATGAGCCATCCTGTTAATTCCTCAGATCCTGAATGTGAGTTGTAATAGACATACTTGTTATCTGACAAGATCCTCAGTTGTTCCACTGACCCATAGAATGAGGGACTCTCGTGATATAAACCTATGAACGTAGTCCTCTATTTGAAAAAAATAAACCAAAAGCAATACCATGCCTCAAGGAGAATATTAGTGATTTAGTGCCACCACCTAAAATTGGGAAGACATAGGGGTGTTGCTTTCTACTACCTCTCCCACTTAACTTGGTTGTTTGGCTTGTGCAAAAAATCAGATGGATATTAGAGAATGACAGTGTGGATTATTGTAAGTCTAATCAGGTGGAGATTTCAATGGTAGCTGCTGTTCTTTTCTTTTGTTGAATGGCTATCAACTCACAGACTGCAGACTGGTGAATCTTACGTAGAGTAAAAGAAAACCCCACTGAAGCACACCACAGTCAGACTGCTGAAAACCAAAGAGAATGAGATGACCCTAAATATGGTCAGAGAAATGAGACACATAACCTTTAAAGGAACAACAATAAAACTTACAGCTGACTTTTTATCAGAAATTATAGGTGCCAGGAGAAAATAGAAAGGCATCTCTGAAACCTGAAATAAAAAAAGCAGCCAACCTAACATTTTATACTCAGAGAAAATATTCTTCATAAATAAATGTAAAATAAAAATGTTTTAGACAAAAATAAGTTGAAAATAGTCATGGCCAGCAGATTTTTTCTAGAAAAAATTTTAAAATAGACTCTTCAGGCTGAAAGAAAGTTATCCCAGATGAAAGCATAAAACTGCAAGAAAGAGAAATAAAGAGCACTGGATTGGGTAAATATATCTGAAAAATATAAACAAATAACTGTTAAAAATAATTATGATGTATTGTGAAATATATAACATGGAGAAGTAAAAATATATGCCAGCAATAGCACAAAGACTGAGGACAGTGAATTGATTACATGTGTTGTAAAGTTCTTGCACCCTCAGGAGGTGGTAAAAACAACTAGCTTAAGGTAGACTGTAGAACATAAGGAGTTTGTATTGAATCTCTAGCTAATTATTAAAATATTCAAGAATAGCTAATAGAGGAGAATAATAGAATAGCAAAAAAGCTGATTATTCAAAAGAAGGCAGAAGAGAAAAAATATGAAATGAAAATAGATGGAGTTAATAGAAAATAAATAGCAAGACTGCAGATATAAATCCATCTATTTTATTTGTTATATTGTATATGTATAACTAAACATTTCAATTAAAGACAGATTGTCACACTGCATACAAAAACAAGACTCAAGTATGTGCTATTGATAAGAAAGGCAGTTTAAATATAAGAACACAGTGAAATGGAGAGTAAAAGGATAGACGTTATAACATGCAAACAATAGCTATAAGAAAGTTGATTATTATATAATATCAAGTTAATAGACTTTAAAGCAAGAAAAATCACTAGAAGAACACAAGAACATTTTGTAATAGTAAAACTGTCAATTAAACAGAAAAATCATAAAATATTCTGTATGTAATATTTCACCTATATGCACCTAATAGCTTCAAAATTTATATTTCAAAGTGTAACAGAATTAGATGAGGAAACATCAAAATCATATAATAATAGTTGGAGATTTTCACACACACTTCTCAGTATTAGAACAGCTGTCAAAGCATCAACAGGAATATAAAATATTTGAACAACATGATTCATTAAATTAATCAAGTTGACTATGTAAGATACCACAGTTAACAGTTCTAGATCAGATTTTCTTTTTATTTACACAGGGAACAGTTACCAAAGTATACTGTATGCTGGCCCCTAATTTAAGTCCTAAAATTTTTTCAAATGATTGATAACATTTAGGTTGTATTCTCTGACCACATCACAGTGAATTTAAACTGACAATTAAGAACAGAAAGGTAAGTAGACAAATTTCCAATAGCTTAGCAATTAAGCAGCACACTTCTAAATAACCCATTGGTAAAAGGATAAGTTACAGCAAATCTTCGAATCTTAGAAAATAGTTTGAATCGAATGATACTGCAGTATATCATATTAAAACCAGTTAAATGCAGCTAAAGAAGAGCTTACAGGAAAACTAATAGTTTTAAATAGAATCAAATTTCAAAATCAATTATCTAAACCAGGGATCAGCACATTATTTCCTGTAAAGCAGGGGTCCCCAACCCCTGTCGTGGCCTGTTGGAAATTGCTGCACAGCAGGAGGCGAGGGCAGGGAAGTCAAGGAAGTTTCATCTGTATTTACAGCTGCTGCCCATCACTCACATTACTGAGCTCCGCCTCCTGTCAGATCAGTGGCAGCATTAGATTCTCATAGGAGCACGAACCCTATTGTGAACTGCACATGCAAGGGATCTAGGTTGCACACTCCTTATGAGAATCTAATGCCTGATGATCTGTCACGTCTCCCATCACCCCTAGATGGGACTGTCTAGTTTCAGGAAAACAAGCTCATGGCTCCCACTGATTCTACATTATGGTGAACTGTATAATTATTTCCTTATATGTTACAATGTAATAATAATAGAAATAAAGTACACAGTAAGAGTAATGCGCTTGAATCATCCTGAAACCATCCCTCACCCCCAGTAGGAGGAAAAATTGTCTTCTGGGAAACCAGTCCCTGGTGCCAAAAAGTTTAGGGACTGCTGCTGTAAAGGGCCAGAGAATAAAAGTTTTAGGCTTTCTGGGTTATGTGGTCTCTGTCCCAGCTGCTTAAGCCTGCCATTGTAGAGTGAAGGCATACATAGACATTAAATTAACAGGTAGGTGGCCCATGAGCTATGGTTTGGGTAATACTTAATTCAGGGACTATGAAGAATGTACGTGGTCTTTAGATCTCGTTTAAAAAAAAAGCAGTTTATCTGAGCAGCCTAACAGACGTGGGTGAAAAAATGAAGTCACACCATAGTATATGCAAGGAAATTATGGAAAACTTCCATCTCTCTGTGATGGTACATCCTTCAACTTTGTGTTTACCTCTTCAGAGAAGCTTTTCCTGGCCTCTACATATCAAAATAGTATTGGCCACATGTACTTTTGCTTCTGTTTTTTTCTCCTGGTACATTTTTTCTAGTACTCACCACTACCTTAAATTATATCAGTAATTTAAAAAAACTTTAATAGAGACAGGGTCTCACTACGTTGTCCAGGCTGGTCTCAAATTCCTGGGCTCAAGCAGTCCTCTCACTTCAGCCTCCCGGGTAGCTGGGACTACAGGCACCGTCCACCTTTCCATCTCATGTACTGAATTGAAAGTTCTATGAAAACATAAACTTTATCTCTTCTACTACTATATATTTAGCACCCAGAACACTGTCTGGCATAAGGTAGGTGTTCATGATTATTTACTGAATATGTAAATAAATGATAGGGAAGAGGACTGTAAGTCAGAAACCCCCAAGTCCCAGAAGTGACACTAGATGGTGTACATGGAGAGCTACTCATAGTCACATTCAATCGATCCCTGGGAAACATGTGGCAACAGAGGTGAGGCATGATAAACAAGGCCTGGCAGATCTTTGATTGCTGATATCAAACCTGTGCTGTCAGTTACTTAAGAAATGGAGGACTCATTCATGCTCATCAGAAATGGTTTTACAAAATGAAAGAAAGAAAAGTAGGACCCACATTGCTTTCCCAGTCAACAAGACATTCACTGAGAATTGTTGATATAGCACAAACACAGTTTCTCCAGCTCTCTTGTTGGAATAAACATGTGAGATCACTGGCGAGGAAGGGCCAGTATGGAGTGATGGATGAGCTTGACTTAATCCTCCCTTTTCCCTAGAGGAGACATTTACGAAAATAATTTCCCTACATTTCTTTATACTTTTGCCATCTAAGTTTGAATTGCTAAATACTATGGTTTAGTTTTTCTTGTTTTTTGAACATTATGTAAAA
This sequence comes from Homo sapiens, assembly GCF_000001405.40. Lineage (NCBI taxonomy): Eukaryota > Metazoa > Chordata > Mammalia > Primates > Hominidae > Homo > Homo sapiens. The sequence continues at coordinate 25,455,123 of NC_000015.10, forward strand.
GGAGTCATACAGCATGTATTCTTTTGTGTCCACCTTCTTTCATCAAAATTGTTTTTGAGATGTATCCATGTTGTAGCATGGAGCTACAGTGAGTTTATTCTCATTGCTATATAATGCTAATATACTATAACGTATTCTTTCTACTGCTGATGGGCATTTCAGTTTTCTCCTATTTTTGAATATAATGAATAATGCTGCTGGAAAAATTCTTGAAATGAATATAAGCTGCTGCTTTCTGGATCATGAACAAAGGACTCTTCTGCCACAGAAATAGCTTCCTAGTACTCTAAGCTTCCTTATTACAGTTCAGTTTTATAACCTTTGATAGCGTTTGATTGGCCATATTCTTTCACTAGACAGTATGATTCATCAACACAAAATAATCCACACTTTCTATCGTAGTCCATTTTGTGTTGCTACAAATACCTGAGACTGGGTAATTTATAGAGAAAGGTCTATTTAACTCAAGGTTCTGCAGGCTGTATAGGAAGCAAGGCACTGACATCTGCTCAGCTTCTGGTGAGGGCTTTTGTGCTGTTTCAAACATGACAAAGGTCAAAGGGGAAGTGGGCACGTGTGAAGAGGGACTTTCCTTATTTTTCTATCAATACGTGTTTGCTAAGAGGGCATGTGATGAGGACTAGTGGGATTTAAGACTTTTTTTTAAATTTAAGATTATTGAAGTCATTTGGCCCCTTGCAAGAAGTACACTAGACTCATCCCTGCTTATTTATATTAATGGGGCCTAGGCATAGCATAAATCAATGGTATCAGTAATACATTAAAATCTTGTTTAAGTCATACAGTTTAAGTTTAGTCCTACTTTAGGAGTTCTCCAACTCCCTTAATAAGGCTGCTAAAGGGCAAAAATAACAGTAAGGACTAATGACAATTTTGAATTGTTAATATCTATATGACTCTCCTGGATAGTTTGTTAACATTCAGTTTCCCTGGCTCCACTTAGAGAGCTTGGATTAATAGGCTTGAAGTAGAGACCAGGAAACTGCATTTTTAATAAGCACCCAAAGGAGACTTTAATGCAGATATTCTTTGGACCACACTGTGGCAGAGCTATCAATAAACAATGGCGGGAAGGAGAAGCAAGGATTACAACTACAGTAGTGAAAAGAAAGACAAACATCTGTAGAAAGATTACAAGAAAACCAATTGTGGTTCTTCCTGGGGACAGGGATAAAGCTCTCTGACTGTGGGCAGTGATTGTAGTTTGTAGCATTCAGGGTCCTCCTCTCTGGGCATGTTCACCTCCCACTCTAGGGTTCAGGCAAGCTGGGGCTCTTACCTTCCACATAGCCCAGCAGATTCTCCAAAGCTTCAAAGGTTCATGCACCTACACAGAAATAAATCATTTGAAAGGGCTGTTTCAAAACTGAAAGTAACATGCTCGATTTTAGATTCTGTCCAACGCAAAAAATGTTAAGAGGACAAAAAAGGTAAATTAGGCCAATAAATATACTAAATGAGATAAGGAACAAAATTAGTAATATTAAGCAAGAACAATTAAAACACTAAAATGAACTAAGCAGAATAGTAGGTATCAAAAATAATACTTAAAGAATACTATCATTGGATGAGTAGCAGACTGGATGTGTTGGAGGATTGAATTAATGAATTAGAAGACAAATTGAAAAAATCTCTGCAAAGGGAAAAAACAAAAAAAATATTGTATACAAAGCCAAAAAGATATGGAGTGGAATAGAAGTGGTAGTACTCAGATAATAGGTGTCTCAGAAAGAAAATATAAATGGAGATAAAGAAGTAGTTGAAGAAATAATGGAGATAAGTTTTCCCAGATTAAATAAAGATGAAAGACTTCTGTTTCAAAGAACTCATAGAGAGTGTCCAAGAGGCGAGAGAAGGAAATCACAACCAGACTCTTTATAGTATGATTTAATAACAAAGGCAAAGAGAAATGTGAAGGCTTCAGAGACAAAATGAATCACAAGCCCAAGAATCACATCGATATCAGATCTCTTTTGCTATCAACTCGATGCAAAAGACAACAAAGTAGGATTTTCAACACATTGGTAACTTAGAATCTAGAATTTTATATCCAGACAAAATGTCATTCAAATTCAGAGATGTGATAAGATATTCTCAGGCATGGAAGGCCTCAGGAGGTTTGCCACACGGAGATCTGACTTGGGAATATTTAGGGGTGAAATATTTATATAAGTGGAGAGAAAAAATCCAGGAGATGCTGCAGGACATAGATGAAGGAACTGGGTTTTTCATTCTTTGGTAACATTTATTGCTTTCTCTAAAAAGTAAGATTAAATAAAAAGACAAAAATGTATTTATAATAACTCTGAATTTTAAACCGACATTACCAACATAAAGAGTGAGGAGTTGGAGTTATTTGAAAGTGTACTAAGATTCTTTCTTCACTGGGAGTGAAAGAGACATAGATGTCAATATCCCCCCTCCCCCGCAAAAAAAAGGAAGACAAATTAAATGATGGAAAAAGTGGGAGAGAACTGAAATAGTAAACTAAGATTGTAAAAATGGGTTTTGAGATTCCCTAAAAGCACACTGTAAGATGAGAATACTTGTATAAATGTTTTACTAAAGAAATGCTCCCAGGGGAAACTGGTAATGGAGTGGGTGAAACAGAACATGGACAGGAACAAAGCGAAGCAAGGCACAACCTCATGAACATGCAGTGGTGGCTTCGGGTGACCTGGAAGAGCAACTCTGGAGTGTGTGTTTATGGCTTCTATGTTCTCACCCCCATCATTCACTGATGAATTCTTCCTGGGTACCTCCAGAGGGTCTGGGGGACTAGGAGACTGAGACAGTTACTTTAAACAGTGGCAAGTGATAGCTGTAGGAAATAAAAAACTCCCTGACAGTGGGGGCTAAGCAAAAATGGCTGAAAAGGATCCACAAGAATCTGGGCAGATCCATTATCCACTAACCAGATCCAAATACATCAGTACTGTCAATATATGTAAATGAAGGAAACCTACAGTCAAAAAAACATGAACATGCAAAAGTTGAAACTATAAGGATGAAAGTATAAGGATGTCAAACACCAACCTTTTCTCATTATGTAGTGATCCCTTCCAACCCTATTAGTGCTTATGGTCTTAAGTCCTATTCTTTTTCGTATTATTAGATAGAAAAGGTCATTCAACACACCAAGTTGATACCTCTGTTTTAAACATGTGTGTACTTAACAAAATAGCTTCAAAATATTTTAAACTGGTGATTCAATAATACAGAATAACAAGGTAAACGGTTAAGTTGAAAGAAAAATTTCCAAAGCGTAATACGTATGAAACTATAAAAGAACAGATTACAATGTGTTTATAGCTGGGACTTCTCCTGGTACTCAAAGTATTAAATTCTGTTGTAAAGAGGTGAAATGTCTAGCTCCCAAATGATTAGATGTTAAATTTATTTCTTCATAATATGAAATTATTTTCAGTGTTGAACAAGACCAGGGAAGCCGTTCATAATATACTGAAAGCTTTAAAAACAACTGATAAAAACCACAAAACTCATTTTGTATAAAACTTAAAAACTACAAGGCCTCATTTTTGTAAATATAGTTAGAATATGCATGTAAATTAAAAACAAAAAATATTGACTAAATTATAGAAAATAAAATAATACACAACTTTATAACTTTTGAAAATATATAAAAATTATAACAAATGTTTTAAAAATAGACTATCATTATTAAAGAGATTGAAGCAATGGTTAACAATATTCACACAAAAAAATTAGGGTCAAATGGTTTTATAGCTTAGTTTTACAGGTGGCAAAGACATTATAAAAAAATTATCAGCTCACTTTACTCACTGATATAGATGCAATAATCCTAAATAAATACAAGCAACTCAAATCTAACAAAGGATACAAAAGGTAATATGCTATGACTAATTTGAGTTTATTTCAGCTATGTAAGGATGATTTAATATTAAATCTGTAAATATAGTTTACTGCACTAACATGAAAGGGGGAAAAAGCTGGGCATGATAGCGTGTACTTGTGGTCCCAACTACTCAGGAGGCTGAGGCAGGAGGATCACTTGAGCCCAGGAGTTGGAGGCTGGAGTGAGCTATAATCACACCACTGCACTTCAGCCTGGGTGATAGAGCAAAACTCCGTCTCTTTTTTTTTTTTAATTTTTTTTAATTTTATTATTATTATACTTTAAGTTTTAGGGTACATGTGCACAATGTGCAGGTTAGTTACATAGGTATACATGTGCCATGCTGGTGTGCTGCACCCATTAACTCGTCATTTAGCATTAGGTATATCTCTTAATGCTATCTGCTATCCCTCCCCCCTCCTCCCACCCCACAACAGTCCCCAGAGTGTGATGTTCCCCTTCCTGTGTCCATGTGTTCTCATTGTTCAATTCCCACCTATGAGTGAGAATATGTGGTGTTTGGTTTTTTGTTCTTGCGATAGTTTACTGAGAATGATGATTTCCAATTTCATCCATGTCCCTACAAAGGACATGAACTCATCATTTTTTATGGCTGCATAGTATTCCATGGTGTATATGTGCCACATTTTCTTAATCCAGTCTATCATTGTTGGACATTTGGGTTGGTTCCAAGTCTTTGCTATTGTGAATAGAGCCGCAATAAACATACGTGTGCATGTGTCTTTATAGCAGCATGATTTATAGTCCTTTGGGTATATACCCAGTAATGGGATGGCTGGGTCAAATGGTATTTCTAGTTCTAGATCCCTGAGGAATCACCACACTGACTTCCACAATGGTTGAACTAGTTTACAGTCCCACCAACAGTGTAAAAGTGTTCCTATTTCTCCACATCCTCTCCAGCACCTGTTGTTTCCTGACTTTTTAATGACTGCCACTCTAACTGGTGTGAGATGGTATCTCATTGTGGTTTTGATTTGCATTTCTCTGATGGCCAGTGATGGTGAGCATTTTTTCATGTGTTTTTTGGCTGCATTAATGTCTTCTTTTGAGAAGTGTCTGTTCATGTCCTTCACCCACTTTTTGATGGGGTTGTTTTTTTCTTGTAAATTTGTTTGAGTTCATTGTAGATTCTGGACATCAGCCCTTTGTCAGATGAGTAGGTTGCGAAAATTTTCTCCCATTTTGTAGGTTGCCTGTTCACTCTGATGGTAGTTTCTTTTGCTGTGCAGAAGCTCTTTAGTTTAATTAGATCCCATTTGTCAATTTTGTCTTTTGTTGCCATTGCTTTTGGTGTTTTAGACATGAAGTTCTTGCCCATGCCTATGTCCTGAATGGTAATGCCTAGATTTTCTTCTAGGGTGTTTATGGTTTCAGGTCTAACGTTTAAGTCTTTAATCCATCTTGAATTAATTTTTGTATAAGGTGTAAGGAAGGGATCCAGTTTCAGCTTTCTACATATGGCTAGTCAGTTTTCCCAGCACCATTTATTAAATAGGGAATCCTTTCCCCATTGCTTGTTTTTGTCAGGTTTGTCAAAGATTGGATATTTGTAGATATGCAGCGTTATTTCTGAGGGCTCTGTTCTGTTCCATTGATCTATATCTCTGTTTTGGAAACTCCATCTCTTAAAAAAATAAAAAGAGGAGAGGAGGAAGCCATATAACCATCTTAATCTATACCAGAAGAAGTATTATATTAAATTTAACATATATATGTATGTATTTATTTATTTAAAAGTAGCAAATTTCTTAACTTGATAGAATGTGTTTATTTAAAAATCTAAAAGGCAATATTCTGCATAGGGATATTAAAAGCATATCTTTATAATGACAAAAGAAATACGGGTATTCATTATAACCACTTCTAGTCAACATTGCCTTGGCAGCCTTACCAGTGCAACAAGACAAGAAAAAGTAATTACAAGTATAAGGACTGAGAGGAGGAAGTAAATTGTCATTAAAGTCATGCACCACATAATCACATAATAACTTTTTGGTCAATGATGCACTGCGTATAGAACTGTAGTCCCATAAGATTATAACGAAGCTGAAAAATCTGTATTGTCTAATTATGTCACAGCCATGGTAAAGTTGTAGCACAACATATTTCTCATGCGTTTGTGGTGATGCTGGTGTAAACAAACCTACCATGTTGCCAATCTTTTAAAATTATTGCATATACAGTGGTGTACAGATCATAACACTTGACAATAAATGACCATGTTACTGGGCTATGTACTTTCTGTACTATACTTTTAATTATTACTTTACAGTATACTCTTTCTACTTATAAAAACACGTTAACTGTAAAACAGTCTCAGGCAGGTCCTTCAGGAGGTATTCAGAAGAAGCCATTGTTAGCATAGGAGATGACAGCTCCCAGCATGTTATTGCCCCTGAAAACCTGCCAGTGTGACAAGATGCAGAGGTAGAAGAGAGTGCTATTGATGATCCTGACCCTGTTTGGGCCTAGGTTAACGTGTGTGTTTATGTCTTAGTTTTTAACAAAGAAGTTTAAAAAGTAAAAAAAAAAATTTTTAATTAAAGATAGAAAAAAGCTGATAGAATAAGGCAATAAATAAGTAAAATATTTTTGTACAGCAGTACAATGTGTTTGTGTTTTAAGCTAAGTATTATTACAAGAGGAAAACGTGTTTAATAATTTTAAAGTTTATAAAGTAAAAAAGTTACAGTAAGCTAAGATTTATTATTGAAGAAAGAAAAATACCTTAGAGATAAATTTAGTGTAGCCAAAGTATGCAGTGTTTATAAAGTTTACAATAGTATACAGTAACATCCTACACCTTCACATGCACTCACCACTCAGTCACCCAAGAGCAGCTTCCAGTCCTACAAGCTCCATTCATGTGAGTGCTCTATACAGGTGTAGCATTTTAAAAATCTTTTATACTGTATTTTTACTGTACCTTTTCTATGTTTAGAGGTATTTAGATACACAATTACTATTGTGTTACAGTTGCTTACAGTATTCAGTACAGTAACATGATGTACATGTTTGTAGCCTAGCAGCAATAGGCTACACCATATAGCCTGGGTGTGTAGTAGACTCTACCACCTAGGTTTGTGTAAGCACACTCTATGATGTTCACACAACAACAAAATCACCTAACAATGCGTTTCTCAGAAAGCATCCCCATTGTTACATGATGCATGACTGATATTTGCAGATGGTGTGGTCATTTACATAATCAGTCTAAAATAATCATTATTTGAAATAATAAGATTAATATACAAATGTTAGCTGCATTTCTATACACCAGCAGCAAACAACTAGAAAATGTAAAGAAAAAATACTCTTTATAATAGCATCAGAGAACTTTAAGTATCTAGTAATAAATACTTATTTTGTAAGTCACTGAAAATTTGAGGTTGTTTGTTATACAGCAAACCTGATTAGCTCTACAAGGAAAATGTTAAAGCTCTATTATGAGATATTAAACAAGGCTCAAGTAAATAGATAGCTCATCTGGCCTTGAATAGGAATTTTAATAGAATAATATCTCAGTTCTTTCCAAATTGATCTATAAATTGAAAATAATTCCAATCAAAACCTCAACAGTGTTTTTCATAGCATGTGATAATCCTAGATGGAAGAGTTAAGGGCTGAAATAGTTAAAATATTTCGTCAGGAAAGGACACTTCCCTTGCTGGTTGTCAGGATTTACTATGAAACTAGAGTAATTGAGACAGTAGTGGTATTAGTTCACCGATCAATGGAAATACGTAGGGAGCCCAGAAATAGATTCCCATATGTTTGGCACTGGGGATAAGAAAAAGGTGGCATATTATCAGTAGAGAAAGGAGCTGAAAGATGGAACTGAAAACAATGCTTCTCCAAGTGGAAGAAGTTGGAGGTGTATCCCAACCTCACCTAATTACAAAATAAACTTCATTTAAGTTAAAGACTTTCAAAAACAAAACTTTGAAACCCATACAAAAAATATAGGTCAGTATTTTAAAACTTGGAGAAGTAACTTAAACAAAACATAGAATTGTTGACTATAAAATGAAGTATTGATAATGTGGGCTAAAGTAAAATAAAGAACTTTATTCATCAAAATACCCCTTAAAGGACCTGAAAGTTAAGAAATAAATTGGGAGATAGTTGCCATGTACATGATCAATAAATAATTGGTATTAAATAGCTCCTACATATCAATGAGGAAAACACAACTCAAGGGAAAACATAGACAACATGAAAATACTGTTAAGAAGAGAAGCACATGAGAGCAGTAAATATGTGACATTAAATACGTGAATATTATTATGAGAAAAATGCAAAATGAGGTCTCACTGAAATACCATTTTACCCAAAAGCAGGCCAGGAATACTAAGGAATTAACACTCTCCAGCAACATCCCTCAACCTGTGATTTGTTGGAGTTAGTGCAAAAATAAATCCACTGCCCCACTCTTTGGATAGAATAATTCTGAGACAAGTGTTTGCACCATTTCTCAGTGCTTTCCATGGGATCTTCAGCCCTCATTCATCCACTGGGATAGCTGGAATAATTGAATACCCTTTATTAGCTGTAGTTCCTGTCCTGTATCCCCTCTCCACTTCTCTATTGGCGTTATTACTTCCCAAATGGGCTATTTTCATTTAAATCCTTGTCTCAGGTTTCCTCAGAAAGCCCAAATAAAGACTGTATTTTTTGCATAAGAATATGTTGAGATGTGATGAAAAATATTAAATGGAATAGTTGGGAATGATGCACAGGGAATTCAGATTGCTGGTTACCTTCCATGGGGTGTTGGATGGCAGATCTGGATGAGAGGGGTTCAGATGGATATATGTGTGATCTTTGTAAAGGTTCTGGCTTTTGTTCAGATGATGAGTTTGTAGGTGAGTGTTATTAAAAATAGCCAACTAATATATCAATATATGTAAATTTTGTCATTAACTCAGCTCTGTGGCCTCAGGTCCTTCAGAATAGGAGAAAAGAGAATGAGACGGGGAGAGAGAGAGAGAGAATAACAAAGCAAGGAAAGGAGAAAGAAAGGGAGGGAGGGAAGGAGGAAGAGAGAAATTATGAGGCCATGTTAGGATATTAGTGAGCTCTAGGAAGAATATTGTCAAGAAAAAGTGGATTGACTCTAAGCAATAAGTGGAACGAGGAAAATGTTGGAAATTATTGGAAGTCTTTTCTCAACAAGAAAAAAGATAAGACAATGAAAAATTTCAGGAACATAAAAACTGTAGAAGATCATACTACAATTATGAATTCATCTAAAATGGAGCATACCTGGGGCAACTGATAGAATGTAAGATATTTGAATCTATTTTCCTGATGTTAGAATAGTTCTCTGTTTTGAGAGGCACAAGATTTATGACATTGTCCCTTCAAAGATTGAAATGTAATTATAGTACATACTTCATTCTACTATGAAACATACTTGCATACTAATTCCCCAGTCATCTTCACTTTCTTACCATCAGAACTCCAACATTAATTATGGCCATGTTGTGCCAAATTTTAAAAAAACATTTCCCAGCCTCCCTTGCAACTAGGGGTAGCCACATGATATGGTTTCAACCAATAAGATATAAGTGGAAGTTGCTGGGTGGAATTTGATCTTTTACCTTCTTGAGTTACTATTCCATCTTCTTTTTTCCTGTCTTTCAGTAACAGACTCGAGCTCAAGATTAGACACTAGCCTAATCTTTGGTTCTCTGCCAAATACCTGTTCTTAATCTTTTAGTTTTCTGCCACTTTTCTGAGAATGCTTTCCCAAAGCTTGCTAGTAACATCTTAATAGGCAAGCCCTAATTACACTCTCTCAGTCTTGATCTTCTTAGAACTTGGTCCATCCTGTAATACTCTTAAAAGCTTCTCATTTTTCAGGCAGCATCTCAGCTCCTCAAGTACTTTGATTCTGTGCTGATCCTGTGTTAACCACAGAGATCCTCCTTGGTCCCTAGTGTCTTTTGTCACTCTGAAATTTAAACAGTCACTGTGGTTTGCTGTTAGATTTCTTTCTTTCTTCTTTTGTCAGTTGTCTCTGCTATGGGGATTGCATTTTTTTTTCAAGGCTGTGGCAATTACGTTGATGAAGATCATTTCCCAGCCTTTAGCTTTCCTCTAGTCTCTCCCCCACGTGCCAGGCCTGTATTTCCAGATGTGTGCTCCATAGAGCCACTACCTCTACTAAAAATGTCTAAACTGAGACATATCGTTTTTTAAATTCCCTAATCAGGTTCTCCTTGTGATGGAGATGTTTTGATCAACAAATTGTTTTAAACTCTCAGCAGCAGGGGTTTATCATGTGCCAGGGACAGTGCCAAGAGCTTTACATTTTTGATTCTCACAGCAGCTCTGTCAGGTGCATAGCATTGTTAGCCCCATTTTACAGATGAAGAAACTGAGACCTAAAGAAGTGAGGCCTGATTTTTCCAACATCACACAATTTTTACTGGCTGAGACTGGTCCCCTGATGCCTAAGTCAAATGGTCTCCCTTTCCATAATAACACTTCTGACATCCTCCTAGTTTAAAAATCTCGATTCTACATTGAATCAGTTGCCAGATTCTGTCAGTTCTCTCTCCCAGACTTCCCATTTCCCCTTCTTATTGCCTAACCAAAGAAAACCCACTGTCAGCTTGTTGTGTGCAGGGTCATTGTCTCTTGTGTTCCAAGCCTTTTTGCACCCTCCACAAGTACAGTTCCTCTCCCTTCAAGTCATGTGGACAGGAGAAAATCCAAGCATCCATGAAATGGCCCCAGCGTACTCTTTCACTCTTCGTTTTGGCTTTTTTCAACCTGTCTTGGGCTGTAGCCAAATGACCACTTGCTCTGGAGGGATTCCTCACTGACCCACCTGAGGATTTGTGCTTGTCCTTAGACTGTAACAACCTACCCAGCCTCCTAGGCGCCTAGCCAAAATTCTCTCTGGCTCAGAGCCCAGACCTCTCCAATGCCTTGCATGCCTTGATGGGACCTTGTTGCAGTTTTCCTTTGACTTTGTGCCCCAGGTTCAGTACCTGGGTTCTTGCCATGTTCTGGTGACTAATTCCCATCTTCTAACCCACTTCAGGAACTGGGGCACAGCTACTCTTGGCAGTTCTCTCAGAGCCTGAAATTCTCTGCCAGCACCACAGGTTAGCAGCTGAAACTGCTACCTTGTGCACCTGCCTGAGCAGCTGCATAAATGCCTGCTCCAAGCTTCACCATGACCCTGTTTGCCTGCCTTCCAGAACGGATCTTGACCTCCACATGTGGACAACTGCTAGGAATGTGGCCCCTGCTTCACGTGTGACCCTCCAGACCTGGAACCTTGTCCTCAATCATCCAAATCCAGGCCACTTTACAGTCTGTGTCCCAGGGGTTCCCAAAGTGTGGTCTGCAGGGTGTTACTAGGCACTGGGTGTGGGGTGATTAAATAAATGTAGGCGACATTTAGTTATATATAGGTAGTTTTCTTAAGATGTGACTTTGTAGAGCTTTTAACATGTTTTCATGTATTACAGTTCTCCAAGTTCAGAACTGTAATTAAGTGCTGTTCCCATGCTTATTTCAAAATGAGACCATGTTTTTCACTGAACAGCTCTAGGGATACTGGAAGCACTGGCCACAAGTAGAGTTGGCATATAAAATTTCCAGGTCCAATTCCTCTCTGGCGAGGCCTAGCCCATTAAGCAGCATCTACTGTGATAAGGAACTGTGGTAGGCGCCACACATAAGCACATATGCTTGGTCCCCAAAGAGCTCATAGTTCAATGGTAGAGGAATATGTTCATAGGTAAGTGGTAGTAGTTACTTGACTGAGAGTGGATAAAGGTCATTTTGGGACGGTAAGGAGTAAATAGTTCTGCAGGAGTATTTGGGGAGTTTTCACAAGAAAGGGATATTTAATTTAGATCTTGAAGGATGATCCAGAAATTCTGCTGTATGCAAAGCATGTGCAAGATCCAGAATCACACAGTGCTGGGTGTATCTGGGGAGTGCTTGGGTTCTGCGGGTCAGAGATGCAGGATGTGTGAGGGCAAAGTGTGGGCATGAGGCTGGAGCATAGGCTGGGGCCAACAGAAAAAGGCCTTAAAAATAAAGAAGTTAGACTTTGGAGTGCCCGGATGGAGTTTTGAGAAAGTTTTTAGCACAGTGGTTATGGCAGTGGTGTGGCATGTGGAGCGGACTCTGCTGGCCCAAGTTCTTCTTTTGGTGCAGATGCAGGCTCAGCTCAGGAAGGCTGACCTGAGGCAAACTTCCCTTAGCTGGTTATTCATCTGTTATCCTGGACCACATTCTCTCCCAGAGGATGATACTTTTTCATGGTGGAGGATGGTATTGGCCTTTTTTTTCCCCTTGGTGCCTTACACAGTGACTCATGTCAAGTACGTGCATAACAAATACTGCCTTTTAGAATAAATAAGCGAAGTGTTAAATAAGTCTGTACAGACTACAGGTGCCACAGTTTTGAGGAGAAGGCCCTCTTTGGGAGCTTGAGTACAGATTGTAGGAAGGTAGGCACTTGGGAGAAGATCTGACTTGTCATTGAAGTGTAGTTGCAATTGGGATATGGATGAAGAAAGGACAACTCATCCTAGGTAAAGGGGGTAGCCCCTGCAAGTGCCAGAACAGGGCATGGTCAGGATTTAGAGGACAGAGAAGCTCAAGGAGCTGGGCAGGTGATGCAAGGGTGCTGTCCACACGCTGAGGACAGAGACTTATGGCTCAGGGAGCCGCCAGGGAGCACGACTTGGCCCTGCCTTGCTGGTTGCCTCAAATGACAGCTCTCCAAACACTTGAAGGGCTAGAAGTGGGACTAGCATGGGAAAAACATGAAACCAAAATGCTAGGGGAAGGCTGGAGAAGGATACAGCTATCCAAATTGAAGTGAAAAGCAGAGCCTTAGTATTGAAAGCAGGGAAGAGCTCAGCAGAGGACAGGGCAGGAATGAAAGATGAGACTTAGATGAGCAGCAAGGCTGACTTAAGGAGAAACTGCTGAGTGGTCACTGAGGACTCTTTTTCTCAGAGGCACAGTTCCCAGAGCTGAATGGAGAGTTTCATACACGTATGAGCTATGCAGTCCACATCAGATACTAAGTACAAAGTGAAATGATGGCTGATCAGTGGTGAGGTGGCTGGGCTGATGGAACAGAGGTGCATCCTGCAAAGCAGGAAAGATATAAGGTTCAGTCATTGGATCAGATTGGGGTGGGCTTGGTCTAAGCAGAGGAATATACAGTTAAACAGTGGAATTAAGAAGCCCTGACTTGGCCGGGGGCGGTGGCTCACGCCTGTAATCCCAGCACTTTGAGAGGCCGACGCAAGCGTATCACCTGAGGTCAAGAGATAGAGACCATCCTGGCCAACACAGTGAAACCCTGTCTCTAATAAAAATACAAAAATTAGCTGGGCGTGGTGGCGCGTGCCTGTAGTCCCAGCTGTTCGGGAGGCTGAGGCGGGAGAATTGCTTGAACCCAGAAGGGGGAGGTTGCAGTGAGCAGAGATCGCGCCACTGCTTTCCAGCCTGCCGACAGAGTGAGACTCTGTCTGGAGAAAGAAAAAAAAAAGAAGCCCTGACTTTTGATAAAGCAGGGGTATGAGGAAAGCAGAAGCACTCATTGCAGGTTCAAAGGAGAGCCTGGAGTCAGCCATTTGGGGAATGTTACTGGAGCAAAGCGAAGTGGTTCTGAATCAGGTAAGGAGCTATGCAGTTGGAGAGAAGAAATGCAGAGAGCATTTTGACAGAACTGCCAGTATGGGTGACTGACGGGACAGCTGGACAAAAAGGAGAGAGTCAGAGATCATGTCAAAAGTTTTGAGAGCATGAGGCCGCCATCTTGGCGGGCCCTGGCCGGCCAGCACACAGATCACGTCCTCAGGCTCTGTGTTTCCTCCGGCTCTGTGTTTGCGCAGCCTCGTGGAAATGGTAGCCAGTGAGCTTGTGTGATTATGAACTGTGAATTATTATTTTCGGACTGCCTGAGGGAGGTGGGAGCATCTGTGATAAGATCGTGAGCTCAGGCAGGAGAGGAGTGCTGTGCAGGTGGCCCCTGGCATGTGTGTGGACATGTTTCCCGATGGAGAATTGGGAGGAAGAAAATGATTAGAGTGTTAGTGCCAGAAGGCAAGTATAATATGGTCTAAATGTTGTATCCAATCCTAAATACCCCAATAGGAAGAAAAAAGAAATCAAGCATGTCATTTTTATAATGTAAAATTTGAGGGTAGTGCCAATGGAAAAGGCCTTGAAAACACCCATAAAGCTCAAAGGATTGTCCAAATTATTTTTTTTGTGCTCAAATTCTATTGTATCAAATATTACTTGAGAAAGTTTAGATTGACAGCTAAGTCTCAGGGATGTTTTGTATTATGTGGAGTTTCACTTGAATTGGATTTGACCATTGTGTATAATCAAATCTGAATCCCCAGCATATATTTTAGGGAATAGTAAGTGAGGTCATTGCATTTGGCATGTTACTGAAAGCAGTGCCCAGGGAATAAATCCTGACATCAACCAGCTAGCTAAGAACATGACACATTTCCTTGATCTTCTGCCAAGGAACACTGCCAACAACTGACACAGAGAGCAGGAGAGAATGCGGGGTGTCTAATGTCCCTTCCACCCTTACAAATAATCCCCAAATAATTCCATTAGACCCAATGTGGAGAAGACAGGACCAGCCTACAGGAAGGGTGTGTCTGTGGGCACATTCTCTGAGCTGTTACTTCTGGCCTGGCCATGGTGTCTTTTATTGGTGGATTATACTTTTTCCTGTTGGAGAAGAAACAACAGCAAACAGGGCCACTGAAGAATATTTTTTTTTGGATATGGAGTCTTGCTCTGTCACCCAGGCTGGAGTACAGTGGTGCGATCTCGGCTCACTGCAAGCTCCACCTCCTGGGTTCACGCCATTCTCCCACCTCAGCCTCCCGAGTAGCTGGGACTACAGGTGCCCACCACCATGCCTGGCTAATTTGTTTGTATTTTTAGTAGAGATGGGGTTTCACCGTGTTAGCCAGGATGGTCTCGATCTCCTGACCTCGTGATCCATGCGCTTCGGCCTCCCAAAGTGCTAGGGATTACAGGTGTGAGCCACTGCACCCAGCCAAAGAATTTTAAAATAAGAGGTGAAGAGGTTAGAGATGTATTAAGAACACCATACTAAAATCTGTAATGGAGCTGCAAGAAACAGAAAACCATTCTTCAGTTTTCTGTTGATTGAATGATATAGTGTCCCATGACTTGCAAAGGTCAGGGTCAGCACAGAGTATATGTTGTTGTCTAAATCAACGACTATGTCAAATAATGCTTGGAACTGATAGATCCAGAGAAGAGAACCAGCCTAGGCCATAAGGTTGCTCTGGAATGCATCATTGCCTCAAGAGGGACATTCTAGTAACAGGCTTGGCAGAGTCAGTCCTGCCTGAGAACCTCACCATAAAAAGTCACACCTGTCAATGTCAGCCTCTGTAGAACAGAGCCATTGGGGTTCTCTTTCACTAGAATCCATTTGAAAGTCATCCTGGTCTTTGTCCTTGAGTCAGCAGAAGTGTCTATTAGAGCATGTTTGAAGAAGGTATTGATTTAATTAAATAATCTTTTTTCAGAATCTCAAAGAGAACAGTTAGCTAAGTTTAATGTCTACCTGAGTACACAAAAACTTCACCAACATACACCTTCTTATATTTCTGAAAAGAACTGTGCAGGATGTGACTTGAACAGGTGATAGTGGGCAGAACGGGAAGTCGGAAAGGCGTGCTTCCAGAAAATAAAAAAGGCTTCGGAACAAACTTCTTTGTCTTCAGTGAGGACTATTGGGAAAATTTGAGGTTAGAAAGGGTAGATTTATGTGGGGATGTGCTTGGATTGCCATGTGGTGATGGTTAGTTATGCTATTTTTTATATGCTTGTTTCTAGAAAAATAGATTTTTGAACCCTAAGTGCAAAAAATGCCATAAGACTTAAGGCAATCATCCAACTTAGGGATGAACTCTGCATATGTCACAAATAATTATAGTTTATAGATTATAGTCATTTTATTTAAAATAAAAATAAACATTTTAAATGGTTACATTGGACATTTTTATTAAAATTTTGTTTTCAGATTATAAAAGTAATACATGCCACAATTCTTCAAGATCTATTCCACCTATATAGAGAAAATACTGTGTGTGCCTATTCACATATTCAACAAGTTTTGGTCCTTTTCTATGTACTAGACACTCTTTTAGGTGCTGGGAATACAAAATTTAAAAGAACTATTCTCATCTTTCAGAAACAGGCAGTCTACAGAAAAATGTGCTCAAATACAATAAAAATCCTGCATGCTGTGAAAGTAGCCTGTGCACAGGGAGAGCAAAGAGGAGACAGAAGTTAGGGGAGCAAGAGAGTGTAGGGAGGCTTCCTGGGGCAGCGAGAATTGGAGGCCAGTTCCAAAGCAGGAGTGGTTGTTGGGGGTGGGATCGGGGGAAGTGGGTGGGCAGGGAGACTCCAGGCAGATGGAACAGCATATGAAAAGGCGTGGAGATATGAGAGGGTATTGGCTGGAGGTGGGCTACTACCAAGTGATGAAACTGGAGAAGTTAATCAGGAAGGCAGCTTGTGAAGGATCTGTGTGCTCGAGAGTGAATCTGATTTCAAATGTGAACAAGACTTTCAGATGTATGACTTAGCCCATTTAGACATCCTCTGAGGTAGAGAGCATAGGTTTATTCTAAGATTGGCTCCTCATTCCATTGGCTAACCTTGGTATTTATCAAAGCCTGTGAGCCTAGGTAGCCTCTGTTATACAAACCGTACCCATCCTCATTTGAGGTAGTATCATTGTCATCAAAAGAAACTTTAGGACAGAAAACAAGCCAGATAAGCACAATGAGCCCTGGCTGAGCATCCAAGGAACCCACACCTGGCCGGCCTGGAGAGAAGCAGGTGATGATCTTGAGAGGTCTCATTTATATGGTGGGAGAAGGCTACTCAGAGGGTTAAAAAAAATGAGATGATAACTAACTAGTGCTGGGACAGAGATTTTCATGGATATTCCCCAAATACTAAGGTTTAACTACTCTTTAAACTGTCTCATAGATCTAAAGGTCAATTTATTGGCTAAATAATAGTAGCTGATATGGTTTGGCTGTGTCCCCACACAAATCTCATCTTGAATTGTAGCTCCCATAATTCCCATGTGTTGTGGGAGGGACCTGGTGGGAGATAATTTAATCATGGGAGTGGTTTCCCCCATACTGTTCTCATGGTAGTGAATAAGTCTCATGAAAGCTAATGGTTTCATGAGGGGAAACCCCTTTTACTTGGTTCTCATTTTTCTCTCTTGCCTGCTGCCATGTAAGATGTGCCTTTCACCTTCTGCCATGATTGTGAGGCCTCCCTAGCCAGGTGGAACTGTGAGTCCATTAAACCTCTTTTTCTTTATAAATTATCCAGTCTCAGGTATGTCTCTATCAGCAGTGTGAAAACAGGCTAATACAATAGCTAATATCTATTGAGCATGTTCTCTGTGCCAGGGGCTTGCTGAGTTTTCATGAGATACAATACGAGAGCAACCACTTTCCCAATCCTAGCTCTCCAATAAAGATGGCATAAGCTGCTCAATGCAAGTATGGGCACATTTTACCCTCTTAATGGGAGAAAAATTTTTAAAGTGATGAAGACCAGCACGAAAATGCTCAAGGTGAAATGGCCAGAAACATAGTGTGAGTCTAGTTTTGTCCATATATGAAAGAAACGCAAAAGCATAAATTGTATTCATCTCTGGGAAGTGGAAGCCAAGTAATGTGTAGTTCCTTCTTTAGACTTTCTTCTAGAATGAACAGAAACTATTTTTATAATAAAATAATGTTGTTGTTTTTTTATAAAAGGATGATTTTATCTGGCTGAATTGGAGCCCAGAAGTTGTGAAGGAAAATAATCCTCATGTTTCTCTAACATGCCCCCATGCCATTGAACCCTGAGTGTGTGTTTGCATCTGTTGCTATGCAGAAGAGTTTTTATTCTGTCACTGGGGTTAGTTTTTGTTGAGTCAGGGGGGCAGAGACTGGATTTGAGTTTCCACAGTTAGAAGGAGACGGGAAATGAACAGAGCTACTTTTTATGGAAGACTTGGTAGAGAAGAGAGGTCAGAAGTTGACAAAACTATCAAAGAAAGACTAGATGACTCTAGAGCAGAATTGTATGGGGGTCATGAGACTGAAGGTGGCATTAAGTAGGAGCAGCCCACTGTCCTCACCTCTGACAGCACCGAGCACCCAGGAGGATCCTAAGACTGCAGGCTGGGCATGGCTGGTGTTGTCACATAATGGGCAGGGGTGGGGTGAGAGGAGTGGGGCTTCTTTTGGGTAGGTAGGTATGTGATAGGTTTGTCTGGATGGTGGAAGCTGAAGCTGAAGACCTGGGTAAGGGATGGCTTGATTTCAAACCAAGAAGGGTGGCCTCATTTTGTGATCACAGGCTGATGGAGGCTCAGTGTGAGGTTATGTTGCTAGGAAACGGAAAGAAGATGCATTTATAAGCAAGTAAGAACTTCTGCAACCATTGGAATGCAGCCCAAAGCTTGGCACAGTTTTTGGTTGGTTTTATGGTTCTGATAAGCACCAGAGTATACAAAGCAGCTGGAGACTGCTAGGGTCCCTATGAAGGAAGGTGGCAGATGTGCTGACTGACATACACCTACCGGCCCCCATGGGACTTTTATGGCCATGAGCGTTAGGGAGCCACACCTCCCTGTGAAAGACACGACCACAGTCATCTGCTGTAGCTCCTGCAAAAAGTGAAGTGAAAATTGATTGACTTAAACATTGGATCTTATGAATAAAAACTTCCAAATGTGACTGGTGAAACCCAACTTAAATCTGGACCCACCAAAAGTTAACGTGATACCCACAGATTTGATGAGCGCTCTGAGGGGTCCTGCGTTCTTCTCATATGGCCACGGACTTATGAGGTTTCTCTTCCACTTCCTTCAGGACAGATGCTAATGTCAATTTCAAAATCAGCATAAGGACCCCTTTCTGACAAAGTTCACTTTTACTGAGAGAGTGCTATTTTCAGACAGACTTGAAGAGTGTAAATTTGCCATTACACTATTTCTGGAATGAGGAAAGGAATAAAGTGGGTACATTTTTAAAAACCTATCTATCCCATTTCAGTGTTTATTGTTATGATATGTAGAAGAAATATAGCTGCTGTTTAAAAAGTGATTTACCATTTAATCAATGAAAGTAGCTTCTCGTGGGCCTAACACCACCCTGTCACTTCCTCAGAGGCTGTCGCCCCCATACTGGGGTATGAGGACAGCCTTGGTGCTGTAACAGGACTGTTCTGGGGCCTCTGGAAGGATCTGCAGTGTTCCCCCAGAGTGTTCTCTTGGATTGCTCCAGGGATACAGAGTGCTGTTGACAGAGGACTGTGTGATAGGTAGCACCCGATGCCCCCTTAGACTGTTGTAATGCACAGCTGGTCATTTAAGAGCCCTGAGAAGTCCTTGGATCATGGAGTATTTGCAAGTCTAACGGGAGGCACTTGGTGAATGTTTCATAGGTGTGCTTGAAAAAAAAAGAGAGTATTCTGCCATTACTGATTGGAATGTACTTAGGCATCTATTAGGTTCTAATAGGTCCTGTGTTGTTTGGTTCTTTTATGTCTTTGATGATTTTCTGTCTAGTAGTTTTATTCTCAATTTTGGTATAAACTTTTGATGATCCTTCCTCCTTACAGCTGCTCTGAATATTCTACTGAACTTGATTTCACTATACACAAATTTTGCATAAGTCTAGAGCAGTATATTAGAATTATCTGTGAGCTTTAAGAGATGCATATGCCTGAACCATATTCCAGACCAATTTAAGTCAGATTCCCTAGGGGTGGGTCCTAAGAATCTGCCCTTTAAAATCTCCCTAGGTGGCTCTATTGTGCATTCAGGATTGAGGACCACTGGATAGAGGCTATACAACGTGATCCAATTCACGTGTTCCAGGTAACAGACCTGGGTGAAGCCACGAGACCACATCCACTGTGTCTAGAGCAGCATTGTCCAGTAGAGCTGTCTGAGAGGGTGGAAGCTGTGTCTGTGTTGTCTAATGTGGCAGCACTCACCACACACTGCTGTTGGGCACTTAAAATGTGGGGAGTGAGACTGAGGAACTGAATTTTTAATTTGATCTTTATTTTAAGTAATTTAAATTTAAATAGCTGCATGTGGCTAGTGACTACTGTAGGCAGCTCTAGATCCATGTAATTTTTGTCTTATTTTACCAAAAAAAGAAATACATTTTCACCCGAACTTCCAATGATAAATGATTTTAAGTGGAAGTACTCAGTTAAAAATGTGTTCTTTTATATCAAATAGTACATGTATCAGCAAAACACGTGAATTGATATTGTTTCTTCTCTGTGGAGAAGTGAGACTTTAGAAAACAATTCAATGTGCCTCTATGATTACAAAATTGCACCTTGGAAAATATTTGTAAATGATTGTGCTGAGGAATAACACTTGTCCTGAGAAATAAACTTACATTTTCTTTCAAATACATGCCTGTTATCTGTGGCTTTTAAAACTTATTGGGGGCTGGGCACGGTGGCTCATGCCTGTAATCCCAGCACTTTGGGAGGCCAAAACAGGTGGATCACCTGAGGTTAGGAGTTCAAGACCAGCCTGACCAACATGGTGAAACCCTGTCTCTACTAAAAATACAAAAATTAGCTGGGCGTGGTGGCACATGCCTGTAATCCCAGCTACTCAGAAGGCTGAGGCAGGAGAATTGCTTGAACCCAGAAGGCGGAGGTTGCAGTGAGCCTAAAAACTGTCTCACTCCCACCTGGGCAACAAGAGTGAAACCCCATCTCAAAAAACAAACAAACAAAAAAAAAAAAACAACTTACTCTGAATTCCCCAATTACATTGTTCATCTCTCCATTTCATAAGGCTTGTAGTTTCCAGGAGCACAATTGTAACGGTAAAAAAATGTTCAAACCCAACTGTGTTGGACTCAGAATGCTTGCAATCACTCTGTCACCTGTAATCAAGGTGCTGTGATAAGATGCATTTGTATTGGCTGTTCAGTGTTTCCTACATGACTGACATAAGTTTGTATGGTGAGCCAGGCCATGAACTCTTGGCACTAGGGAGTAATTCCTTAAACACTGGCAAAATTCGTTGCAAGATAAATCCTAAGTGCATGTATTTTACACCATAAATTTGAGGTAGCAGGAAAACAAGCTACTCTTCATTTTGAAGTATTTATTCATTCTCTGATCTTTTTTTTTTTTTCTTGAGGTGGAGTTTCGCTCTTGTCCCCCAGGCTGGAGTGCAATGGCATGATCTTGGTTCACTGCAGCCTCCACCTCCTGGATTCATGCGATTCTCCTACCTCAGCCTTCCGAGTAGCTGGGATTACAGGTGCCCACCAGCAGGCCCAGCTAATTTTTGCATTTTTAGTAGAGACAGGGTTTCACCATGTTGGCTGGGCTAGTCTGGAACTCCTGATCTCAGGTGATCCACCCGCCTCGGCCTCCCAAAATGCTGGGATTATAGGCGTGAGTCACTGTGCCCGGCCTTCTCTGACTATTTTTAAATGCTAATTTTTAGTGTTGGGAAGAAAAACTAGGAAAAGGAGTGCTTTATCATAAGCTCATCAAGAAAAAGGGTTATGATAAAATTATTTTGGTTTTGGTTCTTTATAAAATGTTTCTGAAAAATTGAAATAATAAATACAATGTATCACGACAGCACGAAAGTCAGATGTTAATTTTTCCATATTTTGTTATTCAACAGAAAATCATTAATGATATGCAAAAACTAGGAGGAAGTGTTTAAAAAATAATGGGAAACTATTAATTCTCACTTTCCATAGCTCCTTTCAGCTTCTGAAACTAAGAACATTAATTTTCACTCAAGCCTGTCCAAGTCCTAAGAAAATCGTAACCAATCCTAAGCCCATATCAATAGGCTCTTCACCAGTTGGTTAAATCTGAATCAGTCTGTAGCCAAGAGTCTGTTGTGTGTATCCCAAGCAGGGCCCAGACAGAGGAAGAGAGAAATCCTGAGTCCATGCACCTGCCAAGTTTCAGTTTTCTTCTGTTCCAGTCTTTCTGGCATCCATTTCAGGTGCCGCTGACCTAGGGGGAAGGGCTACTGTAACCCACTTGAGAGGATGGTCAGCCATCACTCAAATTAACACACTTAGAAGGGCCCAGGAGAATCAGGTTTGTCTGGCGTTCAGCATAACTGTTAGAAAGTGCTAAGAAGCAGAGGGGTGTTTTTTGGTGTTCCTGCAGGCCTGGGAGAGTGGGCTCTTTGCCCTCTGGGGTGAGCTTTTCTCTGCTCTCACCTACACTGACAGATCTGCCATTTCTTGTACTACATCTGCCCTCATTGTCTTCCAGTCTCAAAGGATTGAGTGTCCTTCCCCTGTTGGAAGCTGGCCTACTCAGACTACCATGGTGGCACCAAGCTTTTACACTAAGGACGTTGTGAAAAATGAGAATTTCTGGGCCTTTCCCCCTTTGTGTTCTGATGCTGGGTGTTGCCCAGGGATTTTTGTCTTTAGCCCCCCCAGGAGAACTTCCCATAGGATTTGGTGGGCCTTCCTTGAGAAATACTCCCTGCTCCATGGAGAGTAACCATCCTCTCCATATTCATTTATTTTTATTGAGTCATTCCCTACTCTGTAAGTATGCTCACTTCCCCACTGAAAACAGAATCCTCTCTCAACACCTCTTCTCTGCATTCCTTTATAGTTGACTTCTCCCGAAGAAACAAACCCCATGCTTGTTGCCTGTTTCCCCACCTTTCTCCTCAGTTCTCTGCAGTCCAGTGTTTGTCCCCAGTACTCCACATTTACTCTTATTATCCTCCAAACAAACAAAACTCACCAGTCAGCTCCAATCCAGACCCTCCAACAAAGCCTGCAGAGCCCCGTTCCTGCCCCCTGGTCACGTGCAGCCCTGTCCTGTTCCTTGCTGTCTGCTGCCTTAGGGTCCCGGCTTCCGTATAGCTTCCTGATGTGCAGAGCCCTTTTCTGCCTCAGGCCTTTGCACTGCAGCTGTCTGGAGCTTATGCCCCCCACCGCAGGCTTCCTCCTCACAAGGGACTATGTCATGTTCTTGGTGTGACAGCATCCATATCAGAAAGAGGCCTTGCCTGTGAATGTGATTTAAAGCAGCTATCATTCTCTCTCTTATAGCTCCTGTTATTTTCCTTCAGAGTGCATTTCCTAATTTATATATGTTTTAACAAATTTATTGATACTTCCCCTCACTAGATTCTGAGTTTTGAAAGGCTAGTGGCCTTACTCGTGTAGTTCATCACTGTACCAAACCCAGTTCCTGAAACATGGTAGATGCTTTACTTGGAGACATAGTGAACCAATGATGCTGTTTTGATGGAGGCCAACTAATGACTCCCTAATTTCCACCTTCTCCACCTGAATGCAGAGCTGCCTGGGTGAGAGACCATGGCAAGCGATGACTCTGCAGAAAATCTGTGACTTAATATTTGCCCTGAGTGTTCTCAGTTCTCTGACAAACAAAGCCAGACACCCGGCACTTCACATCACTGTGGCTGATCCCACTGGTAGAAAGGCCTTGGGGAATGTTGTGTTTTAATGATTTCACTGAAAATAAAACTAAAAGCCTAGTTTCTTCCTTTGTACAGAAAAATGGTACTGCTGATGTTAACCTTGTGATTACAGGATAATTTCAATAAATTGCTAGAGACTTTTTGTTTTTTTTTTTGTCTTTGCAGAGTGAATGAAATACAGAGAGAACTACATCCTCCACTTCCTGTGTAGCATTGAGGTATTCAGATCCCCCTTAGGAAAGAAGGTTTCAGGAGCTTTGCCTCTCAGCATCCCTGTACACACAGCCTGGTTCCTGAGCACAGTGCCTGTCGTGTTCCCATCTAAGCCTCATTTCCTTTCCTTCTTTAGGGACATGAATCTGCTAGCAATAAAAATATCTAACTGGGTAATAATGTATGCAGGGTACACTGTTAGTGTTCCTAACTGCTGTTAAATGGTGATGGGCGTTAACTGGCATTTTGAATACAGCCCTTACAAAGCCTTTTTTTTTTTTTTTTTCCCCACTAAAGCTGGTGCCTGCGCAGGTGTCTAAAAAACATGCACAACCCCACAATGGAAACTGCAACAAGTTCCTAGTCCCTTCAAGAAGCTTTCTCAGCACATGAGACACTCTGAATGAGAGTCTGGACATTTGGTTGTTTTATTATTTAAGAATGTCTTAGAATGTAATAGAAATGAAATATAAATAAGAAATATAATTATGGCAAAGAAAGAAAGTAAATGACCACTATTGCTAAATGGCAAGGCTAGAAAACCCATGAGAGTCCCTTGTCCAGCATTAGTTTAGTAGAGATGGATACAAAATAAATAAGAAAAATCACTATAATACAGTTGGTTTCCTATGTGCTTCCTGGGATGTGCTTTACACACATCAAGCCCCTGTGATGCTGAGCAGAAACAGGGGCTTCAGGTTCACACAGGTCAGCTCTTGAGTACGTCTTTGCTACTCCTTGCAATTTCCATTATCACTGCCAACTTATCTGGGTCCTTCATACAGTTCATGTGAATTATTGGTAGTGAATAGCTCTTAGTGCTAGGACTTAGTAGCTGGTCAAATGAGGAGGGGAAGGACAAAGAGGCTGTTCATAAATGTACTGAGCATCTACTAATCTGTATCAGGCCTTGTCCCAGATGCCAGGGTGGGACTGATGAAGACCTAGGGTAGACTCTGAGGACACACAGGGAAGGGTGTGCTGAAGCTCTCGGGTTTGATAATGGGCATGTAAACGGGATTCACAGAGAAGAGCAGGTTTGGGTGAAAGATGGTGAGTTCAGACATGGGCACTAAGGACTTGGATTTCCACATGATGATGACTGGCAACACCCCCAAATAAAAGACCAGAGCAGAAGCAGGGGCCAGAGTCTGAGATGGGGACTCAGGAGCCAGGCCCAAAGTGGTCCCTGAAGTCCTGTGAGTGGATGAGTTTGCTAAGAACATTCAAACAGAAAAGGAGAAATTAGTGAGATTAGAAGCTTCCAGAGATCTCATGAATTAGTCTGCAGGAAGAAATAAAATCATAGAGGAAATAGAGCTGAAATCATCAGTAAAGTTTGCAAGCCAGGCAAGTGCCCAAGAAACAAGGCCAGAGAGAGTTCCTCGAAGCAGATGGGCACAGTGACAAGTGCGGTAAAAGGAAAGGCAGCTAAGCCAGAAAATGGCTTTGACTGACCTGGTGCTGAGAGATGCTGGGGTGAGTTGCTCAGTAGAGCAATGGAGGTGAAAATTGTCCACCAAGGGCTAGGGAGTCAGGGGGTGGGGAGGCAGAGGCCATACAGGATCTGTATGGGGAATGGGGGATAGGGTGGTAGATGGAAAGGGAAATGTGGGAGAAAGGGAGAGGCTGATAATGCTGGGCGACAGCGGATGACCCACCAAGTGCAGGTTGGACTGCAAAGGAAAGTGGCAAGAGAGGAGAAAGGGGAAGATAAGAAGGCATGAGATAAGATGGAAAGAAGAGAAAGTGGAGAGAGCTTTCCTTGGCTGTTCTTGACTATTTTACAAAACTGAGAGGATGGTAATTTGATAAAAATGGAGGGGGCAGAAATGTCCCTGTGGGCTTGAAGGGACCATCCCGTTAGACAATACACAGGAAAGTCAAGAAAAGATGAACAAAGTTGAGCACTGTGCAGTCACTCTGAGGGCCAAATTACAGTTAGCATGAATTTTGGGAATCCAAATAACACAGCTTTGTGACTTTCTTCAGAAATCCTTGGGCAAGAAAATGC
Organism: Homo sapiens; assembly: GCF_000001405.40. Lineage (NCBI taxonomy): Eukaryota > Metazoa > Chordata > Mammalia > Primates > Hominidae > Homo > Homo sapiens. The sequence continues at coordinate 25,480,830 of NC_000015.10, forward strand.
AGAAAAGAATTGGGTTGGAAAGCAACAATTCTAAGGCCCCCAGAGGGTCTAGTGGTTTACAGTGCTGACCATGGGGTCCAGCCTGGGCAGAGGGGAAATTGATGGCCGAAAGGGGAGGAAAAGCCAGATCAGGGAAGATCTTAGGGACAGCAGACTCTGAACTGAGGTGAATACCTCTCTTCCCTTAGAGGGAGATGCACCACTTCAAGGGTCTGTGAGGCTCCTCTCCATATCTGCTTGCTGGCGGGTGAGCAGGAGTGGTTGCCCAGGTAGTCCCAGAGAAGCCCATACTCCTGACGGTGGTTTCCCTTACCCAGGCTCAGGTCTCCCTTGTCTTAAACCAATGTCTACCCCAGAGAAGAGGCTGCTGCCCTAATTATAGAGTACAGATTGACTAAACCATACCCTTAATGTCTGTCAATACTGATAAACTACCAAATGTATACAGGTGATTAATAACAGTACTCCCCTCATGATGACATGATCTTGCACCAGTGTTTTATATATATATACACACACACACCGAGTCACTGGCCTAACCTGTTTAGTCTCCTGGAGAATTTAAGTGGCAGCAGGGGAGAGCTGTGCCTTTTGTGTGTCCTGAAAGGCACATACAACCCCTGCAGCCTGCGGGTTAAGATGGAAGATTATAATTAATCACAAAGATGTGGCTGAACGCGCAGTGTTCTTCCTTCTGCTGCTTCCTGCTGCCAGGGAAAGAGCCAGTGGCCTCTAAACGACCCGTGAGAGCAGCTCTGTTGCCGTGTGCAGCATTGGCTTCAGATCCTTCTTCCTCAGTCCTGCCTCCCTGCAGTTTTGGCTTTCCTTTTTCTGTGCTTTTTCTCTTGACTTGCCAAATTTGGGCTTAGTCAGGGCTGTGGTGTTAACGCTCCTAATGAGCCAGCTCACGCCGACTCAGAGCCTGAGCAGCGGTAATCAGAGCTGAAGACAAAAGCAGGGGCGGAGGCACGCGTCCAGGTGTGCTTTCTGCAGTGCCTCTCTTTGTCCAAACATTTTACAGACTCCAGAGGGGAGAGGGCAGGGACAATGTGAGAAGCAATGAACTCCCCAAGGAAATTACTGTTTCAATAAAGAAGGAAGATTGCAAGCTGCACTCTGTACGTGTAGATGAGTGTGTGCTCATGTTTTAAAACTCTGAACATGCAAATTATTATTATTTTTTATTATACTTTAAGTTCTGGGATACATGTGCAGAACCTGCAGGTTTGTTACATAGGTATACACGTGCCATGGTGGTTTGCTGCACCCATCAACCCGTCATCTACATTAGGTATTTCTCCTAATGTTATCCCTCCCCTAGCCCCCCACCCCCGCGACAGGCCCTCGTGTGTGATGTTCCCCTCCCTGTGTCCATGTGTTCTCATTGTTCAACTCCCACTTACGAGTGAGAACATGCAGTGTTTGGTTTTCTGTTCCTGTGTTAGTTTGCTGAGAATGATGGCTTCCAGCTTCAGCCTTCCTTACACCTTATACAAAAATTAACTCAAAATGGATTAAAGACTTAAATGTGGCCAGGCTGGGTGGCTCACACCCGTAATCCCAGCAATTTGGGAGGCCGAGGTGAGTGGATCACCTGAGGTTGGGAGTTTGAGACCAGCCTGACCAACATGGAGAAACCCTGTCTCTACAAAATATACAAAACTAGCCGGGCATGGTGGCACATGCCTGTAATCCCAGCTACTCGAGAGGCTGAGGCAGGAGAATTGCTTGAATCTGGGAGGCAGAGGTTGCAGTGAGCCGAGATTGCACCATTGCACTCTAGTCTGGGCAACAAGAGTGAAACTCTGTCTCAAAAAAAAAAAAAAAAAAAAAAAAAGACTTAACATAAGGCCTAAAACCATGAAAACCCTAGAAGAAAACCTAGGCAATACCATTCAGCACATAGGCATTGGCCTAAAACATCAAAAGCAATGGCAACAAAAGCCAAAATTGACAAATGGGATCTAATTAAACTAAAGAGCTTCTGCACAGCAAAAGAAACTATCACGAGTGAACAGGCAGCCTACAGAATGGGAGAAAAGTTTTGCAATCTATCCATCTGACAAAGGGCTAATATCCAGAATCTACAAGGAACTTAAACAAATTTACAAGAAAAAATCAACCCCATCAAAAAGTGAGTGAAGAATATGAACAGACACTTCTCAAAAGAAGACATTTATGTGGCCAACAAACATATGAAAAAAAGCTCATCACCACTGGTCATTAGAGAAATGCAAATCAAAACCACAATGAGACACCATTTCACACCAGTTAGAATGGCGATCATTAAAAAGTCAGGAAGCAAATTATTTTTAATTGAAATTTGTATCGATCTAATTCCAGATTCATATGCAATTATAAGAAATAATACAGGCAGGGCACAATAGCTCATGCCTGTAATCCCAGCATTTTGGGAGGCCAAGGCAAAAGGATCCCTTGAGCCCAGGAGTTCAAGACCATCCTGGGCAACACAGCAAGACCCTGTCTCCATAAAAAGTAAAAAAATAAAAAATAAATTAGCCGAATTAGTGGCACGTGCCCATAATCCCAGCTACTCAGGAGGCTGAGGCAGGAGGATCACTTGAGCCCAGGAGACTGAGGCTGCAGTGAGCTGTGATCATGCAACTGCACTCCATCGTGGGTAAGAGTGAGACCCTGTCTCAAAACAAAATAAAATAAAGAAGAAGTAATATATAGAGATCCCATATTCACTTTCCCAGTTTTCTGTAATGGTAATATTTTGCAAATTTATAGTGTAATATCACAACCAAGATATTGACATTGATACAATCCCCCATCGATCTCAGATTTCCCCAGTTTTGTTTATACTCATTTGTGCATGTGTGTATGTCCGTGCATATGGTGTTTAGTTCTACACAATTTTATCACGTGTAGGGTTGTGTTTCCACCACCACAATCAAAATACTGAAATTTTCATCACCACTAGAACGGCTTGTGTTGCCCTATTATACCTAAATCCACTTCCCCATAGGATTCCCCATTGCCACCCCAGCCTTCAACCTCTGGCAACCACTGTTCTCCAATTCTAAAGTTTTATTTCAAAAAATGATATGGAAATGGAAACATACAGTATGAAACATTTGGGATTTTTTTTTCACTTAGCCTAATTGTCCTGGGATCCATTAAGTCATTGTGTATATCAATAATTCATTCCTTTTCATTCCTGAGTAGTATTTCATGGTATGGATGAACCACTTTGTTTAATCATTGACCCTTTCAGTCTAACTATATCTGCCAATCTCTTTTTATTGCTGTTTAAATTATTGATATTGATAAGTATTTATATGTTGGTGCTTAAGTCTACCTTTTTAATTATTTGTTTTCTGTTTGATTTCTGGTTCTCATTCCTCTGTTTATTTTCTTACCTTCCTTAGGTTATTTGAATAATTGTTTTGGATTCTACCTTGATGTGTTGTTAGTGTTTTTTTTGTTTTGTTTTGTTTTTTATACGGAGTCTTGCTCTGTCACCCAGGCTGGAGTGCAGTGGCATGATCTCGGCTCACTGCAAGCTCCGCTCCCGGGTTCACGCCATTCTCCTGCTTCAGCCTCCTGAGTAGCTGGGACTACAGGCACCCGCCACCACGCCCAGCTAATTTTTTTGTATTTTTAGTAGAGACGGGGTTTCACCGTGTTAGGCAGGATGGTCTCAATCTCCTGACCTTGTGATCCGCCCGCCTCGGCCTCCCAAAGTGCTGGGATTGCAGACGTGAGCCACCGCGCCCGGCTGTATTGTTAGTGTTTCTGTGTTTTGAATATATTTCTTTGTATAGCTTGTTTTTAGTGGGAAAAAAGTTCTTGCTGTGTTGTCCCCATTGGTCTGGAACTCATGGGCTCAAGTGATCCTCCTGCCTTAGCCTCCCAAAATGCTGGGATTACAGGCATAAGCCACCATGCCCGGCTGGCTTGAGTATTTTACGGTGTTAATGTTTTTGTTTCAATCATCAAATGTGATTTAGAAAAATCATAAGGAGGATAGTCTATTGCATGTACTCATATTTTTATTTCTTTAAAAAAATTTTTTTAGACACAGTCCTGTTCTGTCACCCAGGCTGGAGTCCAGTGGTGCAATCATAGCTCACCGCAGCCTTGACCTGCCTCAGCCTTGTGAGTAGCTGAGACCACAGGCGTGTGCCACCATGCCCGGCTTCCATATTTTCATTTCTGTTGTTTCTTCTTCTTTTCTGATGCTTCAGGATTCCCTCTTACAGTTCCTTGCTGTTTGATAAATTATCCAATCTTTAAGGATAAGTCTCCTAGGCACAAATTTTTCTTTCATTTGAGAATGTCTTTATTTTCTCTTCATTCCTGAAGGATAGTGTTCCCAGACATAAAATCTGTGGTTGAATTTTCTTTTCACTTCAAATACACGAAAAATGTTGTGCCATTTTCTTCTGGGTTCCACTGTTTCAGATAAGAAATCTACTGTCATTTCCATCATTCTTCCCCTATGGGTGATTTGTCATTTTTCTCTAGTTTCTTTCAAAATGTTTTTTCTTTGTCTTTGGTATGGATTTCTTGGGCTTATCATATTTGGGATTCACTCAGATTCTTGAATCCATAGGATTGTGTGTGTTGCCAAACTTCAGAAGTTTTCAGTCTACTCCTTCTTTCAGCCCCACTCTCTTTTCTCCTCTTCATCTGAGACTCTGATGACAGAAATGTTAGATCTATTTTACAGTTCCATAGGTCCCTGAGAATATCCTTAATATTTATTAAGGATATTTTCTGATTGTTCAGATTGGTTACTCAAATTAGGCAAATTATATCCTCAAGTTCAGCGATTCTATCCTCTGTCATCTCCATTCTACAATTAAACCCATCTAGGAAGTTGTCTTTTTTTTAAGTTTCTGTTATTGTATTTCTTAGTTCTCTAATTTCCATTTGGTCCTTTTGTGTAACTTCTGTTTCTTTGCTGAGATTTTTAAAATTGTTTTTATTTGTTTAACCGAATTTATAATTGATTGTTGAAGCATTTTTATTACAACTGTTTTAAAATCTTCATCAGATAATTCCAAATCTTGCTCATCTCAGTGTTGCTGTCAGTTGACTGTCTTTTCTTATCCAAATTGTGATTTTCTTGGTTCTTGGCAAAATGGGTGATATTTTATTGTATCCGGAACATTTTGTCTATTATATTAAGAAACTCTGGAGTCTGTTAATTTTTTTTAATTTCTTTTTTTTATTTTAGCTGGCAGTCACTCTGTTTAGGTTAAGCACTCAGGTCCTGGATTACTTTTGTGGGCTGTGGTTTTAAATCAGTTATATTTCAGAGACTTTGGTCTTTGTTTATCTATGAGGGCTGGGAATCCCACTCCCTGCTGGTGCTGTTTGAGGGACGGAACAGGTTCTCCCAGGTTGGGCTATGGAGTGTCTCTTGGAGTAGGATGGGAATCTCAGGCCAGTGGGGACAAAGAGGTTTCCTGGGCTGGGCTACTTGTCATAGTGACATCCTTCTGCTGGCTCTGCCCACCCACCAGGCAGGCAGGGAATCTCAGCACAGAGGGGTCTCTTGTTTGTATTTTCACTAGACTGTAGACCTGTGGAGGTAAGACCAAGTCTGGCTCTAGCTCCAGTGTGAAGCACAGAATACAATGTGTAACAGGGTGTGTGTGCTGGGCTGGCTGTGCTATTGTTCTCCAACACCCAAGACCTCTTTGCAATTTGGCTTATTCATATATCTCATATGGGTAACGAAATGCAAGCAGGAAAGAGTATCACTTATAGGTGAAGGCTTTGAGGGCCAGGAGAACCTTTGCTTCACACTCTTTCCTGTGTCATCATCACTGACAATGTTTCAGATGGTAGCTGTTCCATCAACCCACATCTCAGAGTCCCAGAGTAAGAATGCAGACAGCTTGAAGCAGAATCCCTGCAGATCTTGGACGGCATATTACGTGAGTGAGCAGGAAACTTTGTATGTGAATTGCAGCAATTTGGGAAGTTGTTTGTCACCACAGCATCACCTGGCCTATCCTGCAGTGAATTTTGCTTAAAGGAGAAAATGAAGAGGCAAATTTTGTTGGCTCTGGAGAGTACTAGAAATGTATAAAACCACATATCTTAAAAATTACATTCATTAAACATTTTAGTAATTCAGCTTGTATCCTCTTGTTAGACATTAACAATTGGGGTTTTACTCTAGGGAAATGAGAAACCACAGTTTGGTTTGACAGCATCTGTCTGCATTAGAGTACCTTGGTGGTCTGTGAAGACATTTGCAATATAGACTGTTTACAGTTAAAGAGAATTGCGGGGGTCTGGATATTTTCAATTGCCAGAGAAAAGCTTTCCTTCTGTCTGCGCCTCCAGGATGGATTCTAACATTAAGGATTATTGACTTGGTGGCTTTGTGCTTATCCCCAAATTATTTCTGTTCATAGATTTTGCATTTCTTTGTCATTCTTCTGTAAATTTCTGTCTCCATCCTATAGCGTTGTATTGAGTTCTCCATAGGCCAGTAATGGAATCAGCTTATCTTGAACCAGACCGTAATACAGCCTCTGGGTGTGAACAAGGCCACAAGCAAGGAAACTGAATACATCCTAGAGGAAGGAAATTGAGTTTCTGCTGAGGACGTTTAGGTAACATCACAGCACTTGTGTTATTGCTGGATGATGTTTCTTAGATTAAGCTGGCCTTGACACTTTCTCCAATGCTTTTAATACGATTTATTACTGAGGAAAAGATCTGGTCATTTAATAAAGATGCAGAAATACTTTCTGTCAAATTGTAAGGAAGCAATCCGTGTATTTTTGCAATATTGAATTGGTGAAAGTGAAATCACTTTAAAATGAAATTAGAGTGACTCATACACCCCCTGAATCATGGAAATACAGAGACCTGTGGCCAGTTAAACCCCTGAAACAAATTATCCATCCATGGCTGTCCCTAAGCACCCTTTTCTATTAAGGAGACACCTATAGCATCCAGCCTATTGTCTTTTTTATCTTTCTAGCTTTATTTTCTGCTTCCTGTCACCTACTTTTTATACTTGACATTTCAGTGTCCCTAAATCTAGCAATAGAATAGTTTTTTCCTCTGTACATATTGGTCCTTTTCTGCTGTTCTGATCAAGGCATACTGTAGACTTTTTATTTTAAGAATTGTATTATTCTCCAGATAGTTTTCAAGTCTATTGTATAGCTAGACAGAGGGATATGGGGCTAGATTATGTTACAATGCCATAAACCCTCTGTTCTTTCCCACTTTCAGCAGTTTTTCTGGAACAAACTCTCCTCAGATTACTGTAAACCTTTGGTTAATTTCAAGATCTCTTAAATAACTGATTTTTTGACAATTTTGGCTACTGTGTTTATTGCTCTGATGGAAAGGTAGATTCATAGGGATTGTCAACCTACTATTCTGGTGGTAAAATTTTAATAAGTTAAATTATAAGGGAATGTACCCACAAAGATAGTGCATTTTATTTAATAAAAAATTGTTGAGCAGCTAGTATTTACTGGGCAGTGGCCTAGCCACTGAAGATTCAAGTGTGGGAAAGAAACACTTTTGCTCACATTTAGCATTTGCTAACAGAAAGTTTACCATTTTCAAAGGAAATAGACTCGCAGATAGGAAGAAGTAAGCTGAGGAAGGAAATAAGTCTTCCTCTTCAGGACTAAAAAAGGGACAGTTGGCCAGAGAATGGAGTAAAGAGGCTGACACATCCACTTCCATTTACATTTTGGCCAAGCCAGAGAATAAAAACCGTAAGGTCATTGTGAGAGTCCTTCCACATTAAACTTTGCCCCAAATTTTCCATTTTTCACTTTATTTCTCTTAATTTCCATCTGGAGAATAATAAAAGAATCAAATGGCAACTGTAGAGCTAAAACTATCTTAAGTTTTAGCTTAAGATAAGATGAGGCCAGGTGCAGTGGCTCATGCCTGTAATCCCAGAACTTTGGGAGGCCAAATCAGGTGGATTACCTGAGGTTAGGAGTTCAAGACCAGCCTGGCCAACATGGAGAAATCCCATCTCTACTAAAAATACAAAAAATTAGCCAGGCGTGGTGGCAGGTGTCTATAATCCCACCTACTTGGGAGGCTGAGGCAGAAGAATTGCTTGAAGCTGGGAGGCAGAGGTTGCTGTGAGCCAAGATCACACCATTGCACTCCAGCCTGGATGACAGAGCAAGACTCTGTCTCAAAATTAATTAATTAATTAATCAAAACATAAATAAAACTATCATAATGAAATGTAAAATTTCTTAGAGGGTTTCAACAGAAGATTTAATCTTACAGAAGAAAGAATCAATGAGTTTGAAAATAGGTCAATTCAGATTATGCAGCCTGGGAAACAGAAATATATAAAAGAATGAAGAAAAATTAACAGTCATAAATACCTATGGGACACCATCAAGCACACCAACCTACCCATAAAGGCAGTCCAAGAATGAGAGAAATGAGAAAAAGGAGGAGAAGGAATACTTGAGGAAAACAATGACCAAAACATCCCAATTTTGATGGAAGCATTTATGTTCATATCCAAGAATATCAAATTAGATAAACTGAAAGAAATCTACACTTACACATATAATAGGCAAAACTGTTAAAAGACAAATAAGGAATACTGAAGACAGAGAAAAATGACTCATTACATGCAAGTGATCTATAATAAGATTAATAGCTAGCTTTCCATAAAAAAATCATAGAGATGAGAATGCAATGAAATGACATATTCAAAGTGCCAAAAGAAAAAGAATGTCAATCAAGAATTCTATATCCAGCAAAACTATCTTTTATATATAAAGGATAAATTAAAGCTGCTGTAGATTTTAAAAAACTGAGGCCAGGTGTGGTGGCTCATGCCTGTAATCCCAGCACTTTGGGAGGCTGAGGCAGGAGGATCACTTGAGGTCAGGAGTTTGAGACCAGCCTGGCAGACATGGTGAAACCCCATCTCTACTAAAAATTAGCTGGGTGTGGTGGCAGGTACCTGTAGTCCCAGCTACGTGGGAGGCTGAGGCAGGAGAATCATTTGAACCTGCAAGGCAGAAGTTGCAGTGACCTGAGATCACACCACTGCACTCCCACCTGGGCAACAGAGCAAGACTCTGTCTCAAAAAAACCCCAAAAACAAAACTGAGAAAGTTCAGTGGTAGATGACCTGCTCCCCAAGAAACACTGAAGGAAGTATTGCAGGCTGAAATTAAGTGATATTTATTAGTAACTTGAATCCGCATGAGTTTGTAACACTTTACTTTCTGATTTAAAAGACAACTCCACATAGCAATAATTATAAAACTTTGTTGATGAGCTTTTAATGTATATAGTTTCCATGATGCACAATGAAAGGAGAATGGAGCTATATTTAAATGAAGCTTTTGAATACCATTACAATTAAGTTAGTTTAATCTGAAAGATATTGTTACTATGTTATTAACCACTCAAAAATAACTAAAAAAATACATAGTAAAAGGAACAACAAAGAAATTAAAGTTGTACACTAGAAATATATATTACTATAATAAGATATTAATGGGCATGTACAGGGACAGAAACCACATAAAGCATGTGGAAAACAAGTAGCAAAATGGCAGACATAAATCTCACCTTATCAGTAACTACATTAAATATAAATGATTAATTAATACATCAGGTAAAAGACAGTGACTGGCAGAAGAAATAATATAATCCAATTCTATTCTGTCTATAAGAGATACAGTTTAGATTTGAAAACCAAATACATTAAAAGTAAAATGATGGAAAAAGGGATACAATGCAAACAGTAGCCAAAATAGAGCTGAAGTGTCTATACCAATATCAAGAAAAATAGTTTTTAAGACAAAACTTGTTACTAAACACAAAGGATAAGTGACAAAGTGGTAGTGATCCCTCTGGAAAACACAATAATAATAAACATATCTGTACCTAACAACACAAATTTTAAAATACATGAAGCAAACTGACAGAAGGGAGAAATAGACAACTCAGCAATAGTTGGAAACTTTAATATCTCCCTTTCAATAGTGAATAGAACAACTAGGCTGAATACTAAGAAGGAAATAGAACATTTTAACAACACTGTGACACAAATAGACCTAATTGACCATTAGGTATATAAAGCATTAGGTAGACTATGCAAGAAAAAAAAAAGAGAAGACTCAAGTCTTAAAATAAAAAGCCAACCTCACAGAAATAAAAAGATTATAAGGGAAAGTATAAAGACTGTATGCCGGGCCTGGCACGGTGGCACACACCTATAATTCCAGCACTTTGGGAGGCTGAGGTGGGCAGATCACCTGAGGTTGGGAGTTCGAGACCAGCCTGACCAACATGGAGAAACCCTGTCTCTACTAAAAATACAAAAATTAGCTGGGCGTGTGGCACATGCCTGTAATTCCAGCTACTCAGGAGGCTGAGGCAGGAAAATCGCTTGAACTCAGGAGATGGAGGTTGCAGTGAGCCAATATTGTGCCATTGCACTCCAGCCTGGGCAACAAGAGTGAAACTCCATCTCAAAAACAAAACAAAACGAAACAAACAAACTCTATGCCAACAAATTAGATAATCTGGATAAAATGGACAAATTCCTATAAAGATGCCAAGTGCTAAAATTGACTCAGGAAGAAATAGAAAATATAAATAGATCTATTAAAAGTACAGACATTGAGTTAATAATTTGAAAACTTCTCACAAAGGAAATTCTAGGCCCAGGTGGCTTCACTGGCAAATTCTACCAATTATGCAAAAAAGAATACTCGTCTCCTACATACTCTTTCAAAAAGTAGAATACTCATCTCCCCCACTCTTTCAAAGTGGTAAGGAATTTACCCACTTAGTCTATAAGGACAATATTACCCCCAGTGCTAAAACCAGACAAAGACAGCATAAGAAAACTACAGACTGATATCCATTGTGAATATTGACACAAAAATTCTGAATTACTAGCAATTCACATCCAGAATATGTAAAAAGGATGAGAATGACCATGACCACATGGGAATTTCCCCAGGATAAATGTTGGCTTAACATTAAAAAATCAATCAACTTAGTACACCATATTAATAAAATAAAGAACAAAAATCACATGATAATTTGAATAGACACAGAAAAAGCATTGGACAAAATCCAACAGCCTTTCTTTAAAAAAAAAACACTCAACAAACAGAATACAAATTCCTCTTCCAAATAAAGAAGCCTATGAAAAATTCAGAAGTCATATTGTACTTAATGGTAAAAGACTGAATACTTTCCACATAAGATCGTGAACAAAACAAGGATGTTTACTTCTATTTAACATTGTACTGGAAATTCTAGCCTGGGCAATCAAGCAAGAAAGAGAAATAAAATGCTTTCAGAGTAGATAGAAAGAAGTAAAACTATTTCTATTCTAGATGACATGAAAATGCTAGAAATAATATATTTTTAAAACTATTAGAACTAGCAAACAAGTTCTCCTACTTTGCAGGATACCAGGTCAATATACAAAAATCAGTTGTATTTCTAGGCACTAACAATGAACAATGTGAAAATGAAATTAAGAAAAACAATTCTATTCTAATAGAATTAAAAAGAAAATAATTTAGGATAAATTTAATCAAAGAATTATACAAGTTCAAGACTTGTACACTGAAAACTAAAAATTGTCACTGAAAGGAATTAAGGCAAACTTAAATAGATGAAGAAGCACCCCATGTTCACAGATTGAAAGACTTAATATTGCTAAGACAGCAATATTTCCCAAATGGATTTATAGGTTCAATGTAGTCTCCATCAAAATCCTAGCTACCTCTTTTGGGCAGAAATTGACAAGCTTATCCTAAAGTCATAAGAAAATACAAGAGAGCCAGAAGAGCCAAAATAATCTTGAAAAAGAAGAACAAATTTGGAGGACTTACACTTCCCAGTTTCAAAATGTTCTACAAAGCTGTGGTAATCAAGACAGCATGGCACGGTCATAAAGATAGACATATGAATCACTGGGACAGAATTGATCATCTAAAAATAAATTTTCGTATTTATGGTCAAATGATTTTTAATCATGATGCCAAGAAAATTTATTGGGTAAAATAAAAGTCTTTTCAATAAATGGTGTTGGGAAAACTGGATGTCCACAGCAAAAATTAAAAGTTTAATGTGTTCAACATGCCATATACAAAACCTAATTCAAAATTGATCATAGACATAAATGTAAGAGCTAAAATTATAAAATTCAGAAGAAATAGAGAAGTAAATATTTATGACTTTAAGTTAGGTAGTGATTTTTTAGGTATGACCCCAAAAAGCATAAGCAACCAAAGAAACTAAATTGAACTTTCTCAAAATATAATATTTTGTGCTTCCAGGGATACCATCGAGAAAATGAAAAGACTACCTACAGAATAGGAGAAAATATTTGAAATGATATATCTGATAAAAGGCTTGTGTCAAGAATATATAAAGAACTCTTACAGCTCAACTAATAGACAACCCATTTTTTCAATGGGGAAAAGATCTGTATATACATTTTTTCCAAAGAAGATATATGATTACCAATAAACATATTAAATGATTTTCAATGTTATTCATTTTTCATTAGGGAAACACAAATCAAATTTTCAATGAGAAAACTGCCCACTAGGTTGGCTGAAATTTAGAAAGTAAACATTAACAAGTATTGGCAAGGATGTGGAGGAACTGGAATCCTCATATATTGCTGGCATGATTTTAAATGGTGGAGAGAACAGTTTGGTAGAATCTCAGATGTTAATTATAGAGTTTTCATATGACCCATCAATTCTACTCTCATGTATGTACACCAGAAAAATGAAAAATAAAAACATATGTCCACACAAAACTTGCATATCAATGTAAAAAGCAACATGATTTATAATAGTCAAAAACGGAAACAACTCAAATATCCATCAAGTGATGAATGGATAAACAAAATGAGGTACAGCCATACAGTGGAATATTATTTGGTATTTAAAAAGGAATGAAGTACTAATACATGATCTTTCCTCTCTGCCTCTGCCTCCACCCAGATAACAAGAATGACCCCTTCAATGACTATGTAGGTCATGAAAACTGGAAGAAACTTCCAGTAGTTTCTGTCTGCCAACCAGGAAAATTTTTGATGATTAAGAGACCCTCTGCCTCCTGAAACAGAAAGGGAATACCATAAGGTGACTAAGCACAAATGAATATTTAAATTAAATGTCCTGCCACTTTGTGGTTGAGTTGAAGGTGACCAAATCCAACAGACTGCATGGTGACATCACTAGGATGTTGTTCTGACCTCCTCCTCTATCCCTTTCTCGGCTGAAGCTGTCTGATCTGGGAGGAGAAACAGAGCAGACAGAGCCTAGACTTTTGTGAGACCAAGAGACTCCACTCTATAGTCTTTTTGTAGTTTCCTGGACCTCTCTTGAATCCCAAGATTCCTTAGACTCCCTGTTATTCATTGCAGTTCTCTTCTTGGCTGTAGTCTCCCATGACACATCTGTCCTCTCTGCAGACACAGCCAAAAGAAAGGCATATGTAGTCCCTTACCCTAGGGGCTGTTTTTGACATGTATCCTCTCCCAGCTTGGTGGTGCTTTCTTGTTTCCTTCCAGATCTAGTTTTCTCTTCCAGGAAACAGTCTTTTTGCTTGTTCCTGGGTGTGGTTTATTTAATGCTGAATCCTTAGTTGGCAAAATTTGAGGATACTACTCTCATTGACTTTACCGCAATTCATGCTCCCTGGAGTGCTGAGATGTGGCTACTCTGGCTTCCCTGGCCTTGGCAGCTGGCTCTTCCTTGTTGACTGGGCTCTAGGTAAAATTCTGGACCTTGGTGCCACCCTGGTGACAAATTACTTTCCAGGAGCTCAGGAGATATGGAAATGTGGTATTCATCCCCACCAGAGTTTATGGACAGATTCACTCTCACTGAGTTTGACTTATTGATGGCAAAGAGAAAGAGACATTTTCTTGGGGAACCTAAGTGGAAAAGAGGAGTCTATTAAAAGGATGCACGGCTAGAGACCAGGCTTGTGACTTTACCCAGGAACAGAAAAATCATCCTGGCTCTCTGTCTTGCATCTCTTTTCTTTCTGATTCATTCTTTTTTTCTCTCTGGAGATTAACTTCTGTTTTTTGATCTTCACGAGGAGGTGGAAGATGATCTACTGGGGAAAATGGACTCTCTGACCCAATTCTCAGGGTAGATTTTCCAAGTTGCTGAAGTTTGGTCAGTGCCCATCCTATGTGTGGACTGGGCTGTCTGAAGACTACTCCTGCACATGTAGGGCAATTTGAGGCAGGGGAAATTTGTGAACGGGGTCAACTCTCATTAAGTTGTTCTTATTAGAGTGTGCCAGTGTTTAAAAGGGAACATAGGATTTCCAGTTTTCACTTCAGTGCAAAAGGAGCCTTGAAGCTGCCACTGTATCCTAAAAACAATTCAAAAAACTGTCAAACTGAAAAATCAACAGTTCTTCTTAGATCTATCAGAAAAGTGAGGACACAGGGTAAGCTGCTGTCCCCAAATTGGAGAGACAGACATGTGGATGCAATGAATCTACTTTTATCACAGCAGAAACTCTTGAGCAGAAACCTCCACGGGCGCCAGTGCCAGCATGGGAAAAGCTGAATTGTAACTGGCAAATTGCCGGAGGTTGAGTGTGGAAAAGATGGAGTTAAAAACTCCAGGAAGACCCAGGTATAGAAGGGCTCTTATACTTCTATGAGGTGTAACTACAGGCACTCTCCCAGCTTCTCAAAGCAAGGATCAGAGAAAAATTCCCTTATGCTTCTCTCACAGGGAGGAGAAAAGCAACCACTTTGAAACGTGCCAGAGCATTCTTCTTATTACAAGGCCTACCCTGAGGAGGAACTATTTTATCAGAGCCTAAATGCTGGGGTTTTATCAGAACCTAACCTACCCAGGGGAAGGGAAATACCTAACACCAGTTACCTGTAACCATCCTGTCCTATCTAAGGGATGGGGGGCAACTGAGAAGCTCCTATGAAGTTCACAGTCCACTTTAGGAAACTAGCAAAAGAGGAGCAAATTAAATCCAAAGAAAGCAGAAGATAAGAAATAACAAAATTACAGTAGAAATCAATAAAATTGGAAAGAAAATCAGTAGAGAAAATCGACAAAATTATAAGCTGGTTCTTTGAAAAGATCGATAAAATTGATAAGCCTCTGTAGCTAGGCTAAGAAAAAAAAATTACCAGTATCAGAAATGAAAGAGAGAACATCACTACAAATCCCATGAACATTAAAAGAATAACAAAGGAATATTATGAACGACTGTGTGCCCACAAATTTGATAACCTAGATGAAATGAACCATTTCCTTGAAAGACACAATCTGCCAAATCTCTTTTAAGAAGAAACAGACAATTGTAATAGGCCTATATCTATTAAAGAAATTGAATCGATAATTAATAACCATCCAAAACAAAGCATCAGGCCCAGTGGGTTTGCTGGTGAGTCCTACCAAATTTTTAAATAAGAAATTATACCAGAGGGAAGACTTTGCAATTCATTCTACGAAGCCAGCATTACCCTAATTCCAAAACCAGACAAAGATATTCCAGGAAAAAACTACAACAAATACCTGTCATAAACATAAATGCAAAAATCCTTAACAAAATTTTAGCAAATCAAATTAACAATGTGTAAAAATAAGTATACATCATTACCAACTAGGATTTATCCCAGTTATGCAAAGCTGGTTCAACATTCAAAAATCCATTCATATAATCTATCGCATCAACAGGCTAAAGAAGAAAAAAATTATGTGATCATATAAATAGGCGCAGGAAAAGTATTGGACAAAATCCAATACCCATTCATGATAAAAACTCTCACCAGACTATGAATGGGGGAAACTTGCTCACCCTGATAAAGAAAAGCACATCTATCTAAAAACCTACAATGAATATTATACGTAATGGTGAGAAACTCAAAGCTTCCTCGCAAAATCAGGAATCAGATGTCCCCCTCATCATTCCTTTTCAGTGTTATACTAGAAGTCCTAGGTAATGAAATCAGGCAAGAAAAGGAAATAAAAGGTATACAATTAGGAAGGAAAAAGTAAAATTGTCTTTATTTGCAGATGTCTACTAGATAATCCAAAAGAGTCCACTGAAGAACTCTTGGAACTAATAAGCAATTATAACAAGGTTGCAGGATACAACACAGAAAAACTTAATTGCTTTCCTGTACCAGCAATGAACAGATGGAATCTGAAATTAAGAACACATTACCACTAACATTACCATGCCAGAAATGAAATACTTAGATATAAATCTAACAAAATATGTACAAGATCTCTATAAGGAAAGCTACAAAACTCAAAACTGATGAAAGGTATCAAAGAAGAACTAAATAAATTGAGATAGTCCATATTCATAGACAGGAAGACTCCATATTGTCAAAATGTCAGTCCTTCCCAACTTGATCCATAGATTCATTGAAATCCCAATCAAAATCTCAGGGAGTTATTTTGTGGAGATCAACAAACTGATTCTAAAGTTTATATGGAGAGGCAAGAGACCCAGATTTAGCCATATTGGTATTGAGAGGGAAGAACAAAGTGAGAGGGCTGACAGTCTACCTGACTTCAAGACTTACTATAAAACTACAGTAAGCAAGACAGTGTGGTATTGATAAAAGAATAGACAAATAGATCAATGAAACAGAACATGGAACCAGAAATAAGCCCAAATAAATTCAGACAACTGATTTTTGACAGAGGAGCAAAGGCAATACAATGGAGCAGAGATAGTCTTTTCAACATGTGGTACTGGAACCATTGGATATCCCCATGCAAACAAATCCATCCAGATTCAGACCTTAAACCCTTAACAAAAATTAACTCAAAATGGGTCACAGACTACCTGTGGAACACAAATTATAAAGTGCTTAGAACATAATACAGGAGAAAAACCTAGATGACCTTGGGTATGGTGATGACTTTTTAGGTACAACACCAGAGACACAGTTCATGACAGAAATAATTAATAAGCCGGACTTCATTAAAATTAAAAACTTCTGTTCTGCAGAAGATAATTTCAAGAAAATAAGAAGATAAGCTACAGACTGGAAGAAAATATTTGCAAAAGACACATATGATAAAGAACTGTTACCAAAAATATACAAAGGACACTTAAAACTCAACAATAAGAAAACAAACTACTCGATTAAACAATGGGCCAAAGACCTTAACAGATACTTGACCGAAGAAGATACACAGATGTCAGTTAAGCATATGAAAAGATGCTCCACAAGATGCCATCAGGGAAATGCAGATTAAAAAACAATGAGATATCACTACATACCTATTAGAACGGCCAAATTCCACAGCTCTGACAACATCAAATGCTAGTGAGGATGTGGAACAACAGGGACTCTCATTCATTATTGGTGACAATGCAAAATAGTACAGCCACTTTGGAAGACAGTTTGGGCATTCCTTTAAAAACTAAACATACCCTTACCATAATATCCAGCAGTTGTGCTCTTTGATGTTTATCCAAAGGAGCTGCAAACTTATGTCCACACAAAAACCTGCAGCTTCATTCATAATTGCCAACACTTGGAAGCAACCAAGATGCCCTTCAATAGGTGAATGGATAAATGAACTGTGGGACATTCATACAGTGGAACGTTATTTAGCTCTAAAAATAAATGAGCTATCAAGCTATGAAAAGATATGCAGGAAACTTAAACGCATATTGCTAAGTGAAAGAAGCCAATTTGAAAGCCTTTATATTATATGATTCCAAGTATGTGACATTCTGGAAAAGGATAAACTATGGAGATAGCAAAAAGATCAGTTAATACTAGGGATTTGGGGGAGAGAGAGATGAATAGAGCACAGAGGATTTTTAGGGCAATGAAACTATTCTATCTGATATTATAACAGTAGAAACTTGTCATTATACACCTATCAAAACCCATATACAACACCAAGAGTGAATCTTAATGTAAACTGTGGATTTTGAGTGATGATGTGTCAATACCATTTCAACAGTAGTAACAAATGTACCATCCTGGTGGGGAATGTTGGTAGTGGGGGAGTCTGTGCATGTGTGGGGTCAGAGGGTATATAGGAACTGTCTGTACTTTCTGCTTCACTTTACTGTGAACCTAAAACTGTTCCAAAAATAAAGCTTATTCATATGAAAAACCGTAAACGAAAACGAAATACACACACACACACAGGATGAACACACCCACTTGTGCGATGTCCTCTTAGTTTCTTTAGTATGCCCTCTATAGAGATTACCTGGCATGCTTTCAGTCTACCACTCACAGCCTTTACAGCCTGGAGATTATGGTAGTAAGAGGCTAACAACTATATAGCCATACCACCCTCCCATCAATTATTTAGTCAACAGGTATCTGTTGAGCATCTAATATGTGCCAGCGGTGCCTAGAGGCTGTGGGGTGGAAAATGAGTCAGCACTCTTTACAGCCCCTTGCCCACAAAGATGCGATCATCTGTGATATCATTTGGATGTTTTTTCCAATCTCATGTTGAAATGTGATTCCCAGTGTAGTAGGTGGGGCCAGGTGGGAAGTGATTGGATCATGGCGGCAAATCCCTCATGAATGGTTTAATACCATCCTCCTGGTGATAAGTGAGTTCTTGCTCAGTTAGTTCATGCACGATCTGGTTGTTTAAAAGAGTCTGGGGAGACCTACCCCTTCTCTCTCTCTTGCTCCCACTCTTGCCATGTGATGCGACTGCTCCCTTTTCCCTTCTGCCACAAATAGAAGCTTCCTGAGGTCCTCACCAGAATCAGATGCTGGCATCACTCTTCCTGCACAACCTACAGAACTGTGAGCCAGTTAAACCTCTTCTCTTTATAAATTACCCAGCCATTAAGCATTCCTCTATAGTAACACAAACAGACTAACACAGTCCACTTGGGAAATAGAATGTCACCATGCAGCTAGTAGTGAATATGATGATATTACATATTGCTACAGTTGACTGGGGACCAGGATAATGGTGAGCTACTAATTATTTGGCACAGGTGATAAGAGTATAAAGATTCGGTGCAGAAAGATTCATTTGAGCTGGAAAACCCTGAGAAAATTGGCAAGAGCAGGGGCAGCTTCACGTAGCTTCACAGCTGATCAGCTCTGTTGAGACCATCTTGAAATTCTTACTAATTTTTGAACAAAAATCCTCATATTTTTATTTTGCACTGGACTCCCCAAATTAAGACCCCTCCTTTCCAGGAAGGAAATGTTTGTATGGGTCATGTCTGATTTAGAAATCATAATTGATACCACTTATTGTGCATTTTTAAGTACCAGGAAGGATCTTAGGTGCTGAGACCTTATCTCCTCTAACCCACACAAAGGAGAGGAAAACCAAGTTTCAGATAGGTCACCTGATCTCACCCAGTTTGTGGGGCAGGCAAGATTCAAACCCAAGCTCTTTTCTTTTATTTCTGATTCATTCTTTCCAGATTTTTATATCAGTTATTTAAATTCATGGTTCATACTTTGAAATGATTTTTAATTAATTAATTAATTTTTTTTGAGGCAGAGTCTCACTCTGTGGCCCAGGCTAGAGTACAGTGGTGCAATCTCATGGCTCATTGCAGCCTCAACATCTTTGGCTCAAGCAATCTTCCTGCCTCAGCTCCCCAAGTAGCTAGGACTACGGGTGTGCACCACCACACCCAGCTAATTTTTACTTTTTTTGTGTGGAGAATGTGGCCTCACTATGTTTCTCAGGCTGGTCTCGAACTCCTGGCCTCAAGCAATCCTCTGACCTCAGCTTCCCAAAGTGCTGGGATTACAGTTGTGAGCTATCATGCCCAGCCTTGAAATGACTAAGATGTTTGAGAGGAATAAACCAGCTCACCTCTGTGAATAGTTTAGTTCAGCAGTTCCTAAACATTTTCAGTTCACAGCACCCTTAATGTCTTAGTAATCTTATTCACAGGGCCCTGAGGCCACATGAAATACCTAACAGTTCTATTTATGACCTTGTTGGGTCCAACTACCTTAATAAGTATTTATGTCCTAACAACTTAGGAGCTGGGTAAAAAATAATATGTACAAATTGGAAGAAAATAAATCATATTTTATTGTAATATTAAATAACCACAATTATTTACTAATGATATGTAGGTGCATCAGTTGGGCACTAGCAATATGTAAAACCTTGGAATTAGATAGGACATATCACTTTTTCCCCCACAACTATCACAACAGTCACCAAAAACCAAGCTTTGCAAAGATATGACATCATGGAAGGAAATTTAGCAACCTAATGTTAAAACCAATTTACCTGGAGCTAGCAGTTCCTGAGATGTCCGACAGGCATCCTTGTGTTCTCCTCAAGTATTTAAAAATACCCAGGCACTTCTGCGAGTCCCTTGAGGTGCCTGCCCCTCTGCCTGTTTATGCAAAGCAATGTCCGCTTGCTGGTGGACAGGTCCAGGCAGTGCTTTTTCCTCTGCGCGATATTAGATATGCAGAAAATCATGGATAGGAAGTGCCAAGGAAAAAACGGGGGATAAAAATAGAATGAACCAAAAAAGGAGCTCAAGAAATGTATTTTTAATGCAGTGCCACAAAAATAAGCTCATATTTTACTATGTATTTGACATCAGAATACAATTACAACTGACATCAATTATGTTCTCTATTAGACTTTTCTCTACCTTATACATTTAAGTGTAATCCCAAATGGGGAGAGAACCAGTGCTTTTTAATATAGGTGCTTTCTCAATTTGAAAACTAGAATGGAAGTCATGTTCAGAAGTGTAAAGAATTCTAAGAATTAGGTGGTGGATAAAAGATTGTTAGCAACCAAGAGGTTCCGTTATTTTTTACTTCAAGAATGCTGGTATGTGGAAAATGGAAACCATATTCAACCACTCACTTAAGTTAGCTAAACCCAACATATTACAGCAATTATTAACCCTCTTTCATCTTTCTAATAACAAGACACAAAAATAGTTATAATTTGTAATCAGTAACATGTCATTAGAGGGCTGTTAGTTGATTTTATCTACCAGTGCTTAGGTAGATGGGTTTTGTTGTTGTTTGAATTTCATGTTAATTCAAACGGAATGAAAACTTGGTTTTTGATGAGGACAGAAAGATTTTACATCTCATTTCACTGGTTCTTTTTTCTTCTGAACGTTGGACTTCTATGTGCTTATTTAAAAAAATATGTGGCTACTGCCATCTGTTGGATGGAATGTGAGTCCTGCTCAGACACGTGTGCCCTTTAAACAATGTCTGTCCCTTCTAACTTCACAAGTGTCTCCTCAAGGTAAGGAGACACTTACCTTGAGTGTCTCCTCAAGGTAAGGCCTTTGCTGTAGCTGCATGCATCCCAGCTTCCAGCCCCAGAACTGAGTTCATTTTGGGAACGTTTTCTATTGTTGTGGGGCACTTTCTCTTCAGACATGTAAATGCTCTCTACTGAAGAGTGTGTATATGGTTTTTTATCTTTCCAGTAAAACTTACAGCATAAGGAGGCATGTCGGGGTAGGGAGGGATGTGGCTGGGAGCATGTTTAGGAACAAGCATATTTTTAGCATGGGTAGTAGAGTCTACATTGGACTAATATAGGCAGAGGAATCAAAGTTCAGCTCTAAATTGTGGTGCATACTGAGGCCACTGATTTTATTTCTCTGAGCTGGCATTTCGTCAGCTGTAAGGCAAGAGCAGGACTAGGACTGAGAAAATCTTCTGAGCTGAAGACCCACGCAGCTCTAAGGAGTCATAGTCAAGAACAGCAGACATAACAGCAAATACGAATTTAAGAAATGCCAGTCTAAAAGCACATAAGAACCAATCTACAGGTTATGGGAAACCCATTTTATCTGACTCCCTTCTCTCCCGCTCCTGGGTTCTTATTTTTCTGCTTTTCTTGGGCTCTGATTGTCAGCATCCTCTCTCCTCACCCCTCCCACTCTTTCTTTGTGGAGGGACTGTTCCCTCTCCACTCCCATTGGGCTTTTTTCTTAGTCCTCCCCTCCTCCTCCAGCCCTCAGTCTCGGATGTCTCTGCGCACCTGCCGATTCCGCATTACAAAATTCCAAGAACCGGTCTTAGAAAAACCATCTCTTCTCTGAGGTAGGAAACACATGAAGCTGAACTAGGCAGCACACACTTTGTGTGTGTCCTAGACCAATACACACACACACACACACACACACACACACACACACACACACAGAGCCAAGCACTTCTGGCAGCAAAAGCCTTAAACCCTGTGCATGAATTACTGTGTCCAAGCATTGGTTCCTTCCGGTGGGTTCTTGATGTCGCTGACTTTTAAGAACGAAGCCCCCTACCCTCATGGTGAGTGTTACAGTTCTTAAACATGGTGTGTCAAGAGTTTGTACCACCACATGCTCAGATGTGTCCAAAGTTTCTTCCTTCTGCTGGGTTCGTCGTCTCACTGACTTCAGGAGCGATGCCACAAACCTTCACAGTGAGTGTTAACGCTCTTAAAGGTGGCGCCTACGGAGTCGTTCATTCTGGTGGACTCGTGGTCTCACCGGCTTCAAGAGCAAAGCCAGCTGCAGACCTTCCAAGGGAATGTTACAGCTCTTAACGTATTGTGGACCCACAAAGCGAGCAACAGCAAAATCTATTGCAAATAGCGAAAAATCAAAGCTTCCACACTGTGGAAACTAACCCAACCCACTTGCTGCTGCTGGCTCGGGTTGCCAACTTTTATTCCCTTATTTGGCCCCACCCACATCCTGCTGATTGTTCCATGTTACAGAGAGCTGATTGGTCCATTTTACAGAAAGCTGATTGGTCTGTTTTACAGAGTGCTGATTGGTCCGTTTTTACAGCATGCTGATTGGTGCGTTTATAAACCTTTAGCTAGACACAGACTGCTGATTGGTGCATTTACAATCCTTTAGCTAGACAGAAAAGTTCTCCAAGTCCCGACTGACTCAGAAGCCCAGCCGGCTTCACCTATCAATATGACTGCAGTGCCTATAGCTGAATTCACTGGTTAGGGAGTGTACAATGGAATTTTGTCCCTTGAATTGGGGATGTTTGAAGATGGAGGCTATTTCACTCCTTCCTCCTGCCTTGCTAAAGAATGACTGGGATCATTACTGAACTCAGTTCTCATTTGCTTTCTTAAAATTTGATGTCCACAAAACCTGGAGTTTATTTACTTCTCCCTTCCCTCCTTTTTTCATTTTTCTGTCATACCATTTGTTAATACCAGATTAGAGAAGGGGAGCATGTCAAGGAATTCCTTTATGACTTCCTCTCTGAGGATGAAGTCTTGGTCAGTCTTGACTGGACATGGTCAGGATGGATCCTGGGAGTGGGACTGGGCTCCACGGTGTGTGTACTCTCCAGGGCAGTTATCCTGCTGGGGCTGGGCCAGCCCTCCTGCCCTAGCAGCCCCCATCTTTCTCTGCCCCACCCTGTCTCCTAGGTGTGCTGGGATTGCTGTGTGGGGAGGGAGTACGGCCAGCCTGCCTGGGCCCACACCTTCAAGGAAATGAAAAATAATTTCTCCTTGCAAGAGGTTAGGGGAGCTTCCCAGGCTTGTCTGTTGCTATTTCTGTCAGTGAAGAAGCAGTTTCGAGGTCCCCAGGCGGCTGGGAGGAAAGGAAGTGTGCCCCAGGCCCACCTAGGGGGAGGTCTACAGGAGAAAGGCTCTCTTTGTCATTGCTGGAGGGTAACAGCGAGTTTGCAGTTGGTGATAATGATTCATTTCCTCAGTTGAGGTTTGGGAGGATTATAGCTGGAATTTGAAAAGTCGTTTCTATATCTGGCAACGAAGGAACTCTGAGTGATCAGCATGTACTGTTTGGTGTTTTGCCATCATTGGTAATATCACTGTCTTAGTCAGCTCGGGCTGCTGTAACAGAACACTGTAGACTGGGGGGCTCACAAACAACAGACATCCACTTCCCACAGTTCTGGAGGCTGGAAGGCCACGATCGGGGGCCAGCTGGCTTGGGTTCCGGTGAGGGCCCTCTTCCGGCTGCAGATGGTTGCCTTCTGATTGTATCCTCACGAGGTGGAAAGAGAGCCAGAGAGCTCTCTTGGTCTCTGTCACAAGGGCATTAATCCCATTCATGAGATCTCCACCCTGATGACTTAATCACCCCCCCAAAGGCCCATCTTCTAAAACCATCACATGGAGGATTAGGATTTGAACATATGAATTTCATGAGAATGCAAACATTCAGTCAATAGCCATCACCAACAACACTAAAATGTAAATTGGAGGCGTCATGTGAAAAAAGAAATGATCTAAATGAAACTCCATGCTATCATAACGGAGTTCTGCAGCCACCAATGTATGTCCTCTGGTTGAGTGTACAGGCGGTATATGTATATGTTAAGTGTATATATATCTTATGATTGTTCTGAGTATTCATGATTTAAAGTACATAATCAAGCAATGAGCAGTGTTCACATCCCCAGCTGATTAGAGCCAGCGTGTTTCTCTAATCATTCTCCACTGGCTGGTTGTGGAGGCAGAATGTTATCAGGATGCCCTGATAGATCAGCAATGTCCTCTCCTGCTTTGTTTCAGGAAGGGGCGAACGTTTGTTTACGGATCTGACAGCATAAAAAGTGAACCTGCTGAGAATGGAGTCCATGCACTCAAAGTCACTTCACCTCCACTGGTGTTGAAGGATCCCCGTGGCTCATGGTCCACAAGCCAGAGAGCTTATTGCTAGTGCAAATGCTTACCCAGTTCCTTCCACTGGGATGGACAGTTCCAGTTCCTAACTCAGCCCAGAGGAGCACAGCTCTTTTGTTTCTAGTATCTTCTAGTGTAGAGGAGCTGTTGTTGAGGATAGGTCCGTGGAGGTGATCGCCTCCCTTAGCTCCTGCACAGTAAGCAGATGCTGAGGCGGTCTTGAACATTAGAGCATAAGGCACCGGGATGTGTCCCCAGGGCTGTGCTGCCCTTGAGTGCCTTCCTGGTCTGTAAAGTTGCATGGCATGCAGGAAGAGAGAGAGGTCTGGCAACTGGCAGCACACCATGACTGAGTGGACCTGACTCTCCAGGCACCTTGAGGGTGCAGAGCCACCACTTCACTCTCACAGAGCTACACCATTATGGGGTATCTTTGCAGGACATAGGAGACAATCTGAAGTGTTCAGAAACTCCAATGCCCTGAAAACACTATCAGGGGATGAATTATAATGTAACATACTAATAATACTAAAAAGGCAAAGGGAGGTAAGGTTTTAAGAGATTCACTATGAACTTTGACCTCAAGTCTATGGAATCCTCTTTTAGCTCATACCTCATTGTAGATTTTTTTAAAAACTGCAGTGAATTATGTTTTTTTCTATTAAAATTGCCTATAAGTTGACAGTGAGTTTATCAGAAGTCTGTCTTTTCCCATTTTGACAAGGTCTAGTGACAACTGGTAAGAACTTAGAAGTATAGTCAGCACCAGCTACTTTCAACTAACTACAGGAGGGATAACTCTGCATTGCTGTTGGTTGATACATAAGCTGAGACATGAATGATATTCACTGCATAACTGGCAATGTGGACACTAATGGGACCCTTCCCACAGGTCATGCCCGCTGTTGAGTGCACTGTATAGATGATCACATTTATTCCCCAGTGCAACTCATGGGACAGGGATTATCATCCCTATATTCAGGGAGGAAATTGAGACTCAAGAGAGGCTCAAGTAGCAGAACCAGGCTTGGATCCAGAGACTCTGACCCCAAAGCCGTGACTTATGGTGGGGAGCTCTGTTTCTTCCCAGAGGTTCTAGTGAGCAGCCTGAGGTAGTGATTTCCTCCTATGGTGACTGAGAGCTCCTACTTTATGGCATCAGATCAGGGAGGGACTCCAGCTTGATCTGGCAGCTGCAGCTGTAGACATTATTCCTGCCCTCGTGAAACATAAAGACTTGTTAGTCTAATGGTAGAGATACGACATCAGTGTAACATAATAGATACTTATTAATCAGTTGCTGTTATTCCAAACACAACATTGCTTTGTTATACTATATGTAGTCGCTTCTTCTGTATGTCTATAAATCAAATATATTTCCTTGCATCCTGAGAGGTAACAACCTAGATAAATACTTTATTTATTTATAATCCATCCACCTATTCATCTATCCAACACATATTTGGTGATTTTGATTACATTCCAGGTGCCTTTGCTAAGGATGGAAGGACATACAAAGATGTGAAAATCCAGGCACAGGCTCTTCCTCCGAGGTGGCTCAGTCTAGCAGGGGGAGACCCTCTCTGTACATAACTCTGAGGAAAGTGCGCTGGAAGAGCAGGGGTTTAGCAGAGAATGTGTTCTCACGGCAGGGGGTCACAGAAGTATTGATGAGTGAGCAGGACTTGGAAAGGGCAGATGGGCTGGTAGTAAGGACATTGCAGATGAGCAAAGGGACACTCCTGGGGAGTCTTGAGTGTGGGGGGGACTTGAGGATGTTCATGGAGGGGAAAAGCTGGGCAAGGCTGAAGAGTAGGGCAGGGCAGGGCACGGAGGGCTTGGCCCCTGGATTGGCAGCTAAGACTGAATTCAGTAGGCAGTGGGGCCATCAAAGCTTCGAGAGCTGGGGAAAGCCATGACATGGGTTTAGTGGGAAACACATATTACTTAAAGTCAGGCAGATCCTGGCTGGAATCCTGGCTCCATCTTTTTAGCTGTGTCTGCTTGGTCAGTTGCTCTCAGCCTGAGTTCCCATGTCAGTCACCTGAAGGAAATGGGCCTGCTTTGTGGTCTCATTTAGAGGTCTTGCTCAATCATGTGTGTAGAGTGCCCATGGGGCCTGGCCAGTGAGTCCTCCGAGGCACCTCAGGCTGAACCACGGGTGGCAATAGAAATGGTATGAAAAGATGGACAGCTCTCAGAGACAAGGAAGAATGACTAGAACTCGGAACCTGACAGGAGGTGTCCTTGTCCGGTGAGGGGGCTGCAGAGTGAGATGTGACCATTCTGGGCTACCTTCCCGGCAGTTCCCTGCCCAGGCATGTGGTCGCTGTGGGGCCCTGAGCCTGGGACAGTCCTTTTTTGGGGTCAGGCTTTTCTTTGGGTTATTCCTTTCAAGCCATAGTAAAACCTAGTAGTCTCTGTTTTCACACAAGTTTCTGACATCTGATGCCAGATTTACAACCTGAAGTGGCCAAAGATTTTAGGTTTTCCTTGGGGCTTAAATCAATGGTGTTGCTTGGCTTCCTCCTGTGCAGTAGGTTGGCCAAGAAAACCACCCTTTGTTCTGTCTTGAAGGGAAGGCATGCTGCTGTGTGGCTCTTGACATTTACCTTATCCCGGAGCTGAGCTTTGTCTATGGCTGTGCAGGTGGGGCGGGAATGGGAAAGACAGTCCTCTGGCACGCTTTCCACATTTGGATGGAAGACCCAGCTTCAGCTTCAAACACTTTTATTCCTGATGGCATTGTTTACAAACATGCTAGAAAAACAGAATTAGGGAACAAAATTATCTCATGATTGCTGAACTATGATGAGATTGATGCTTTTAAGCACTTCCCCTAGGGAAACCAGGCAGGAATCTTTCAAGGGGAAAATGTATCATAAGGGAAGACAATTAAAAGTTAAAACTGGCTAATGAAACTGATAAAGGGAGAATTGTTTTAATTATCGATGCTCGTCTTAAATAAATTGTATGATTTCCCAGAATAACACATCCATCATCATCAAGTATGAGGACATGACCCGATCCTGGGGTCTCACAAGGGGCTTTTGGGTGTCTCTGAGAGGACCATGATGAAGACTCAATGACATTCATGCTTCTGAACCCTGAATCCACTTCAAGATGCCATGTAAATGCTGTGCATCTTCACCAGCAGATGTCACTGTTTACATATAAAATGCAAACAGCCCCCAAAGCTTCCCCCCACCCCCACCTTTATTCTAAAGCAACACACACTTGTCCATGTTTTTTCATAAAGCCTTATTTATCATGTGGTCATTTTTGTTCTGGAAAATAATGATATTGTTTATCCCTTTAAATAGCTGTACATGTAAAGGGAACTGGTTTATGAGAGATACCCATTTCACATACTAAGCTATGCAATGACACCTCTTTTAAAAGATAATTGTTGAACACTTACTATTTGCCTGAAACCAGCTTCCCATGATGAAAGGTATCCAAAAACAGCTAAAGAGCTGTCCTTCTTTAAGGGTCTTAAAACCTCTTTTGAGAGATGACAAATAATAAAGCAACTTACAATGTTGGAAGTTAAATACTAAAACTAAAAATGAGTGTCATATTGTTTCAGGGAGATGAAGGTCTGTGGGGGCTGGAGCAGATGGAAGGCTTTAGGGAAGGAAGCCCCAAGATAATGAGGGTGAATTCATCTGGTTGAGAGTGGAAAGGTACTGTGGGTTTTTGGTTTTTTTTGTTTGTTTGTTTTGCTTTATGTGTTTTGGGGTACTTTTGCTGAGAGAATAAAGAGCAATTATGTTTGGAGGATCTATTTGTTGGAGTCATGAAGAGCAAAATGGAGGAGGACAATGTTATTACAAAATCCAGCTGCGAGAACAGCGACTCCTGCAATGGTAACTAGAAATAAGATCAGATTGGGAGGCATAAGGAAGGAAGACAAGACCGCCATGCCAGCTTATTGACAGGTACAGTCACTATGTCTTCTTGTCTTCTCAGTCCAAAATCAAAATACAAGCATTGACACATGGTCAGACACTAAAACAGAAGGTTTGAAATCAGGGCTGTTTCCAGAAACTCCAGGACATATGGATGCTGCAAATATACGGAGGAGAGAGTGACTCTCATGAACATGTAGGGTATCAATGGTGCTGCCACTGAGAGAAATGGAAGACCTGGGGAGGAAGGTTGGCTTGGACAGAAAGATGTTTTTAGTCTGATCCATGTGGTTGAAACTGATGTGGGCCACAGCATGATCTAGCAAGGCTGGAAGCTATTCAGGAGCCACTGACCTAGAAGTGGAAACGACAATAGGGAGGGGAGAGAGAAGGGCCAGGGTGTAGTCGTCAAGGTTTGTGTTTTAAGGAGCCAGCTCATTTTATTAAATTGCATACATCAATAAGTAATATCCAGGAAAGAAGAGAACTAGAAACCTCTCCCTGGTGTGGTGTACTATTAAGCATGCAAGTTTCTGCTGACTTTGCATCCTCTCTGCCTTCACATCATGGGAATTCGTGACCAGAAGCCTTCAGCCTGCACCCCTCCACCCATCCCAGGGTTTCACCATAATTACTCGGGACTCTCAAACATCTGTGCATCAATCAGCTGCCCATCATACTTGCTCACCCCTTCCAGTCTCTGGGAAAGCAACTTATTATCCAATGTGGAAGGTCTTGTTCTTGATAAGGTTCACTTTTTGAATCCTATGAGGGAGGGAGGGAAACGTGGCTGGAAGTTCAAAGCAGCCAGAGCCATTTCCAAAACACATTCTCCTTCATTTTCCGCTGACTCACTGTGGGATCTTGACAAACTCCTAACTAGAGCTGTGCCTTAGTTTGCTCAACTATAGAATCGGAAAAATGACGCATTCTTCTTAGAGTTACCTCTCAGATTGTGCTTCTGATGCATGTCAAGCCCAGTGGGGGCACACCGTTAGTAATGAGACATCTTAGCACCAATATGTGCTTTTCACATTGGGCAGGTGTCAGGAGAGGCCTGGGGTCATAGGACCAGACTGCAAACAACACAATCCCAGAATAAATCCTATTAATTTGGCATAATTGATGAAAATGAAGATTAGATATTTGACCAGAGATGAGAAATTCATGGGCATGAATGCTGCAGCTCTGATTACTTTGCATGTGAATGTGTGGTAAGAGGCAACATTTCTTTTGTTTAAAACCCTGTGCACCTAATTCACATTCAGAGAAAGGTTGTAGAATCATTCAGGCTCATTGAAAACAAGGAACCAGGATGCCAGCAAGGCCAATGTTGTTGTGAGAATGTTGAGCTATTAATTATAAAATAGCAAAACAGGGTGATTTTATTTATAGCAAACTGTTGCTAGGCAGATAATAAAGACCCCTTTCAGAGCTTGCATTTATATATACATATATATATATATATATATATGTATTTTTTTCTCACAAAAAAGTGCTAGCTTGTGTAATGATTTTTCAGATGAAATGAAAGCAGGACGAGGCTGTCAGCCCTGAATACTTGTGACTTTTAGACTAAAGTCCTTGGCATCAGCCAGCACTGCAGGATGGAGCAGGTGAGGTTCAGCAACCCTGTGAAGGGAGGCTAGGGTATTACCCGCACCCTTTAACAGCAGACTGAGTATATAAACTCTCACTAGACTGGAAGTGAGTGAGCAGCCCCAGGAAAGCCCAGATGAGCTATTGTGCCTTCCTTGGCTTCCCTACCTTCTGTTGTGCCAGGAAGGGTCGGGGAGCCTGTCTGTGGCCTTACTCAGTCAGATATCCCTTCCCTGGCCCCTCTAGAGATGGTTGCTACCTCCTTTTAGGAAGTGTGTGGGAAGGGGCCAATTTGCAAAGGTTCACTTGTGCTCAGTCCCTGCTAAGATGATCAAGCTCTTTTCAAAACTCAGGGGTTGGGCTTTTGCAGTTTCTGGATAGAAGAGGCCCTTAAATATTTGTGGAATTCATGAATGACTTCATGCATGCATTTGGTCCTGTATTTTGGTCCAAGTAGAAGATATGGTAGGTAGAAAAATACCACCTCCCCCGACAAAGACATTTCTATCCCAATCCCTGGAACCTGTACATGCTACTTGATTTGGAAAAAGGGTCTTTATAGATGTGATTAAGTTAAGGATCTTGAGATGGGGAGATCATGCCGCATTATCTGGTAGATCCTAAATGCAATCACATGTATCCCTTTAAGAAAGAAACAGACATTTAACTACATACAGAAGAGGAGAAGGTGATGTAAAGGTAGAGGCAGAGTGCTATAGACTGAATGTTTGTGCACCCTTCCCCACCCACCCAACCCTGCAAATTCATATATTGAAACCTAACCCTAATGTGATGGTTTTAGGAGGTGGGGCTTTTGGGAAGTGATTAGGTTATGAGGGCAGGGTCCTCATGAATGGGATTAGTGCCTTTTTCAACAGGCCCCAGAAAGCGCCCTTGCCCCTTCCACCATGTGAGGATGACCATCTATGAACTAGGAAACAGGCCCTCACCAGAGACTGAATCTGCTGGCATTTTTGATCTAGGACTTCTCAGCCTCCAGACTGTGAGAAATAAATTTCTGTTGTTTATTAGCTACTCAGTCTGTGGTATTTTCTTATAGCAGCCCAAACACACTAAGACACAGAGATTGGAGTGGTGCAGCCAAGAGCCACAATTGCCAAAGGTGCCAGCGACTTGAAGAGCCAAGGCATGGATTCTCCCCTCTGGAGGGAGTATGGCCTGTGGACACCTTGGTTTTAGCCCAGGGAAGTTGATTGTATACTTCTGGCCTCCAGAACTTTGAAGAATAGCTTTTGGTGTTGTAAGGCACCAATGTGTGGTAGTTTGTAGAGCAACCACAGGAAACAAATACAGAAAACAACCATTTCCTCCTGAATCAAACTCCAAACAACCAAATTCCACCTTGGTCATCAAATTTCAGAATAAGTAGCATGAGACATTTTTGTCCCACACAGGTATTACTGGGGCGATGTTATGAAGGTGACGGGAATTTTTTAAAATAGTTTTTAAAATTATGAAAGTGAAATGCAGTCATGGTAGAACAAAGAAGCCAAATAGTATGACAAAGTCTAAAATTCAGTGTGCCCTCCACTCCTGATTCCCGGAGGTCAGTCCTCTGTTTCTGTGTACTCTTCTTTCAATTATGATGAATACAAATATACTTATATCTCCTTATTTTTATACAAACTGAATCATTCATTCACACCACACAGCACATTTTTTGTTCATTTAAAAGTGTATTTTGGGAGATCTTTCGGTATTTGTATATAGATAATTCCTAATTATTTTTCAACAATTGTATGGACATATCATAATTTAATCTGTCTAAACTGATTACTTATTAAGGAAAATGAGATATGCTTTTGCTTTGACAAGGACACTATGCCTTTAAACTGCACTTGTAAGATAATAAAATACTTTTATTTCCCTAAGTCACAGCAAACTATTGTCATTGCTCTTAACAGGCAGCATGATTCATGAAGAGGCTTGGGTTCTGCCCAGGAACCCTAAGATTGTGGGAGAAGTCTGGGATCTTCTGAGTGATAATATTCATCTGTGTCAAATGCAAACTATTGGGCACAGCCCAGGAAAAGAGAAGGCTCTGAAACAAATTGGCTGAATGAAGAAATCAATCAACACACTGCTATTGTGTTTATCTGGGACCTTACTCGAGATCTCAGTGCTAGTAAGTGGCTGATCCAGGATGTTGACCCTGGCCAGCTGACACCCAAGCCCGTCCACACTCTTAGCTAATCAAGGCAAATACTTTGGCTATCCATGGCTGCATTGCAAGCCACCCCGAAACTCAGCAGCTAATACAGCAACAATCATTTATTTGCTCATGATTCTGCCATTTGGGCAGTGCTTGGTGAGAACCACCCATCTTCACTCCATGTAGTGTCTGCCTGCACTGGAATGTCCAAGACAGATCATTT
The DNA here is from genome assembly GCF_000001405.40 of Homo sapiens. NCBI lineage: Eukaryota > Metazoa > Chordata > Mammalia > Primates > Hominidae > Homo > Homo sapiens. The sequence goes on from NC_000015.10 coordinate 25,513,353, forward strand.
TACTCATGTGTCTGGTGCTTCTGCTGGGTGGGTGGAACACAGGGGCTGATCTGGCATTTCAGTCTCCATGTGGCCTCCCCATGTGACCAACATGGGCTTTCTTACAGTATGGTGGTCTTAGGCTATTGGCTTTCTTCCATAGCAGCTGACTTCTCCCAGATCACAAAAGCAGAAGTTGCATTCTTTCTTAATTTCCAAACTTGGAAATTTAAGGACATCACTTCTGCTGCCTTGATTGGTTAAAGCAATCAAAAGGTCAGGTCAGATTCAAGGGGAGAGGAAACAAACAACACTGCCTCTTGTGGAGGGAGAGTCAAGACCATTGCAAAAGAGCCTGTGGGATGGGAGATATCGTGGAAATCTTTGGAAACACACTCCACAACCGACAATTAAATGTGAACATTAGAAAGCTATTGTAGGAGAAGAAAGAAGAGTCACAAAGGGGAAGGAGTTTGTAAGACTGACAGATTACTTCCAGCCTGCAGAATGAAAACCAGGGATCATGGAGGACATGCTTGAATTGGCATTGGTGGGTAGGTAGAAGTAGACATTTGCATGTGAGAAGAAAGTGGCTTCAGGAGCACAGTGTAAGCAAAGGCCTGAGGTGGGAAGGTGGGGTGTGTGTATGTGTGTGTGTGTGTTTTCATCAAAAGATCTAGCAAGAAGAGGGTTGAAGACCTGTGGGGTGATCTATTTCTAAGCAAAAGGTCATATGTAGCATAGAGGTGGCTGGTGATACTGGCTTTCTTTGGTTCCTAGGGTACTGCAAATAGGGTGGAGATGAAGACAAGTTCTCGCCCTCTGGCTACACTGGCACGTGGGAACAGCCTTCTCTTGGAGGACTGTTGCCAGACAGAGGTATGTGGGCACCTAGGCATTGCCATTGACCTCAAGATGAGAGTGGAGTGGGTCATTATCGCTGCTCCCACCCTGGAGCTGAGCCCCCTCCTGAGCCCTTGTTGCGGCGCCTGTGAGGCGGGCCCAGCTGCAAATGGCAGCCGCGAGGTAATTGTGGGAAAAATATGCTAATTAGCAGATGCCCACGATTAACTTGCCTTTCCTGTTGCCTGTCAAACCCAAGCTGCCTTTGTTGGAAAAGATAATTAAATTGGAATCAGATGTCTGCAGTAAATATTTTATTCAGAGCCGTAGATGACAATAGAGGAAGTTGACTCTCAGTCCACCTTCAAATTCCCACCTTTGTCAAAGCTCAGGGCCTGAGCTTGGAGTCTACTCAGTGAGCTTCTTGTTAAACAATCAAGGGACACCACTGGGTGCTTATTAGCTTATTAATGCTAGCATGTTGTCAAAATGCATCTTTGTTCCTGTAAGAGTGGACGAAACCTGTCTTGGAATGTGTGGAATCCAGATCGACTAGGTACTCTAGCCAGCATCCTCCCTGTGTGCCTTCCTCATGCACCCCGTTTGCTTCCTGTGTATCCGGTCCCTCCGAGGGGATCCGAGGGGACCAAGGGTTCTGCTCCCCTCCCTCACTGAGGCTTTCCCCATGTGCCATCGTGGTACTGGAGCTCGGTGCCTGCACACAATTTTCTGCCTCTCGTGGATGGCTCTGCCCTGCTCCAGCAGGTGACAGTCATGATGGTGACTTTGGCGCGGTGAATGCCCAGGAAGCTTGTTAGATTTCTTTTCTTCATGTGATGCGTCAGCTCTGATACATCTTATAGGATGGGAAAGTAAAGAGTGCTTAGGGGGCAAGTGGCTCTTTCTTTTGAGTACAAATGGTAGTTTTCCTTAAGGACTTTATATGAGGAAAAGATCTGTGAGGAGAAACCAGTATGCCCTGTCCTACCTTCCTCCTCATACTCCAAGCCCTCCGTCATCCTCACAGTATCGTTGCTCTCCCTCCATGCCTGGGACCCTGGAAGGACGAGTAACTGGCCTAGCCTCTTGTTTGTTAGCAATGGAGAAAGGAAGCCAAAGAGTGAAACACATGTGGGAGACCCAACCTAGGAGACACAGGATCAAGACATGGCTCCTTGTAATTAGGTACATCAAACTGAAAATCTTCTGCATGGCAAGGGAAACAAGAGTGTAAAGGCAACCTACAGAATAGGAGAAAATATTTGCAAACCATATACCTGACAAGCAGTTAATTTCCAAAATATCTAAGGAACTCCTAAGACTCAATAGCAAGAAAACAAATCATCTGGTTAAAATATGGGCAGAGGACTTAAATAGACATTTCTTAGTTTTGCCTCTCTCCGCAGAGAAAGACTTTCTAAAAAACAAAAAACTCAAAAAACAACAACAAAAAAACCCTCAGTGGGGTGAATCTGCTGAAGAAGCAGGGAGACCTGGCCAGAAGCTGCCTTGGGGTGACATAAGGGAGCTGTGATGCCCTGCTGGCCTGGGACAGCACATGTGTGCACTGTGACACGGGGAAACTTCAGGAGCAGGGCCTGGGAGATGGCACTCAGCACGGCGAGGGAGTTGTGCCTTAGGATGGCCTGGATAGGGCAGTTTGCCTGTGAATGGGGAGGGTGATGGGAGTCACTGGCTTGCTACAGGTTGCACGTTCTGCCTGTGAGGTCATGCAGGAGGGTGGAGAGCCATCCACGACATGCCAGTCAATGGGAAAAATACCGTCTCAGTAGTACTTTTGAATTGTTTGAGTACTTGCTTAAGGTGAGCAAGGACCTTAACCTTGACCAAACTTTAGTGAGGCTCCTTAGTGCCGTCCCCCCAACCCCGTTTTTTTTTTTTTTTATTTTACCTTATCCTTGGTCCTGTCTTTGGTTTGCCTAGCCCAGTGCTGACAAGAAACCCTGTTGTCTGTTTAACAAGAGTCCCTGTACCCTTGATGCCTAATCAAGTTCCTGGTGTGAATTTTCCATTTGTTCCTTCCCTCTGCTGATTATCCCCACCTGTCCCTGTTGTATGCAGTCGATGAGTTCAAGCTCTCTCCCATTGACAATAGACTTAAATGAAGTCTTCCTTTCTGTTTTAAAAAGTGTCAGAATAACTTCTCTTTTACATGGCCTAGGGCCTAACACTCTAGAAGCCCCATTAGTGTAATTCCTTTCTCCCTTCAACCGCATTTATCCATTTCCCCTCTGCCCCCTACCCTTCCTCACCTCCAGGTGCAGTTGAAAGCCATGCTCCATTAAGTGGAGAGAGATTTGACCAGAGCCTGAGTAGGGAATATCTCTGTGTGCCTTTTTTGTCCATCTTAGAGGCATCTGATTGTAACACAAGCTGGAAGGGTTTTATGGGGTGATCTCTTCTTCCTTGAACATGGTTCACTCTTCAATATCAAGAACTCTGTGCAATCTCTTGAAATAATTAAAATAGAGTGGATGGTTAGGTGATGTTGCTGCCTGCCAACCTTCTGAATGAGGACCTGGCGTTCAGAAACTAGCTCAAATGTGTCACTCTTGGTATTTTTTCTTTGAAATTCCCCAACATTGTTTGAGTCCACCCTTCACATTTAATGTATTAAGACCTTATACATTGTAAGACATAGCGAGTTATTGGATAAGAAATTGTGAACACATCACTTTGACTTGTAAGGATTCATGTCATACCCCAAATGGATGAGTTGACTCTCAGGGATTGTAATTAATGGGCTTCACCAACGATACCTGCTAATGGACAAAGGGTCATTCAGCACAGACAATAACTTTGTCCCAAGTATGTGTTTTATAAGGTGGTGGCTGAACTTTAAGTCAGAGGTAGGAATATCATGGACAAAAGAAAAATATTCTCTAATTTTCTATTCTGAAATCGATTTCCAGCATGAGAATGGCATACAGTGCATACAGCATTCCCCTGCCACTGAACGCTCATGCCCAGCTGCATTTAGGTTTTGAAGGAGGCCTACTTTGAGGTTCAGGATGTGTAACAGCCCTATGTTGGCGTTACTGTTAAAAAGTGAATCCAGCCCCAGCTTCCTGCGGATAGTTTGAGTTTATGCCTTTGTCTCAGCATTTTTATTGATAGTGCCTTGTTCACCCTCAAAGATAGTCAGTTTTGGCTGATTTTTAGATCATAGGGTTACCCTAGTTACAGCACGTTGATGAAGATGTTGTACAGAGTCCTTTTCATGAGGACTTTTCTCATTTTCTTAATCCTCAAGACCAAGGATGTTTGTACTACTTCTTATTAACAATTTTGTCATTATGTTGGAGACAAGGAGTGATTCATATAACAGATCAAATTTCTGTTTTTGCACTGAGTTTGTGGGAAACTCAGAACTATCTCTAGTAATTCTACAGGTCTACCGTCTATGCATTTTTGTTTGTTTGTTTGTTTCTGAGATGGAGTTTCGCTTTTGTTGCCCAGGCTGGAGTGCAATGGCACGATATCTGCTCACCACAACTTCCGCCTCCCGGGTTCAAGCGATTCTCCTGCCTCAGCCTCCTGAGTAGCTGGGATTACAGGCATGTGCCACCACACCCGGCTAATTTTGTATTTTTAGTAGAGATGGAGTTTCTCCATGTTGGTTAGCCTGGTCTCAAACTCCCGACCTCAGGTGATCCACCCGCCTCGGCCTCCCAAAGTGCTGGGATTACAGGCGTGAGCCACCACGCCCGGCCCCCTCTGTGCATTTTTATATGATCTCAGTCTATTTGCTCCAAATTCTTGACTTTTTGCCTATAGCATTGTTTTTAATTTTTCAGACTGCCTTGAATTGACTCTGGACAAGACAATTATAAAACAATTATAAAGGCTAAATTTAACATTCATAGGCAAAAATGAACCTTAGCCTAAGTCTTGTACATTATCTAAAAACAAATTCAAAATGGAGCATAGACATAAATCTATACAACATTTTTTAAAATAGGGGAAAATGTTTGTGATCTAAGGCTAGGCAAGAGTTCTTAGACTAGACACCAAAAGCAAGATCTATTTTTTAAAAAGTTTGTAAACTGGGCTTTATTAAGTTTGAAAATGTTTTCTTTTCTACGAAACACTTTGTGAAGAAAATGGAAATACAAGCTACAGACTTGAAAAAAACATTTTCAAACCACACATCTGACAAAGTACTCCTATCTAAAATATAGAAAGAACTCTGAACTCAACAGAAAACAACAAGAATCGAATATGAAAATGGGAAAGAGACAAACATTTCATCAGGGAGTATATTCAAATGGCAAATAGCCTATGAAAGGTGTTCAACATCATTAGCCATTAGGAAAATGCAAACTAAAACCACAGTGAAATATTGCCACACACTTAACAGAAGGGCTGTTAGAAAGAAGGAAAGTGCCGCATGCTGGTGAGGATGCCGGGATGCAGCGACCAGATCGCTTACGTTTTGCTGGTGGTGATGTGAAATAGCACAGCCTCTAAAGAAAACATTTGGGCAGTTTCTTCAAAAACCAAACCTGTAGCTACCATGACACTCAGCTGTTACACTCCTGAGCATTTAACCAGGTGAAATGAAAACATGTTCTATATAAAAACCTGTGCCCCAATGTTTACAGCAGCTTTATTTGTAGTAGTCAAACAAACTGAAAACAGCTCAGATGTCCTTCAACAGGTGAATGGTTCAACAAACTGGTACACCCCTGCCATGTAATGCTACTTCTGCAGTAAGAAAGAATAAACTATTGCTATGCTGAAAAGCTTAGCTGAATCTCCAGAAAAGTATGTGGACCAAGAAAGGCCAATCCCAAAAGGATACATATCATATAATGTTATATATGTATAATATTCTTGAAAAATTACAGAAATTGAGATGACATGAATGTTTGCCAGGAGTTAAGGAGAGGTATAGGTGAGAGGAAAGTGTTGGTTGCAGGTAAAGGTCACCATGATAGAACCTTGTGGTGATAGAAATGTTCTGTATCTTCGCTGTATTGATGCCAGTATTCTGGTCGTGATACTGCACTGTAGTTTTGAGGAACTGTCATGCTTTTCTTCGTAGCAGCAGCACTATTTTTTATTCTCACTAGCAGTGCCGAAATGTCCCAATATCTCCACATCCTCACCAACATCTGTCTTTGTTTGTTTTGATAATTGGCATCCTAATGGGTATGAAGTGGTTGTAGTGTAGCTTTGCAAAATGCTACTACCATTGGGGGAAATTGGGGAAATGGTACACAGGATCTCTCTGTATTATTTCTGAACAAGTTTCATGTGAGTTTATAATTATCTCAAAATCTGAAATTAATTAAAAAGTGACATGCTTATTGCCAAAATTAGACAGCAATGAAAAATGTAAAGATGAAAATAAAAACCACTAAGAGGAGGCAGCATTTGGTGGCTTTGGAGGCAAAAATCTTAGGTGTGATTTCTTACATCACCATGGTTTAGCTTTTTTGGCCTCTGTTTTCTTATCAATAAAATGGGAATGATATTAGTGTGAAGAATTGTTAAGAGGTCTAACAATTTACCATAGTTGCAAACTAACAAATTAGTCTGCTGCAGTTTCACGAATGCTAGGAAGAAGACCCATGATTCCTGGGCCAGAACACAGCAGGATCCACAGCAGCAGGTGTCACTCAGTTCTCTAAGCCCCACTTTCCCCCGGGAAGCACAGGAGGGCAAGGCAGTGACTCTACCTTCAGTGTTTGAGTTATAGTAGAGTAGCTTAGGGAACTCAAAACATTCATATCAGGCAGTTAGCTTGCCTGACCTTCGCCTGGAGATATTTTTATTATATTGGACAATAAACCCAATTGCCTTATCTCTGCCTTACAAGGCTAAACTTCCCTTGAAAGGATGGATCGTTCCCAACAAAGAAAGTTGGTCCCTCTGCTTGAAAACATTGCCAAAATTCAATAGACACATGGGAAATTGTCTACCAGCCATTACATATGTCAAGATATTTCTGTGAGGTTGTTTCTTCAGGGGAGGAAAGAGTAAAGGCCTCACAGGTAAAGGCTTACACAGTGCCTGGTATATGGTGACTCCTGAATAAAATTTAGTTTCCATCTTTTAAAAAATTTTTACAATCACAGACAGCTCTTCCAGTCAGCTGGTCATGTCATATATCTTTCCACCTACACTTTCCATCAAATTTCAATGATTTCTGGCCTACGTCTGAAATGCCAGTGTCTTTAACCACTTTTCCTTTCTTTATCTCCTTGTTCTTCAAGAAATCAAGAAGTTCCAGAAAATAGCTATAGAGGATGGTAGGAAGCTGCCAGCTTCGTTTCTCAGGATAAAGTTGATGAAATTATCTGTGATTCTAACAGCTTTTCAGATTGTGAAAGATTCAATTCCATCTACTTGGGCCAGTAATAGCTTTTAAAACTCTATATTCCTGAGTTGCTTCCTAGTTTATTTTTGTCCTAAATCTTATTTTAGAAGTATAGATTTAAGTATTTTTAAAAAATGGAATGAATAAAGAGGTGGGACTTGCTCATGAGAATTCAAAGTAGAAGGTTTGGTGGGAAATGAGTTTGAAGTGAAAACTTACCTTTCATACGGTCACATTTCAATGTTTCATTATGGCTAGGGGACCACAAAGGAAAGACTGGAGGATATTACTAGAAACTTTCCCTCATAACAAATATTTCTCTCCCAATTCAGTCTTTTCAACTCTGCATAAGCCGAGACTTAGGACCCTGGACAGGAATCTACCAAGATCTCAGTTCTTAGAAAAGTCTAGTGAAGATTTTTAAAATTTCTGTCCAAATAAATGGTCTCTGATATTCTTAGTGATTCTTCCAACTTAAGGTGTAGGCAAAAGAGAAGGTGAAATAATCTTCTTCACTTTCTATTGAGATAGAACACTCCAGTACCCAATTTAGTTTACTTTTCCCTTTAGAAAACATTGTCCCTTTAGAGTTAACAGAAGCATGACACCGCATGTTTCTCTAAACTCTAAAGGGACAGTATTTCCAGGTGGTTATAATTTTCTTATGATAGAACTAGTAGAAATATGGAAGGAATGCCTGTTGTTTTGGAACCAAGACATTTTAGAGGCCACCTCCATTAGTAGTTAGTTCAAACGAGACTTTTTAAAAGCCCTCTACTGAACTTTCTGCCTAAAACTGCGTGAGCTGCGGGAGGAGAAGTGAACAGCCACAGTCTCTACATTTTAGTATCAGGTATTCTAACTGACAGCAAAAGAAACATGTGGAATTCGGTCAGGTGGACAAAGGTAAGCTAGGGAGACAAAGGAGGGTTGCAGGCAAGGGGTGCTCCAGAGGTGGAGAGATATCATGGGAATTAAAACCACCCTAAATCAAAAATACATAAAAAAGAAACTGGACAGCTCAGAGCCGACTGCAGGTAAGAAGTTTCAATGTATCCACCATTTAATAGGCCAGGCTCTTGATTTAAAGGGATAGACTCCGTTTAGTGGAGCATGCATGATTTAAGAGACAGCCTTCCAAAAGCACAACTTCTGGAGGGAGAGTAAAGGAAAAAGAGAAGGAAAAAGCATCTTCCAGCAATCGGGCAATGATGAGGAAAAGAAGTAAAGGGGAAGAGTTAGGTTCTTCCAGACAGAAGCACCACAAACCCTCCACCATCGCTGAAACAAAGAAGCAAAGAAACAAAAACAAAAGCCCTATTATAAATTACCTGAACTTTGCTAGACAGAAGAATGTACCATTAAACCAGGAATCATTTAAAGCACCTCAATATCATTGAAATGAACAAGAAAAAAATTAAATCCATAGAGAACTTGATTTGCAGAAAGTCACGAAATGAACTTTTACACAAATTTGTCCTCAAAAAATAATCATAAAGAAGAAGAAAACTGGAAATCTACATTTCAAACAGAATTGTGTGTACTCAAATATTTTACGATATGATAAAACACATTGGAATAGAAACTCAAAAACTAGAAACAGAAATGGACAATAAACAAGGAGAAAGTTTTTAAAAGTTGATTGAATTCAGAAGGAAATGGAAGAAAAAGACAAAATTATCTCAGAAATAAAAATTAAATTACAGAATGCCCAAAGGAGAATAGCGTCAAATGCAGATTTTAGTAAAGAGCATCAGAGAAAGGCAGGAAGACACCCAGCAGAATGAAATTGGCATAAAGAGAGCCAGCCACAGTGGCTCACACCTGTAATCCCAGCACTTTGGGAGGCTGAGGTGGGTGGATCATTTGAGGTCAGGAGTTCAAGACCAGCCTGGCCAACATGGTGAAACCCCATCTCTACAAAAATACAAAAATTAGCGGAGCATGGTGGCAGGAGCCTGTAATCCCAGCTACTCAGGAGGCTGAGGTGGGAGAATCACTTGAACCCAGGAGGTGGAGGTTGCAATGAGCTGAGATCATGCCACTGCACTCCAGCCTGGCATGGAAGTGCCGGGAAAGTGCCAAGAGGAAAGAAGGAAGGAAGGAAGGAGGGAAGGAAGGAAGGAAGGAAGAAGTGGGAGAAAAAGTAGGGGAAATGGAAGATAGGCTAAGAAGGAATAATATTTCTATTATTGAAGTCCCTGAAGAAGAAAACCATGTCAACATAGCAGAACTAATATTTAAAATTGCAATCCAAGAAATGTTTCCCAAATTAGAAAAAGACCTGAATCTACATATTGAAAGGACTGACTGGCTACCTGGGAAAATTAACCAAGAATGATCAACTCTGAGAAAATATTCAGATTATGCATCTGACAAAGAACTAGTGTCCAGAATCTACGAGGAACTCGAACAAATCAGCAAAAAAAAAAATCCCATCAAAAAGTGGGCAAAGGACGTGAATAGACGTTTCTCAAAAGAAGATATACAAACAGCCAACAAACATATGAAATAATACACAACAACACTAATTATTAGGGAAATGCAAATTAAAACCACAATGAATACCACCTTACTCCTTCAAGAATGGCCATAATTAAAAAGGCAAAAAAGCAGAACAATTCACAATTGCAAGGATATGGGACCAATTTAAGTGCTCACTGATCAATGAGTGGATAAAGAAAATGTGGTATATATACACCATGGAATACAACTCAGCCATAAAAAGGAACAAAATAATGTCTTTTGCAGCAACTTGGATGGAGCTAGAGGCCATTGTTCTAAATGAAGAAACTCAGGAATGGAAAACCAAATACAGTATGTACTTACTTATAAGTGGGAGCTAAGCTATGAGGATGCAAAAACATACAGAGCAATATAATGGACTGTGGGAAATCCAAGGTGGGAGGAGGTAGGAAAGAGGGTGAAGCATAAAAAACAGCATTGGGTACAGTGTACACTGCTCGGGTGACAGGTGAACTAAAATTTCAGAATTCACCACTAAAGAACTCATCCATGTAACCAAAAACCACCTGTACCCAAAAAACTATTGAAAATAATAATAGTGAAAAAATAAATAAAATATTTATCCATAAAAATTACTAACATTCTTTTTTGTGACCTAAGCCATAGAATAAGATAAATATTCATGAGTCCATGCCATTATATATGGACAAATAAATAAATCGGAGAGAAGAGGCAGCTCTTCCTCACAGTAGAATTTCCAAATAATTAATGTAGACAGAAGAAGGGAAATAGAGAATCACTGTTAGGCAAACACCATAAAATTAAATGTATGCAAGAACCACCAATAAATGCTAAAATTAGTCAATAGAATTAAATGTATACAAGATCCACTAATATATGCTAAATTTAGTCGCATAAGTTGAGAAGAAACTTTGAGGATCTGTATAGTCTCAAAGTATCTCCCTCAATACACTTAACAATTATAAAACGAAAGATAGTAACTTTACAGTGGAAAAAAATAGCAGGCACCAACTCAACCAAGTGATTAAGGTAAACCAGAAAGAACTGAGGAACGGTTACAGACTATAATAGAACAGATGAAATAGCAAATAAATACAGTGTGGGATCCTGGATAGAATTCCGGAACAAAAATACAAAGTCAAAAAATTTTAAAACACATGAAAAGATGCTCAAAATAATTGGTCATTAGGAATTGCAGATGAAACCACAATAAGATATAATTAAGTACATGTTAGACTGGATTAAAAATACTGACAACACCAAATGCTGGTGAGGATACGGTACCACAGTAACCTGCTGGTGAGAATGCAAAATGGTATAGTCTGGAAAACAGTTTGGAATTTTCTTAAAAATTTAAACACATGCAACATCAAGAGTATACCCTTATGTGAATTATGGACTTTGGGTGACTGTGACATGTCAATGGAGGTTCATCAATTGTAACAAATGTGCTGCTCTGGTAGGGGATGTTGATGATGGGGGAGGCTGTGCATGGTTGGGGCAGGGGCTCTATAGGATCTCTGTACATTGTACTCAATTTTGCTGTGAACCTGAAACTGCTCTGAAAAATAAAGTCCAATAAATGTTTTAAGTTAAACATACACTTATGACCCCAGAAATCCTACCTCTAGATATTTATCTTAGAGAAATAAAAAGTTGTGTTTATAGAAAAATTTGTTTGTGGATATTTATAGCTATCTTATCCATAATTACCCCAAACTGGAAGCAATTTAAATGTCTTTCAGTGTGTGGCCGACTAAACAAACTGTGGTACATCCAGACAATGGAATATTATTCACCAATAAAAAAGGAGTGAACTCCTGATATTTTGAATAACACAGATGAATCTTAAAATGCCTTATGCTAACTAAAAAGGCAGTTTCAAAATGCTGCAAACTATACTATTCTATTTATATGATGTTGAGAAAGGGAAAAATACAGAAATAGAGAATAGATTAGTGGTTTCAGGGGTTAGAGGTAAGATGAGGGTTTAAATATTGAGGATCAGTGCAAGGAGAATCTTCAAGGTATTCGAATTTTTCTGTATCTCAGCAGGGGTGGTGGCTCACACCTGTAATCCCAGCATTTTGGGAGGCTGGGGCGGGCAGATCACTTGAGGTCAGGAGTTCAAGACCAGCCTGGCCAACATGGTGAAACCCCCATCTCTACTTATAAAAATTAGCTGGGTGTGGTGGTAGGTGCCTGTAATCCCAGCTACTCGGGAGGCTGAGGCAGGAGAATCACTTGAACCCGGGAGGCAGAGGTTGCAGTGAGCCCACAACTTGGGCAACAGAGCAAGACTCTATCTCAAAAAAAAAAAAAAAAAAGAATTTAAAAAATATCTTCAGTGGTAGCTACAATCATCTATGCACTTTTAGAAACTCGTTGACCTGGAACCCCTAAACGTGGATTTTATTGTGTGTAAACTTAAAAGGCTAAAATAAATCACCCCAGTAGACCCAGGCCAACTTCAGTTCTTTATTTCCCATGATTCAGTCATTCCTATCCCACCTGTGTGACTGCCGGGCCTGTGTGCCACACAATGCCCACCCATTATTACTTAATTATTTCATTTAAATCATTGAATTTCTTTCAAAAAGGAGTATATACTACCTTTGAATTCACTGGATTGATGTGCTAGCTATATTTTTTCAACAAATTGTAATATACATATATAGCTATTTAAACAGACAACATATGACCAGAAAATATGTTAGGAAAAAGTAATAGATCATTGGCTCTTGACAGGATCCTTAAAGATAATCTGGTCTAATTCAGTCATTTTTCAAATGATGTGTGTGAGGGCTGTGCCGTCTTGGCCAAGCAGTGCTATCGGAAGCTGCTTCTCCATGACTCAGAGGCAACATTGCTTCTGCCTGGACCCAGCACTTCCTGAGGCTGGAGAGCACTCCTGGCTCACTCCTGATTACCTACTGACAGCTCAGTGCCTGGCACTGAGTAAGTGCTCAAAAAGTACTTCCTTTGTGGAATTAGATGTGGGAAAGGCACCGGAGTGTCTTTACGGAGAAGGAAGTGCATTCACTGTGGGGGTTCCCATGGCTCCTTGGAGTTTCAGTTTTGATCCTACGTCGACTAGGTTGGGAGTAACTCATCGTCGTTTTTGTCCTTTTTAAGTAGGACTGTTACAGGTCTGCTCACCACTACATACATGGAAAATTGATACAGGAGATTGTTAAGTGGTTCTAGCTCTGGCGGAAATATGGAAAAGAATGTTTGTTCAGAAAAATTTAAAAATCAAGAGAAATTAAAAAATGTCTTTGTACCCCCCCTTTATATGTTAAATCATTTTGTCCATTTAAATGTACTTCCTTTTTAAAAAGTCTTCCTCTTTAGAAAGTGCTGATTTTCCAGGAAAATAAGCTAACCGTCCATTTCTAATTAAAACATTCAGTAGAACTGTACCGTAGCTTGGTGTGTGCATGGCTGGGTGTGAAGAATTAGTATAATAATAACTGAACCCATATGCAACTGCCCTGATGGCCATGTAATATGAAAGATGTATCCTACCACACAGCAATACCTGGGGTGCAGGTTTTTTCTGCTGCAGGCTAAAGGCCAATGTCTACCTATCGACCCAGAAGGCTGGCAGTGTTTTGGCTGAAGTCTCACTCAGCATATTCCTCCTTTGAGTGGTAACTTCCTTCCTTTATTTGAAAATGTATAATTTAATACCTCATATTGCTATAGCATTTTTATGCAGGGTGGATCCAAGTTTTGGGAAGCCTAAAGCTCCTACAGTTTTTGTGATCCTCATTAACAAAAGAATAGATGACTACAAATACAAAATTAAGTACAATGGAGAATATATTTTAGAATGAGAAAACAAATCTCAACAAATTACAAATGTTTAGAAGCTGAAAAAAATCACAAAATCCAGGAAAGCTACATCATATTTTTATTAACTCCCTGTCACATTTCATCATACTTCTTTCTTGCATTTTTTGTCTATGTACTCTTTGATCAATTTTGTAGTGCCATTTGCATAGAGAGGTTAGAAAGATCCTTCAGTCTTTCTTCTGATAGATTTTCATTTTTATTTATTATTGGTACTTGGGATGCATAAAACATGCAACTCTATATAGAGATATACCCCCTATTTGCAGTATTGATTGGAAGAAGCCTACACATATAAGAATTCTGATCAATACTATTTTGTGCAATTCTTATCAAAAAGGAAAAACCAAACCACCTGGTTTATGATCCTCACCGCGTGTGTTTCTAAGAGACAGAGACATTTTGTTTTGACTGTTGCCTGTGGTGATTGACTCCTGGGCTCACGATTCTCAAGTCTGATGATGATTAGGCCTGAACATCTCACTGCCCACACATTTCTGTTGCCATGATTCATGGCTTAGAGGAGGGTAGAGGATTCCTGCTGGCAGAACTGGTTTCAAAATCACTCAGTAAATCCAGCCTTGGTGCTTTACATTTCAGTTTAGGTTATAGGGGTGTTTGGCATCTATTCCATTTTCTTTAGCTGAAACTATGACAAAAGCATAACCCTTGAACACCCTATTACAAAAACTTGTGGAACCATGTATCTTCATCTATTTTTCTTTTAATGCAATCAAGATTATATCAAGTATTGCAGGCCTTGCACCCCTGAGCTGCACCCCTGAAACAAAAGCCCCTAGAGAGCACCCTGATTTGCCCCTGGCCTCGCTGATGTTTTTGTTGTCACTGCTTTGGACTGTGGCCCCCCTGTTGTCATTGGATTTCCATCTGCTTCTAATCTCGCACCACCTTCGTGGTGACACCCTTTCCCAACAGGTATGAAGAGGTTTCCTGCATCACACAACTTACTGGATTTCAGGTTTTCTTTGCAATCGCACAAGTTGAAATATTTGGATGGTGGTGACAGTGGAGGTGATAGTATCAGTGGTTGAGAGGTTGGTGAAGGTGGTATTTGAGGTGGTGGTGGTGGTAGGGGTCGTGGAGGTGGACACTGTGGAGGTGGAGGTGGTGGAGTTGGTGGAGGGACAGGGTGGGTGGAGGTGGTGGAGTCAGTGGAGGGGCAGTGATGGCGGAGGTGGTGGAGTCAGTGGAAGGACAGTGATGCTGGAGGTGGTGGAGTCGGTGGAAGGACAGTGATGGTGGAGGTGGTGGAGTCGGTGGAGGGACAGTGATGGTGGAGGTGGTGGAGTCGGTGGATGGACAGTGATGGTGGAGGTGGTGGAGTCGGTGGAGGGACAGTGATGGCGGAGGTGGTGGAGTCGGTGGAGGGACAGTGATGGCGGAGGTGGTGGAGTCGGTGGAGGGACAGTGATGGTGGAGGTGGTGGAGTCGGTGGAGGGACAGTGAGGGTGGAGGTGGTGGAGTCGGTGGAGGGACAGTGATGGCGGAGGTGGTGGAGTTGGTGGAGGGACAGTGATGGTGGAGGTGGTGGAGTTGGTGGAGGGACAGTGCGGGTGGAGTCGTTGGGTGACCAGCAGGGGTAGTGGTGTGGGTGGTGGAGGTGAAACCTGTAAGGCTGTGCCAGAGCAAACCCAAGGCCCTCATCTGCATCCTCTGTGCTCCAGAGTATGGACTTTCACAGACCACAGCCTCCACTGAAGACGAGCTCCCAGGGAAAACAACTCTGAGCAGAAAACACAAAAGGGAGTTTGCATCCCAAGGCCCAGACTGAAGCTCTAAAAGAGACCTTGGAAAGAGAGGAGAGAGATCATCTAGAGAAACCTCCCAAAAATAAGGCATACCATCCCTCTGATGGTTGAAACACACTTAGTTCTGGGCAGAATAAATGAAAACAAATTCATACCTCGATATATTGCAGTGAATTTTCTGAACTTCAAAAACAATGAGAAAATCTTAAAAGTCACTGAGATAAATGACAGATTGAGGAAAGGAAGCAGGCGGGCAGCTGGTGGTCTTCCAAGCACTATAGCTGATCAGCAACCAGAGATTCCAGAGAAACATGGAATGATACCTTAAAGTGCTGAGGCTAACTAACTGCTGAGCACAAAGGATATTTTTTCAGGCACACACAGGGATTCTGAAAGTGTAAACACGAGTCCCAGGCCCTCATTTGAATATTAAAAAAAAACTAAAGCTTGATCTTCAGGAAAAATGGAAACGAATTCAAAAGCAGAGACTGGGATACAGAAAACAATGAAGAAAGAAGTCCGTGAACATGTTGACAAATCCAAATTAGTATTTCTTATAAATAATAACATTGATAACTGATCTAGATGGGTTTTTAAAAGGCAGTGAAACTAAAAGATTAGAAAACAATAAATACAGAAGATAAGAATTTACAAGGATCTAAGTCTGAGAGTCTCATATTCTACAGGGCCAGAACAAAGTGATCTATCAGATTTCAACCATGTTAAAGAATCATGTTGAACACTTAAGAATAACTTCTTAAAGAATATAAGTAGAATGTATAACTTCCAAACCAGTTGGAATAGTATGGGAACAAAGAAAACTTTTCAATGAATTAGAAATCAGGAAAGGAGGAGGGAAAGGAAGCAAAGAAAATGAATGGTAAAGAAAACATATCAATGAGATGGTAGAAATCACTTCAGGTGGACTGGGAAAAGTGGCAGCTCCTATGCCTGTGGCAAGGCCAGGTGTGGGGTTGGACACCTCTCTTCTACAGCACCTCTTCCAAAAATTTATTTATTTATTTTTTAATTTTTATATATTTAGGGAGTACAAGTGCATATATTGTGTCATGGTGAAGTCTGGGTTTTTAGTGTACCCATTACCCAAATAGTAAACATTGTAAAAAATAGGTAATTTTCAACCCTCTGCCACCTCCCACCCTCCCACCTTTCGGAGTCTCCAGTGCCTGTTATTCCACTCTGTATGTCCATGTGTACCCATTCTTTAGCTCCCACTTATAAGTGAGAATATGCAGTATTTCACTTTCTGTTTTGAGTTATTTCACTTAGGATAATGGCCTCCAGTTCCATCTGTGTTGCCGCAATAGACATGATTTCATTCTTTTTCATGGCTGCATAGTATTCCATGGTGTATATGTGACACAATTTTCTTTATCTAGTCCTCTGTTGACGGACACTTAGGTTGAGTCCATGACTTTGCCATTGTGAATAATGCTGTGATAATCATACAAGTGCAGGTATCTTTTTGATATAATAATTTCTCACCCTTTGGCTAGATACCCAGTAGTGGGGTTGCTAGATCAAATGGTAGTTCCATTTTTAGTTCTTTGAGAAAACTTCCTACTGTTTTCCATAAAGCTGTACTAATTTACATTCCCACCAATAGTATATAAGCATTCCCTTTCCTCCACATCCTCTCCAATACCTGTTGTTTTTACACTTTTTAATAATAGTCATTCTGACTGGTGTAAGATGGTATCTCATTGTGGTTTTAATTTGCATTTTTCTGATGATTAGTGATGTTGAGCCTTTTTTCATATGCTTGTTGGCCATTTGTATGTCTTCTTTTGAAAAATATCTATTCATGTCCTTTGCCCACTTTTTTTTTTCTTTTTAGAGATAGGGTCTCCTTCTGTTACCCAGGCAGGGTGCAGTGGCATGATCATAGCTCACTGCAGCCTCGAACTCCTGGGCTCAAGCGATCCTTCCACCTCAGCCTCTCAAGTAGCTGGGACTACAGGCATGTGCCACCACACCTGGCTTATTTTAAAAATTTTTGTAGAGATAGGATCTCTTTGGGTTCAGCATTACAGGGTGATCTGGGAACTTCACAGGCTGGCAGAGGCAGGGACATGGAAGTTAGCAGAGTCATTGGTCTTCCCATGCTGGATTCGATGCCTGCTTCCACTCAACACAACTCATCCTTTCTCTGAGCTCTTGTCTTCATTTTTAAGCCAGTACATTGCACCTTTGTTGCACCTTTGCAGTCCCCTCAAGGTCTGGTACATTGTTGGGTTCAGGGTCAGCTTGGATGGAATAATCCAGCAGGTGTGACCTGAGAGTATGGTACATGTTTTCAATTTTTCAGAGGAAGCAAGCTACACACAATACCAATTTATTTTCTGTTCTCCACTTATCTGTGTTGCAGGTGCTTCCTCATGGGTTGTACCACCCCTGAAGTTTCAGAAATAAATGTATACCCTTCCAGTTAAATGTGGATGAAAAGCAAAGGATGATAGGGTCTCTGGTGCTTGTGACAAAAATGAATTCTTTTCTGCTCCCATTTTCAGGTGGTTATAGAATTTAAAATTGGCCCCTTAAAACACATGAACTCTATAAACCAGATGTGGCACAACCTACTCCTATTTTAGGAAGCTATTTGAAACCTATTCCATCAAAGGGAGCAAAACAGCTTGATGGATAAACCTTCTGCTTTCTCCCAGGGCACATTTCATCTTACCCATTTGTTTTCTTCTTTTGAAAAGAGAGTCAAAGAGAAGGCAGGAATAAGCACCTCTCCACCTGACCTTTTCTTGCTTTGCAAAAAGATGATTCTTGCTGGCCTGGGGTTAGAAGAAAAGAAACCAGCAGTCCTTTAATAGAAATAGGCTAGGCTCCTGGGGAGAACTTGGGCTGAATTTAAAGAGACAGCCTTGACAACCCTCCTCAGTGGGTTCTGAGTGATCCTGGACTGGCCAAGTTAGGAAGTGACTACGGGTGCACAGTATTTGGGAGACTTGGTGTTTGTGCCCTGTCAGCTCCCCTCGGCGTTTCCATGGGAGCTCCACTGGCCTTTCCCAAGCTCCTGCTGGACAAGAAGCACTTCGCCAGTGGCTGAGGTCCAGTACATTGTTGGGTACATGGTCAGCTTAGATGGGTGCAATAATGAAGCCGGCATGACCTGAGCACATGGCACACGTTTTCCATCTTTCACAGGTCAAAAGCTACACACAATGTAAACGTGCTGTCTGTTATCACTAATCTCTCTTCACAGCTTGTTCCTCTTGAGTTTTTCCCTCTTCAATCTTAAATGTCTTTCTTGCAGGTCCTCTTCTCTTTCTGTATTAATCATATTTTTTTTTTACTTTTTTCCATAAGCAATGCCATTATACTCTTGATATTTTTGTGCACTTGAGTGTGGTGACCGTTTTCTGAGCTCCTACTTGGTGCCTTGCACAGCTGGGAGGCTCCTTTGGAACGCATGCCTGGGGCACCTCCCGAGTCCGCGTTTTCACAAGATCATTTTCAATCTGCAGGTGCTCTGCTCACACTTGAATTTTCCTCCAGGAAAGAAATCCTCCAGATGTAAAATCTTTGGCTGCTGCACATGAAGCTACCACTGGTTTTCCTTCATCTTTATTTTTAAAAGGAGGTTGAGATTCCTGAACTTGGTTCTTTTGGATTTGTGGTCTTGCTTCTTGCTCTTAGGAAAGAGCTGGCAGTAGGTATTTTGCTCACATATTGGCCAGTTAGTTCTCCATCCTCTGCATTATGCCCCTAATTTCCCTAAGGTAATCATGCCATTAGCCACAACACTGCCAACAAAAAACAATGCCAAGCCATTAGATAGAGAGGGTGAGCAGGAAGCACCTCATGACAGGGCTGTGGAAGCTTCCCTTGCCTCTATCCCCTGCAGAAAACAGTGTTGACATATTTAAGAAGCTGGCTCTGCATTAAAAAGCATGTCTGCTGAGTTCAGTCTGCAATAACCTCTTCTCTTTTTTACAACCTATTGCTTAGTCTGAACATGCAGTGTATATTAAAGAGGACTTTTTTCTTTTCCTTTAGGACTAGAGTGCTTTAAAGAGAATTCACCAGCTCCATTGTTGGCAAGAAAAGCACGTTCTTTTATATGTAGGTCCCAGATGATACAATCCCAATTCTCTTTTGAACACCAAAAATAGTACAGGCCACGCCAAGATAAGCAGATGTCTTACCCAAAATCCCAAACAAGGTACTTAAACCCTGAAATTAAACAGCCCAGAATACAGTGACCAGAATCTCACCCGTTTGGTTCTTTCTTCATAAAGCTTGGCAGGGGATAGACATGCCCTATTGCATGCAATGTGTGCTCTACTCAAATACTGTTATTTAAAATTAAATGTTTGCAATTGAATTATTTTGCAAATGGGGTGTTTAGTATTAAAGGAATCTTATGGTGAAATTCCTTCATAAAGCAATAAATCTTCCTTGTTTATTTAACTGTAAAATCAATGTAGTAGAATTATGGCAGGCGTGAACAATAAAAAAAATCAATCATCTGTAATCCCCTAACTTGAATATGACTCTTTGCAAATATGCTCTTCTCTAGCTTTTGTGTATTAGGCATATATAGCTTCCTTAATTGAAACTGTGGAATAGAAATAACACTAGGTTCTTCTTTCCCTGTCAAACTAAAAGAAAGAAGCTGAGGCACAAAATATAATTAAAAGAGCTTACTTGAGCCAAAGTGAAGACAGCTGCCTAGAAGACTCAAACGCATGTAACCCTGGCTATGAGCTCCATTTGGCCTTTGTTACAAGCAAATTTATTTATTTATTTATTTATAGACAGTCTCGCTGTGTCACCCAGGCTGGAGTGCAGTGGCTCGATCTTGGCTCACTACAACTGCCGCCTCCCAGCTCAAGTGATCCTCCCACCTCAGCTTCCTGAGTAGCTGGGACCACAGGTGCATGCCACCAGGCCTAGCTAATTTTTTATATTTTTTGTAGAGATGAGGTTTTGCTATGTTACCCAGGCTGGTCTCAAACTCCTGAGCTCAAGCAATCCACCCATCTTGGCCTCCCAAAGTGCTGGGATTACAGGCATGAGCCACTGCACCTGGCCAATTTATTTATTTTTAAAGTTATTTATTTATTTAGAGACAAGGTCTCACTCTGTCGCCCAGGCTGGAGTACAGTGTTGCGATCATGGCTCAACTTCCTGGGCTCAGGTGATCCTCTCACCTCAGACTTCCAAGTAGCTGGGACTTCAGGCACATGTTACCACACCTGGCTAATTTTTGTGGGTTTTATTTATTTATTTATTTATTTATTTATTTATTTATTTATTGTAGAGACAAGGTTTAGCCATGTTTCCCAGGCTAATCTTGAACTCCTGAGCTTAAGCCATCTGCCTGTCTCAGCCTCCCAAAATATTCGGATTACAGGTGTAAGCCAGCACACCTGACCACAAGCAGGTTTTAAAGGCAAAAAAGGGACAAGGAGTAGGCTGATACAAAGTTGTTCGTTAGGAATGCTCATTGATTTACAGAAATAACATTGATTAGAGATTGGCTATCCATTGTTAAACTTTACGGTGTTGTTTACAGTGTCTCGTAAGGCGCTATTAGGTTAATTTATAGCTACCTGTGGCAATAGCAAACGGTTTCAGGAGATGAATACACAGCTCAAAGCAGGGAGTAGGAGGTGATTGTGGTTTCATTTTAATGTCTCTAGGCCTGGTAATTCAAAAGAACTCGTATTCCTCAGTTAAAAGTTATTTTTCTTTTCTCACCATGCCATCTTATATTATTATAACTTGACTATTATTCATTTTTAAAAGTAATTGTACATTCAACTTGCTCTTGATTGTTTTAGCAAGATAGGAAATGCGATGCAAGTTTTGCACCTGCGCACTCCCACCCACATATCACTGACTCACAGCAGCAGCAGTAGGATAGACACGGTCATTTTGTGGATATACGTGAGGCCCTTCAGTGGAGCTAGGGTGGTTCTTGGAACAAAACTAATAGAATATATTTATATATGAAAGGGAGTTTATTAGGGAGAAGTGGCCGCTTGCAAGCTGGGGAAGAAAAAAAGCCAGTAGTGGCTCAGTCCGAGTCCAAAAGCCTCAAAAACAGGGAAGCAGGCAGTGCGGCCTTCAGTTGGTGGATGAAGGCCCGAGAGCCCCTGGCAAATCACTGGTGTAATCCAAGAGTCCAAAGGCCGAAGAACCTGGAGTCTGAGGTCCAAGGACAGGAGGAACGGAAGGAAGCATCCAGCATGGGACAAAGATGAAAAGCCAGAAGACTCAGCAAGCCAGCTCATCCCACCTTCTTCTGCCTGCTTTTTCTAGCTCCACTGGCAGCCAAGTTGGATGGTACCCACTCGCATTGAGGGAGGGTCTTCCTCTCCCAGTCCACTGACTCAACTGTCAGTCTCCCCTGGCAGCAGCCTCACAGACACACCCAGAAACAATACTTTACCAGGCATCTAGGTATCCTTCAGTCCAATCAAACTGACACCTAAGACTATCATACTTGACTACAAGTGAAACGACCTGCTGCCACTCTCCTTAGTCTCCTGTAGAATAATTTTCTTAATAAATTCCCAGGAAGAGTATAGTGGGCCAGAGAACCCTTTTATAATTACCAGCATCACTAATACTTTAAATCTCAATTTTGAACATTTTGAGTTTGCTTTAATAAGGCAAATGACTGTGGCATAACCTTTTCTAGTTTCTTTTTTCCTATATGGCTTTCTCTGATTAACAAGAATGACTTCTTTTTGAACCTTTCAATTTGGCATTTTCTACATGGAATGTCCCTAAATCAAGTAATTTTCACAAAGCAAAGTTTTCAAAAATCAAGGCAGTAGTTGAGACAAAATATTGTATTTGCTATGAAGTGCAAGAAGAAACCTCTTTTGTTGGTAAATCGAGGCCTAAATGCTGATTCCCTGTGTCAGCTGAAGAATTGTGAGGTTCATATATTTGGAAAGGAGAGCTTTATTTCTCATAACAGGTGGCCATCCTGCAGGCTGGGAAGGGTAGCCTCCAGCGCACGCAGAGACAAAGCACTTCGAGGGAAGGGTAGAGGGAGCAGGAATGGGAATGTAGAGGGAGCTGAGTCGGGGGATGAATATGCATATTCAATAAGCTATTGGAGGAGTCATGAATATTTATGAAAGGAAAGACATGTGTACATGTGCAACTGAGCTTCGTGCCCCTTCATGGGTCTCATGTTCAAAAAATGGTGGTGGTGGCATGATCCGAGGGTAGACATTTTGGCCCTCTGATGTCAAAAGGTGAAGCAGAGGACATGAAGCCCCTCAGTGTGCGTCCTCTGAGATTCAGCCAAAACCAGACCAGAAATGGTGGTCAGTTATCAGGAAGAGGTGCATTGTGAAACTGGTGGGCTGTCATGCTGAGACTAAAGAGGGAGGGGGAGTCTGATCCTGCCCTCAGATGATTGGCTAAAGGCGATAAAGGAATAAGTTGTCCACTTCCTGTTTTCCAGTGCTGGATTCTGCTTCCTCCTCAGAGAGAATTCTGGTTTAAGGTTACTGAGGAGGGGCACACTGAGGCGTGTCCCACCTCCTGTTCCCTCACGGACGGGAACTCAATTTCTAAGGTTTCTCTGGGGTCCCCTTGGCCAAGAGGGGGTTGATTTAGTTGGGTGGGGGACTTAGTATTTATTTTCATTTCTTATCTGCCTTATAGGATCCCCAAACAGCAAAAAAAGAAATCCTCAAACTCTCAGATTCAACATTGGGAGTTAGTGTGGGTGTATGTGCCAGGCACTGTGCTAGATACTCCATTAACCTCATCTCCTACAGAGAATATTTAATTAAAAAAGAAAAGGCAACATTCCAGATCTTCTCATTCGGTAGTTATTTGCTAGAGTTTCTTCAGTGAGGCACCCAAAAGCTTGTCTTGTGTTAGACAGATTTGTGCTTCTTTCACTTAATTCTGAAGCATCAATAGAACTGGCGACTTCCTGACCGACCATCATGACTAGACCCGGGGGCAGTGAACATATTGTGGGTGCCTCTGAGTAACTTGTGTTTTTTTCTTGTTAAGTAGGTTTTTAAAATGCGTGTGTGTGTGCGTGTGTGCATGTGCACTGTGACACACAGAAAAGCACACAAAAAATAAATATACCTTATGAGATGTTTGTTGAAATATCTCATAAAGAACACGTGTAACATGATCATGTAGATTCATGAATAGAATATTTCCAGGAACCCCAGAGCTCCCTCCTTTTGAAAGATGGCTAAATGAGTTTTCTCATTGCTCCTGTAGAAGACGAGAATATGCCATCCCAAAATATGTCTCTTTAGCATAAGGATTATTTTGACCTGGTTATTTTGTGAAACTGCAGACACAGGAGAAACTCTGAAAATAAAAGTCGAAGTGACCCTTTTGTAAGGGGAAATTTACATTTGTAGAGAAAATCTCCATTTGCTTGGATGTCTCCTTTTCTGTACCAGGAAGAGAAAGAGGACTCTAAATCACCAGACTCTTATCAATGAAGAGGCAGCCGCTGAAATCTGCATAGCAAACCTGACTCTTGGGTACCCTGCTTTTCCTAGGCACTTGGCCATGACTGGCCTTCCCCACACCCTTCTTTCTCTGTTTTTAGCTTAAGATGGTATTTAAGACCAAATACTAAGACATCTCTTTGAGATTTACTCATTTTTCCCTAGGTATCTCCCATGTATATTTGATGTATTTATGTTGATACAGTCAGTGCTGCATAACTAGATTTCAGACAATACCATATTGCCTAGGGTGAAGTAGGCTGTACCATCTAGACTTGCGTAAGTCCACTCTATGATGTTCATGCAAGGAGGAAATCACCTAATGATGCATTTCTCAGCATGTAACCTTATTGTTGCATGACACGTGGCTGTATAGTCGTTTGTTTTTCTCTGGTTAGTCTATCTTTTGTTACAATGGATCCCAGCTAAGAACTATTTAGAGCTAAGTTATTTTCCTCCCCGACCCTGCTGTAACAAATTAGCATGAATTTAGTAGCTTAACACACTAATTTATCTCATAGTTCTGGAGTCAGGAGGCTGAAATAGTATCCATGGGTCTACAATCAAGGTGCGGGCAGGGCTGTGTTCCTTCTTGGGGCCCTAGGGAATAAGCTTTTCCAGCTTCCACACTCCACACACATTCCTTGGGTCATGGCCCCATCTCTGTCTTTAGAGCCAGCGATGGTCAGTCAAGTCTTTCTCACAAGGCATCACTCTGACATGACTTCAGTTGTCACATCTCTGGTTCTGACTCTCCTGCCTCCCTATTTCTCTTCTAAGGATTCTTGAGATTACACTAGGCCCTTGGGATAGTCCAGGATAATCTCTCCATTTCACAGTTTTCAACCTTAATCACATCTGCAAAGTCCCTTTTGCCATATAAGGTGCTGGCCTGAAAGGAAGAAGCTGATGCAAAATTACGTGGAAAGTCCACTTGGGGCCAAGCTTGAGGGCCTGGATTCAAGTAGCCCTGAATATACACTCAGAACAGCCACAGTTACTAGTGGATTTTTTAATGCAAAAAAGTGGGGCAGGAAGTGGGCTGATACAAAGTTGTTTGTTAGGAATTCTCATTGGTTTACAGGAATAACATTGATTAGTGATTGGCTATCCATTGTTAAGCTTTAGGATGTGTGTTATAGTGTCTGGTGTGGCATTATTGGGTTAATTTATGGCTACTTGTGGCAATAGCAAGCAGTTTCATGAGATGAACATGGGGGGAAGCTCATGGGGGGAAGCAAGACACAATTGCTGCCTCATTTTAAGGTCTCTCTGAGCCTGATAATTAAAAGGACTTGCATTACTCAGATAAAAGCTCTTTCCTCAAAAGTAACATGTTCATAGATTTTGGGGATTGGTGTGTGGACATCTTTTAGGGAAGGCATTAGACTGTCTGCTACCGTGACACTATCCTGACTTATCGCACTATGATTTATGTTATGTTGCCTGAAATTATACAACATGCACTTTTTTTGTATCTCACTTTTTTCTCGATACTGTGTGAGAGTCAGCATATTGTTTCATGTATCTCTAGCTGATGTATTCCTAATTGTCTAATGTTTTACTGTATGAATACACCACAATTTATGTATACACTCTAAGTGGATGGGCATTTGGATTGTTCCCAGTTTGGGGCTCTTACATAAGATGCTGCTCTGTGTCTGCTTGGGCCTGTGTCTTGGCGTTCCTAGAAGTGGCATTGCTGGGTAAGAGAATATACCACAATTGATGTGAGCACACATCCTAGTTTGCTTGGAACAATCCCAATTTATGCCTGTTGTCCTATCTGGTAAAAGCCTACATTCACTCTCAAAATATGGTCACCCTAGGCATAGTGATACTTATTTCCAACTCCAGTAATGTAGCCAGACAGTTTCCAAAGTGAGAGTAACTGGCCAGGTGCAGTGGCTCACACCTGTAATCCCAGCATTTTGGGAGGCCGAGGCGGGCAGATCACTTGAGGTCAGGAGTTTGAGACTAGCTGACCAACATGGTGAAACATTAGCTGGGCATGGTGGTGCATGCCTGTAATCCCAGCACTTTGGCAGGCTGGAGTGGCAGATCATTTGAGGTCAAGAGTTTGAGACCAGTCTGGCCAACATGGTGAAACTCCGTCTCTGCTAAAAATACAAAAATAGCCGGGCATGTTGGTGATGCGCACCTGTAATCCCAGCTACTTGGGAGGCTGAGGCAGGAGAATCGCTTGAACCCAGGAGACAGAGGTTGCAGTGAGCTAAGATCACGCCACTGCACTCCAGCCTAGATGACAGAGTGAGACTCCATCGCCCCCAAAACACAAAAAACAAAGTGGCAGTAACTTGTGCTCCAGCAACAGTGCGCTCCACATCCTCACCAAACACTTGTGATTGGCCGTCTTTCTCGTTGTAGTTTAATTTGCATTTCCCAATTACTACTAACAAGATTGAGAAACTTTTCATAAATTTATTGCCCATTTAGGACAGTACATTTTTTGAGAAATCTCTGGATCACTTGCTCATTTTTCAATAGAGTCGTCTATCTTTTCTTATGGATTCGTTAGGGATGCTTTTGATATTCTAGATCTGAGTATTTTGTTGATTACATGAATTGCAAATATCTTCTCTCTCTCTGTGGCTTGCCTTCTCACTCTCTTAATGGTGCCTTTTAAGGAATGGACATTCTTAATTTGAATGTGATTTGAATGATTTATCTTTTTATTTATGATTAGCCCTTTTTGTGTCCTATTTAAGAAATCTTTCTCTACACTCAAGACTGTGAAAATATTTTCCTTTATTACCTCCTTGAAAATATGTTGTTTTGCCTTTTATATTTAGGTCTACAATCTACCTAAGCTTGATTTTTTTATGTGAGAAGGTCAACTTTAATTCTGTTTTCAAAAGGGTAAATAATACAATTGACCCAACACTATTTATATAAAATAATATCGTTTTCTTCCCCATTGTTTGATGTACCACCTTTTCAAAAATCAAGGGTTAATATATGCACTGGCCTGTTTCTAGGCTATCTGTTCCATTTGTCATGAGTCTATTTGTTTATCCTTGGGAACAATATCATGCCATCAACTGAACTATTACAGTTTTATAATAAATCATGATAGGTGGAAGAGGAAACTCTCCCCTCATTATTCTTCTTAAAGCGTATCTTAAGTATTCTTAGTTCTTTGCATTTCCACTTAAATTTCAGAATTGTATTAATAATGTCCTTTAAAAAACTCATTGGGATTTTTATTGAGATTGCATAGATCAGTTGTTACCCACCTTCTTGGTCTCCCAATGCAATAGAAATTGACATGAGATCAGAGAGTTTTCCCAGACAAGGCTTCACTGGAGCTTATGCTGGTGCATAAGGGAGGCAGCACCAGAGAGAGAGAGAGAGAGAGAGAGAGAGAGAGAGAGAGAGAGAGAGCGCTATCTGGCTGACTCTCTGAAAAGAGCCAGTAGGGCTTTTTTTTTTTTTTTTTGGCAAAGGATGGGAATTGACATCAGGGATAGATATGTAGGCTGGGTTGGGCACAGTATGTGAGGGGTAGGGTACACAGGTCAGCATATCTGGTTGTGATGGTTATCTTGAGTAACGGGCCACCTGATGGTCTGGCTGGTGGCAACAAGGTTATAAATCAATTGTTCAACATTCCTTCCTGTACTGGGACACTCCACAACCTTGCTTCCATATTTTGGATCTCCTAAGGCCAGTTCCTGGAATTCTTTAAGTAAAACGACTATTAGTAGTGAAGTGGTGGTGTGGGTTTTGTGATCAGTGTGAGTGCATGAAAGAATGTTCTAGTGGGCGTGAGTTGAAGCCAAGCCCTGTCCCTACTCTGTCTTAAATTTATGGAGAACTTACACTTTTACATTATTATATTTTTCAATATAAAATTGTTTTGGAAAATAGGAGGAAATGTTAATAATATCTAAAATATTACAATTTTAAATCGCTAAAGTGAAAGAAAACTTGGCTGCACATATAGACTCATGGTACCCAATATTGATATTAATACCTATAATATGACCATAGCCACCTTAGATTTTCTTGTGTGAATTAATCTGAAATATGTGGCAAAACCCACGTCTCCTCATTGGTGTTTTTTTCTGAAGCTAAGCAAACAACACCATGGTGGTTTGTGAATTGAAATGGTTTTTTCCAATGGAGCAATGTTGTCTGTGGCACTTTGGTTCCAGAAAAGCCCTCAAAGCCCAAGAGACCCCCATTTTGCACAGGAGAAAATCAAGGCAGAGGTAGATTAAGTAGCTTGCTCCAACTGACCCAGCTAGTAAGTGGTACTGTTGGTATTTGAATCTGGGAAGTCTTGTGCAAGAGCTGCTGTCATTAACCATTACACAACATTGCCTTTAAAAATTTGCTTATACCAATTAGGATTTCCTTTTCTCAGGAAATGAGGAATATGAAAATTGATAGCTGCTGGCAGGGGTTTAGCCTCTCCAGGGCACAATTTATATCTCTGTCATTCCATTGGTCTTTGTCTCACAGTCACAAGATGACTGACACACTCTGGGAATTGAAACTGCATGGCAGGCAGCACAAAGTTGGGAGTGGGTGGCACCATCAGTGTCTGCTCTGTTAACAACAAAGCTTTCCCCTAGGCTCCCTCCAACAGGTGAACATGTCCTCTACCAGAAAAGCGGCCCTTTCTGGTGGGCAGGAGAGACTGTCGTAGAGAGCTCATACTGGGTGAGCCGGTCCACAATGCCAGTCACAGCTTCTGGGACTTGAGCAAGGGCTCCAGCAGGGCACCACAACCAAATATCACGTTGGTTGGAATGGGCTGTAGTTTCTAGGGTCTCTTACTAACAGAAAAGTTTAAAGTTTCACCATCTTGTTTCTTGGTCTTCATTTAAATTAAACTCTTACTTTGATCCATTAGAAATTTGCAGTAGAAAAGAGAAAAAGCCATTCCGATACCCTGAAAGCAGAGAACCTCTTATATTCATCTCTAATTCCCCACAAAAATCAGCACAACAGGCCGGGCACAGTGGCTCACGCCTGTAATCCCAGCACTTTGGGAGGCCGAGGCGGGTGGATCACCTGAGGTCAGGAGTTCGACACAAGCCTGGCCAACATGGTGAAACCTGTCTCTCCTAAAATAAAAAATTAGCCAGGTGTGATGGCAGGGGCTTGTAATCCCAGCTACTTGGGAGGCTGAGGCAGGAGAATCACTTGAACCTGGGAGGCGGAGTTTGCAGTGAGCCAAGATTGTGCCACCACACTCCAGCCTGGGCAACAAGAGTGAAACAGTCGCCAAAAAAAAAAAAAAAAAAAAAAAAAAAAATTCAGCACAACAGAGTTTGGACAGGGAAGAGAGAGTCAATAAACATTTGCTGAGTTGACTTGAATTGCGTAATAGTAGGGCAAGAAAAGCATATATTTGACACTTACATTGGATAAAAAATTGACAATATAAGGCATAAAAACACCAGTATAAAGTCACAAACCAAATGTTGATCAATTACTTGAGCATCTAAATCTACCTCAGAGGGTCAAATCTTCATAAGGCATAAAATTTCTTTATGCTGGTCATTCACTCAGCATGTCTTTTTCTCCCCTTTTTCATCCTTTAATCAAGAATTTGGTCTCATGATAGCTCTGACCCACTCAGCGGCAACTAATTCAAAGAATGAATCTCCCCTCCTCCATGGAGAAGCAGTGTGAAGATGCAGAGTTGGAGCCTGTCTGCCCACATGGGATTTTCAGCACAGTGTCTGCATCATCTTTACCGAGCACTTGAATAATTTAGATTGCATGTTCCATGAGGTCTTTGCCTGGTGGTGACAGACACTTAGGATGATCTCTCAAAATGCTCCAAGCTTTTGCATGAAGTGGGTAAGTGATAGTGGTGATTTTAAACCAATCATGAGTTTGTGACGGAGTGTATTAATTTTTTTAAAATGAAGGCAAAAAGATTAAAGAAAAAGTTTAACACAGCTTAGAATTGAGGACCCCTAATGTCCTTTTCTACTTTCACCACTAATTGGGCAAACTTTAGGCAGGCCAGTGGCTCCTGAGTTGAAATAGGAGCCACGGAGCTTCTTTCTGAATTTATCCTCAGGGGGCAGGGCTCTGAACTACTTGAAAGAAATGGTTTGGGCAGTTTGGGGTCTGGGATTTGTTTTTGTTTTTTGCAGGTTTCTACTGCCTTTGTTTTGTGCCCTTTTAGTTGAGCCAAGCCCAGATCTGTTCTTCATCTGCAGGCTGCACTGCTTGATCAGAGATGGCCTATTTCCAAGATCTGGGCTGTGAGCCAAGGTTTGGTAAAACAGAACTCAAGAGGAAAGAGTCTCATTCCTCTTCTCTCTTTCATTTGGGTCAGACTGTAAGTGGCATCTAAGGCAAAGAGGACACATTTGTCCACTCTATTGTGAGGGCTGAAACGCAGAGCTAGCCAGGGACCCTCAACTGCTCAGGAGTTAGTGGGCTGCTCCCAATGCCCTGGTCATCTGTGGTTTCTCCTGAGTCTCTTCCCTGACTTTTACATCCTTCCACCCCCTGGGAAAATTCCAACTTCTCATCCTCCAAGCAGTGTCTGTCCTGTCTTCCCCTTTATTCCTACCAGTCTCTTTAGTTCAGTCACCCTGTTTTTCCCTGTCTCTGCTGTTCTTTTCCTCTTTCTCCTTCCTCATGGTCCTTCTTTGAGTTTTTATTCTTTTCATTTTCCCTTTCTCTTTTTTTTTTTGTTTTTGTGCCTTAGAACTTCTGCTGTCATTCATGGGCCTTAAAGGAAATGTGGAATCTGAGAATAGGCAGCTACAGCTAATGAAATCAGCCTGTGTTTGGTGCCTGGGGACAGGACAAAAAGATGGCTAACCCCAGACAGCACCATGAAGACAGGCTACTGGAAGGATCATGGCAGCAAATCATAGTTGTGATTGTGGCCCATATGTTTGCCAATTCATTCCCTCACCAAATATTGATTGGGTGCCTACAGAAATGAAGATGCCACTCTGTCCTCAAGGGTTAAAGGCTGCTTTTATGGCCTTTCTCCCAGAGCTGTCCAATTAATCCTCATCTCTTTTGTATAAAGATGAGCAACAGGTGTGGAGCATAACATTGACACACACAGTCACTAAATGATTTAAGCAAATGCCAAAGGATTTGGTCATTACCGTAAGTAACAAGACACTGTTCTAAGCCAAAACATTTTCAATTACATTAGGATAGATAAAATCTAGATGGCATTCCAGTTGAATTATATGCTGTCACAGGTGACCTGAGACCACCTTCGGAAATATACATAGAGGCCGGGTCCGGTGGCTCGTGCCCGTAATCACAGCACTTTGGGAGGACAAGGTGGGAGGATCGCTTGAGCCCAGGAATTTGAGAGCAGCCTGGGCAAGAAAGCAAGACCCTGTCTCTATAGATGAAAAAAAAATCTTAAAGAAAAAAGAAAAGAAATCCACATAGAATTCTTGAATGACTTTTTATAACGAGATAAACCAAAGACTCTCCACAAGTCTTTGCTCAGATGGAATAGCCTTTATCCATCTTTTAAAAGAAATGTTAAGATACGGTCTAAAGTAAGCCTGGTCTTGGATAGTCCTGTTATTCCTTCAGAAAAGTAACTTAAACAATTTACTTAGCTAAGTAAACAATTTAAACAATAAATATTATAACCAGGTCAGGTACCTACACTGGCTTTACCAAGGGGTATGCGATATAGTACACTGTCAAATTAATGGAATTCCTTGCAAAATCAACACAGAGCCTCTATGGGGTTACACATTTTAGTTTAGGATCCATAGGACTACTGGATTCTGCTGAGGAATTCTGTCATAATAAATCCCATTCAGCTATAACGTCCAGGTGTCAGACGGTGCAAAACAGAATTAAAACTGTTTTTTAACGTGCATGCTCTTTGGTAACATGAACATCTTAAGATTCTATAAGCATTTATGAGTTCCATCTCCTAAGAGCTTATTACAGTGCTTGCCTGATCTCAAGCAGGTGATTAACAAAAGTTTGTGGATGGTTGACTCTACCTGGTAAGTCCAGTTAATCAGATTGAATCATTTTCCAGTAATGCTGATTAAACTCCCACCTGTGCACCATGCATCTGACTTTTCAGAACTCACTATTCATAGGCCGTGAGTCACTCTCCTCCCACCCACATGCTGATATTCCACAGTTGTCAGAGTGCATCTACACATTTATGTAATGATTCACCAGGAAAGAAAGGGGAACTAGAGGAAGGGAAGGACAAAGTTAGACAAAGAGAATAATGAACAGTTATTGTCAAAAAGGCTGTTGTCTTTGAATACAATATTAGCACTATATTTTTAAATTATGTTAATTTGCTTAAAGTCTCTTGTGACAAGTACATGAAAAATAGACCAGAAATTAGGAATTATAAAGGATTTCAAGACAAATCCCAACAGAACCCAATAGAGTAGATGTAGAGATGGACAGAAAAATGAAGACAAGGATTTAATGTAGTTAAGTCAGCAGAAAGGAATCAACAGTGAGAAAAAGGGGGCTATAATGTCCTTTAAAATACTTCAGTGTGGCGGTGCTTGGTGGCTGGTGGCTCATGCCTGTAATCCCAGCACTTTGGGAGGCCAAGGAAGGTGGATCACCTGAGGTCAGGAGTTCGAGACCAGCCTGGCCAACATGGTGCAACCCTGTCTCTACTAAAAATACAAAATTAGTGGGCATGGTGGTGCATCCCTGTAATCCCAGCTACTCGGGAGGCTGAGGCACGATAATCACTTGAACCTGGTATGCAGAGGTTGCAGTGAGCCGACATCGCGCCACTGTATTCCAGCCTGGGCGACAAAGCAAGACTCTGTCTCAAAAACAAAAAAACAAAACAAAACAAAACAAAAAAAACTTCAATGAAAGTCCTAGCAGCAATGTTTTCCTTACTCTGTGACTCTGACTGTAAACCAACATAATGAATGTGCTCTCACTGCTACAGTTGGGCTCAGCTTTGAGGAAATATCTGTGGTGTTCAGAACACTCTGTCAAGCTCCACGCAGAAGGAGGGGAAACGTTCTTCTTTGCACCTTAGTCACTTAATTTCAAATGTAGAGATGGGGGAAGAAGGAGGTGGAGGAAGAAGAGAAGAAAAACCAAATGACACACTTATCTACTTGCTTTGCATGTTGTCTCATTTAATCCTCAGCACAAATCCATGAGCTTTTTTGCAGCCAGTATTATTGAGGTATAATTGACTGATTCCAACTGCATAAATTTAAATTACACAATTTGATGAGGCCGATGAAATGATAACCCCAATCAAGATAATAACTATATCCATCATCCACAAAAGTTTTCTCATATTCCCTCATAATGCCCCCTCTTCCCAGGCAAGCTGACCTTCTTTGGTTACTATAGATTGGTTTGTATTTTTAAGAAGTTTACATAAATGGGATCATATAATACATAGTTCTTTTTTGGTCTTTTTTTTTTTTAAATGGAGTCTCGTTCTGTCACCCATGCTGGAGTGCAATGGTGCCATCTCTGCTCACTGCAACCTCCGCCTCCCGGGTTCTAGCGATTCTCCTGCCTCAGCCTCCTGAGTAGCTGGGATTACAGGCACCCACCACCACGCCAGGCTAATTTTTGTATTTTTAGTAGAGACAGGGTTTCACCATGTTGGCCAGGCTAGTCTTGAACTCCTGACCTCAGGTGATCTGCTTGGTTTAGCCTCCCAAAGTGCTGGGATTACAGGCGTGAGCCACTGGACCTGGCCTTGGTCTTTCTTTAAAAAAAAAAAAATCAGCGTAATCATTTTGAGATTTACCCATGCTGTTGCATACACCAACAGTTCAATCATTTTTCTTGCTGAGTAATATTCCATTGAATGAATACATAAAAATGTATTTAACCTTTCAGCTCCTGATGGACATTTGGGTTGTTTCCAGTTTAGGAATATTACAAATAAGCTGCTATGAATATTTGTATGTGAGTCTTTGTTTGAGCTATACTTTAGTTTCTCTTGGGTGAGTGCCTAGGAGTTGGATTACTGGGTCATATGGTTGGTGTATATTTAAGTTTTTAAGAAGCAGCCAAAATGTTTTCCAAAGTGATTGTTTTATTTTTAATTCCAATTGGCAATATATGGAGAGTTCTGGTTGCTTCACATCCTTGCTCACACGTGGCTATGGGCAAACTTCATTTTTGCCATTCTAGGGGGTATATAGTGGTACCTCCTTGCGGTATTTATTTGCATTTCCCTTATGGCTTATGATATTGAGAATCTTTTCATGTGCTCGTAGCCCATTTGCATATGTTTTTTGCTTAAATATTTTGCTCTTTTTTGTGTATGCGTGACAGAGTCTCACTCTGTTGCCCAGCCTGGAGTGCAGTGGTGCAATCTTGGCTCACTGCAACCTCCGCTTCCTGAGTTCAAGTGATTCTCATGCCTCAGCCTCCTGAGTAGCTGGGATTACAGATGTGTACCACCATGCACATCTGTAATCCCAGCTACTTTTTATATTTTTAGTAGAGACGGAATTTCATCATGTTGCCCAGGCTAGTCTCAAACTCCTGGCCTCATGTGATCTGCCTGCCTTGACCTCCCAGAATGTGGTGATTACAGGCATGAGCCACCACACCTGGCCTCATTTTTAACTGGGTTTCTTGTCTTTTTCAAATTAAGTTATAAGAGTTCTTTATAGATTCTAAACACAAATTTTTTGTTGGATATAGGTTTTGATTTACCTTTTCATTTTTGTTACTGTATCTTTGAAGAGCAAAACTGTTACTTTGAATAAGTTCAATTTATTAATTTTTTTCTGTTATAACTTGGACTTTTATATTGTAGTTAATAAATATTTGCTAAATCCATAGTCACTAAGATATTATCTTAGGATGGGCGTGGTGGCTCATGCCTGTAATCCTATCACTTTGGGAGGTCAGGGTGGGAGAATCACTTGAGCCCAGGAGTTCAAGACCAGCCTGGGCAACACAGTGGAACCCCATCTCTCTATTTATAGAAAAAAGATATTATCTTAGTTTTTCTTCAAGTGTTTTTATAGTTGGAATTCTTACATTTAGGTCTAAGATTCATTGTGAGTTAATTTTGTATATAGTGTAGTAAAGGCCAAGGTTCATTCTGATTTTTACGTTCATTTTGATATTATGTTTCAGCACCAGGAAAGTCCATATTTTTCCTATTGTGTTACCTTGACTTCTTTGATCAATCAATCTCAGCCAATTGATGACTGTAATAATGGAGTAGGGGTATATTTCTAGATTTCTCCTGATAAGTACAGCTTAAAATTTGGAAAATGACATGGTGACGAGTTTTCTTTTTACTTCATATACCTCGGACTGGAAAGTGGAAAAGCTGCCAACCTGGAAACACCACTGGACACAGAACGATAACAACAAAAGTCTAAGAAAAGTTTTCTCTCTAGCCGTAAGACTAGGAAAGGGGCAACCTTGACAAACCAAAAACTTTTAGATCATCGACACTCTACTCTCGCCACACATTACAGAAAAAATGTTGAGGTGCCATCCATACCCCTACCAGCAAATATAGAATGCAGAGCACAGGCTTCCACACTCGCATCGCAACCCTTCCTCCCCTACCAGAGTGCTGTCAGAGAGGGCCCACAGGAAGCCAGCCCTCCTCTCCCACCACAGTGTCAGTGGACACCACACAGGGAGCCTAGACGTCCATCTTCACTCAGCTAGTGTTGATAAGGCAACTCTCCCTCTCCCTGCTGGGGGGTGGTGGCAGAGGAAGCCTAGATGAGAGTCAGAACTTTCACCACTGCTCAGTGGCATTTAAGGCCACCCACTTACAGTTTTAGTGGATGCCACATGAGCAGTGATAAGATGCCCCACTCCTTCACAGGCAGGGGCATATTAGTGTAGCCTTGGTGGGAGCTGGCATTCTCACTAATACCCCACAGTACAGAGGAGCTACCCCTTCAGGCGTCAATGGAGGTCAAGTAGTAAACCTGGGCATTTACCCACTGGACAGTAAAAAAGTACCCACTAGAACTTCTCCTTCCCCTGCTAGAGTAGTGTCAAAGAAAGCTAGTTAAAACAGAAAGTTTAAATAAGATCCAGAGTCTCCTAACATAATAACCAAAATGTCTAACTATCAATTTTAAATGTACATGTTATACAAAGAACCAGGAATACTTCAACAGCAAAATGAAGAGTAGAGGGGGAAAGAATCAGTGAACTTGAGAACAGAACAAGCGAATTACCCAAACTGAACAACAGAGAGAAAATATATTTCAAATAAATAAATGAATCCTCAGAGACATGAGTATAGGGAAAAATATAATATTCATGTCATTATAGGCACATAATAAGAGGATGGGGGTGGGGACAAAAGATTATTAGAAGAATTAGTGGCTGAAAATTTTTCAAATGGCAAAACTCATAAACCTACAGACTCATAAAACTGAGAAAATTTCAAATAGGATAAACCAGAGAAATCCACACCAAGACACATCTTAGTCAAACAATAGAAAGTAAAAAATAAGAAAAAAAATTGAAAGCAGCCAAAGAGAAGTGATACATTATATTTAGGAGAAAAACAATTAGAATGACAGCAGATGTCATGTCAGAAACCATGGAGATGAGGGTAAAGTGATACAATATGTTTCCAGTACAGACAAAAGAATTGCCAGTCCAGAATTCTGTATCCAGTGAAAATCTTCTTCTGAGTGAAGGGGAAATCATTCTCATATGAAGAAAAATTAAGAGAATTTGTTGTTAACAGAAGTTTTTGAAACAGAAAGAAAATGATAAATGAAGAATGTAGGAAATCGAGGAATAATAAAAAATAAATAAAAATATGAGTAAATACAATAGATTTTTTTTCTTTTGAGTTTTCTAAGTCATGTTTGATCGTTAAAGCAAAACATTGTAACGATGTCTAATGCAGTTCTCAATCTATTAGGGAACGATTTCATACAAATATATTACAAATGGGGAAGGGTAAATTGACAAAGGAGGGAAAGTGGTAAAGGAGGGAAGTGGTAAAGTGTTGGCACCAGTATATGGTGATAAGTTACATATATGTAATGTAATACTTAGAGTATTCATAAATTTAAAATTCTGCAAAAAGAAATCTGTAGGCCCACATAGTTTCATACCAGTTCTACACAATCTCTTTCAGGAAATCTATCAACTCAAACTGTAAGGCCAGTATTACATTGCTCTTAAAACCAGACAAACGCAGTACAAAAAGAAAACCGTAGACCAATATCTGTCATGAATTTAGATACAAAAATCCTTTTAAAGTTAGCAAATATAATGCAATAGTATATGAAAGCAACTATATACCATGACAAAGAGGAATTTATTTTAGTGATGCAAGGCTGGGTGAATATTTGAAAATAACCATATTAATAAGTTAAAGAAGAATCGCATGATTATATCAATTGTTGCAGAAAAAGCATTTTACAAAATTTAAAACCCATTATTGACACAACCCTCAGAAATATACTGAATAGAGAGGAACTTTCTCAACTTGTTAAAAAGCATCTACAAAAACTTTACGGCTATATCATACTTAATGCTGAAGACTGGATGCTTTATCCCTAAGATTGAGAACAAGGCAAAGATTTCTACTCTTACCACTGCAAATCCATACAGAACTGGAAGATGTAGCCAGCTCAATTAGGCAGGGATAGGAAAAGTAAACCATACATATTAGAAGAGGAGAAATAAAACTGTCCTATTTGCAGTAGATATTGTCTAAATAATACATTTCATGGAGTATATAAAAATTCCTAGACCTAATAAGTGAATTCCATAGAGTTACAGGCTACAAAATCAACATGCAGCGATCAATTGTATTTCTGTATACTAACAATGGACACGTGGAAACCAAATTTAAAAATACAATACCATTAACAATAATTCAAAATAAAAAGGGAGAAATACATAGTTTTAAATCTAGCAAAACATTTACAGGACTGGCATGCTGAAAACTATAAAATGCTAATGGAAGAAAGGAAAACAAGATGGAAATAGAGAGCTATTTCATGATCAGAGATTTGAAGACATAACATAGTAACAATGTCAATGGCTGGGCATGGTGGCACATCCCTATAGTCCCAGCACTTTGGAAGGCAGAGGCTGGAGGAATACTTGAGCCCAGGAACTCCAGGCTGCAGTGAGCTATGATGGTGCTACTGCACTCCAGCCTGGGTAACATAGAGAGAGCCTGTCCCCTAAAAAAAAAAAAAGAAATGCAGATGGCAAATAAACACATTAAAAGATGTTCAACATCATTAGCCATTAGGGAAATGCAGATTAAGACTACAATAAGATATCACTACACACCTATTAGAACAGCTAAAATAAAAAATAGTGACAGCACCAAATGCTGTAGAAGAGGAACCGAATCTCTCATACCTTACTGGTGGGAATGTACCCGATGCTACAGCTACTATGGAAAACATTGTGGCAGCTTATTAAACAAGTGAATATACTCTTAGCAGCCGGGCACGGTGGCTCACGCCTATAATCCTAGCACTTTGGGAGGCTAAGGTGGGTGGATCATTTGAGGTCAGGAGTTCGAGACCAGCGTGGCCAACATGGTAAAACCCTGTCTCTACTAAAAATACAAAAATTAGTCAGGCATGGTGGCACACACCTATAATCCCAGCTACTGGGGAGGCTGAAGCAGGAGAATCACTTGAATCTGTGCAGTGGAGGTTGCAGTGGGCCGAGATCGTGCCACTGCACTCCAGTCTCCAGTGAGACCCTATCTCAAAAAAAAAAAATATGTATATATATATACATACACACACACACACAACACTTAGTGTACAATCATGGGCT
Source organism: Homo sapiens (assembly GCF_000001405.40). Taxonomy (NCBI): domain Eukaryota; kingdom Metazoa; phylum Chordata; class Mammalia; order Primates; family Hominidae; genus Homo; species Homo sapiens. Next base: position 25,551,887 of record NC_000015.10, read on the forward strand.
TTTATCCCAGAGAAATGGAGACTTATGTCTGCACAAATTGTGTACATAATTGTTCACAGCAGCATTATTTGTAAATAGCCAAAAACCGGAAACACCAGAATGTCCCTTATAGGTGAATGGCTGAACAAACTGGAGCAAATTCATACCATGGAGTACTACTCAGCAGCAAAATAGAATGAACTATGGATACAATGACCGGGAAGTATCCCAAGGGCATTATGCTAAGTGAAAAACAGCCAATATCAAAAGGTTACACATTGTATAATACTGTTTATATACCATTCTTGAAATTATAAAATTGCAGAGACAGGAAACAGATTGGTAGTGAGGGCTAGCACAAAGGTATCTTTGCGGTCATGGAATAGTTCTGTGTCTTGAGTGTCGTGGTAGCTACACGAATCTACATATGTGCTAAAACGACACAGAACTATGCACTCACATTGTATCAATGTCAAATTCCTGGTTTTGATATTGCACTGTAATAATGTAAGATGTGACTATGGGGGAGAAACTGGGTTAAGGATCCATGAGACCTGTGTGCTGCCTTTGCAACCTCCTGTGAATATTTATTTCAAAAGTTAAAATATCAGTGGAAGATGTAAGTGCTGGTATTTCTGAACAGTATTCTGTTCCATTGATCAATATGTTTATTTTTATGGTCATTTTATAGTAAGCATTGAAATCAGGTAGTGTCATGAGTCAATTACTAAAATACCTTCATTGGGTATATGTTGAAACTCAGACTCAGAGAGGTAGATACCTTTTTTAAGGTCAGTCATCTGGAAAGGGCAAAATGTATTTAAAACCAGATTTTCCTAATTTCAAAGATCCTGTCCTTTTACTGGCGTTAATACATATGCATACACTGATCATAAACTCACAGAAGTGGCCTTGTGCTCAGGTCTTTACTACTCAGCGTATGGTCCCAGATCCCACAGCACAAACATCAGCTGGGAGCTTGTTAGCAATGTGGACTCTCAGCTCCTCCCACACCCCCTGACGAACTGAGTTAGAAGAGCTTCAGGTGATTCCATTTTAAAGTTTGAGAAGTGGCCGGGCGGTGTCTCACGCCTGTAATCCCAGCACTTTGGGAGGCCGAGGCGGGCGGATCACGAGGTCAGGAGATCGAGACCGTCCTGGCTAACACGATGAAACCCTGTCTCTACTAAAAACACAAAACATTAGCCGGGCGTGGTGGCGGGTGCCTGTAGTACCTGCTACTCGGGAGGCTGAGGCAGGAGAATGGCGTGAACCCGGGAGGCGGAGCTTGCAGTGAACCCAGATCGCGCCACTGCACTCCAGCCTGGGCGACAGAGGGAGACTCCATCTCAAAAAAAAAAAAAAAAAAAAAAGTTTGAGAAGCACTAGGCTCACTGCCCAATGTGTTGTTCCTATCAATTCCATATTCACTGCTTAAGTCATTTGGTCAGATCATGAATATGAGGTAGTTGATCTATTAGACAGTGAATAAAGGTAATTTTGAATAACAGATCTTGAAAAACATGAGACCGTTAAAATTTAACATTTTTGCATACCTTTGTGAAAATCCTTGGCTAAGACTTAGGAGTCATGAAACAGTCTTGGTGAGAGTTTGTATGGGTAGGTAACTAGGTGAGGCTTGGGTATCACCCAGAACCTACCCCTGACAAGAGCAGGGCTGCTGTTTTATGCTTTTGACTTTTACATATTAAAATTTTCTTTTTGGTCTTGATTATTTCAGGCAAGAAATAAATTATAATTCAGATTGTTTATTGCCTCTAAGTAATGTGTCATTTCTGTCTGGCTCCTTTGAAGATTTTTATCTTTAGTTTTCACAAGTTTAATTACGTTGTGTCTTGTTAGGGACTTTGGGTTTTATTTGGGATTCAAGCTTCTTGAATCTGTAGGCATGGTGGGCTGACAAATGCAGTCCCCCCCTCAAAAAAAGATATCCATGTCAAATCCCTGGAACCTGTGGACATTACCTTATATGAAAAAAAAAAACAAAGGGTCTTTCGGGTAGGCATCGTGGCTCATGCCTGTAATCCCAGCACTGGGAAGCTGAGGTGGGAGGATCGTTTGAGCCCGGGAGGTCAAGGCTACATTGAGCACCACTCACTCCAGCCTGGTGACAGAGTAAGACCCTGTCACCAAAAAAAGGTGGGAGTGGGGAGTCTTACAGATGTGATTAAGTTAAGAATCTTGAGATAAAGGAGTAATCTTAGATTATCTCAGGTGGACCCTAAATACTATCACAGGTATCCTTGTAAAGAAAAGAAGAGAAAATTGACACACAGAGAAAACACAGAAAAGAGAAGGCAATGTAATCATGGAGGCAGTGGCTGGAGTGACGGAGCCACAAACAAGAACACCAACAGCCTGCAGCTGGAAGAGGCCAGGCATGGAGTCTTCCCTGGAGCTTTCGGAGCCTGCAGACACCTTGATTTTGGTCCAGTGATTTTTTATTTCCGACTTCAGGCCTCCAGAACTGTGAGAGAACACATTTCTGCTCTTTTAAGACAAGAGGTTTGTGGTGATTCGTTATGGCAGCACAGGAAACTCATGCAGCACATTTATATTTTTTACCAAATTTGAGAAATTTTCAGACATTATTTCTTCTGACACTTTCCAGTTCCACCCTCTCTTTCCTCTTTTTCTTTAACTTCAGTGATTTGAATCTTAGCTCTTTTTATTTTTTATTTTTATTTTTATTGCGATAGAGTCATGCTCTTGTCGCCCAGGCTGGAGTGCAGTAGTGTGATCTTGGCTCACTGCAACCTCTGTCTCCAGGGTTCAAGCTATCATCCTGCCCCAACTTCCCAAGTAGCTGGGATTACAGGCATGCACCTCCTCACCCAGCTAGTTTTTTTGTATTTTTGTAGAGACAGGGTTTCACGATGTTGACCAGGCTGGTCTTGAACTCCTGACCTCAGGTGATCCGCCTGCCTCGGCCTCGCAACGTGTTGAGATTACAGGCATAAGCCGCCACGCCCGGCCCAAATCTTAACTCTTTTTATTGTCTTACAGTTCCCTGAACCTCTGTTAAATTTTTTTTCAGTCTATTTTCTCTCTGTTGTTCAGACTGGGTTAATGCCACTGACGTGTCCTCAAGTTTATTGTTTCTATTCTCTGTCGTCTCCACTCTATTATTTTTTCCAGCTTGTTTTTCATTTCAGTTATTTTATTTTGCAGTTCTGTAATTTGCATCTGGTTCTTTTAAAAAATAATTTCTATTTCTTTGCTGCATTTTTCTATTTTTTCAGTTTGTTTCAAGAGAATTTTAACCACATGTGGAGGCATTTTTATGATGCCTGCTTTAAAGTTCTTTTCAGAACATTCCAAAAACTGATATTGCCTTTTCTCATTCAAATTGTGGTCTCCTGGTTCTTGGCTTTTGTGGAGTTTTCAGTTGTAGCCTAGCCTTTTTGGATATTAGGCTATGAGCCTCTACATCCTATCCAATCATCTTTTTTAGCAAGCATTGCCCCTGGAGGTAGCACAAGGGCCAGGTGGGTGACTGTGTCCATCTTCCCACTGAGCCCTGCCAGTACCAGTGTGAACATTGAGCAAGCCAAATTCACACCACCTCCTTGGACTGCAGGGGATAAAGGTTCAGCCTTTCTTCGTTGTTGACCCCTTCTGGGTAGAAGTTGGGCACTAATTCACACCACCTCATTGCCTACAAGGTTCAGGAGCTCAGCTCAGCTCTTTGCTAGGCTCTGTTGACCCTGGGGAGTGAGAAGCAGAGGGCTGACTTCCGTCATGGGAGTAGAGGCTCAACTCACCCTGGACCCCCTGACTCTACCATGGCAGGGAGACTTGTGTGTCTCACTTGTGTCCCCGGGCAGAGGGTGCACCATGAGCTCCCTGCTCAACCCCACCACAGCGGGCCACCACCTGCTCTGTGGTAGAGGGGGCAGGTGGAAAATCAGCACCTGCCAGGCCACCGACACAGGTAGGAGTGGTTTGTTTTTTTTTCTTGATATTTGACTGGAGTAGGGGTGGCATTGCCAAAAGGTTTTCTGTCCTTAGCTCAGCTTTCCTGGCCCGAGGCTTAGCATGCCAGCCTGCCTGGGGCCTTCTGAGTCTGTGCCTGTGGTGGTCTGGCGGGAGGCTCTGTGGCTGCGCCTGGGATACTGGGAGGCAACACCACGTGTGGTTTCCCAGGTTCCTAGGCAGCGGCCCCTTGTCAGTCTCCCCAAGTGCATTTGTTGTGTTGTGTCAGGGCATTTTTTGTCTTGAGAGGAGGACCTGGAGGAGTGGGACTGCTCCATCTTGGTGGAGCTACAAGCAATCATGCATTGATGATTTTGTATTATTTTACTTGGTGAAGAGTTCTCATAAAAACCTGAAAATGACTCAAAAATTCCTTCTGGGGCTGAAATTCTCAGTCTTTGTCATTTCAACTAGGTGGGAAACAAATCCTGTCCCATTCATTGCATTCCTAAGGCTGTTGGTCTTTATGTTGCTACCCCAGAGAGGCAGGGATTGCTTTAGAGTTGAATGTGGACACCCAGCCACCTGGCTTCACCTCCTGGCTCACTTAACAATTAAACAATTCTACTTAAACAATCTACTTGGCCTGTCTTTGCCTCAGTCTGCTTATCTGTAGAGAGGGGACAGTAACAGTGTTAAAAAGTGCCTGGCAGAGAGTAAATACTATACCTTGCTATTACTATTATTCCTTGGCTTTGCAAATGTTATACCCATGAATTCCCTCCTCCTATGGAATTCTCTCTTTTAATCTCATGTATTTTCTCACTCAGACTCAGCTATCTAAATTAACGTGAGTTTGGAACTGGGAAGTATCAGGTACAGAAAAGGCATGGGATTAGGGACCTTCAGCTCTGTGAGGGGCGCAGGAGATCTGAAGAACAGCCTGGAAGAAGGATGTGGATGGTAAGTCATCGCCTTTGTCCACTTGAGTGTTTTTTAGAGAACTCTAACAAGGGATTGCATGAAGAAATTCGATACAAACAACTATGTGTCAGTGAGTCTGGGTTCAAATAATAATTTCCCAACAGACCTTCAAAAATACTGTCCAACTTTCTTGTCCACTCAGCCAAACCCGGTCTTCCGGAAGTGAGCGAGAGTTCATCCTTTCCCAGCGGGTGCAGGTAGAAGGAACAGTGTTCAGAGGGTCCAGGTATTCCCTCCATCTGCTGTGTCATAAGTGATCTACAGGGGGCTTTTGGCTCCCTGCATTTGCTTGGTTCTTTTAAAAGTGTTAAAAATAAAGCATTTACATCATTCTTTCATACACTTATTATAGTATTATTCATCTTAGACCAAAGTCTCATTCTAGTATTTTTGATTATAGGCAAGGCAATGGTCCAGATACTTTCTAAAGCAAAACTGCTTTCTGTATATATTGAAGAAAACCAATGGGAAGAAGATGTCTAAAGCAAGCATGTGTGAAGGCCTAGGGCTTTTTGTATCAGTATAAACAAAATGCAGCAGGGCATGTCCATGAGTTTCTTTTTGCCATACTGATGAAAGACTAGAGATGAAAAAGTTACACTGTTCTTTGTGGGGGGAGGAGTAAGCATTAGGATGAAAGTCACTTCCAGAAACCACTAGGTAGGCATGAGGTTGTAAGGAAGGCTACGCTCCTGGCTTCCTTCCATATTCGTGGTTTTATCCTACTGCCCCTGCCAGACCTCTTATCATAGCTATAAACATTTCTATAGCTATAAGCATATTTTCATTTGCATGACCTTCACTTATTTCTGCAAAGTCCATAGCTAAAAGTCTTGGACACAGCCGTCACGTGCTGCTCCAGCCAACTTCCCATGAGGTCAGTCCTTATGCATCGCCATCCTGACTGTTGGTGGCCGCAGCGCTCATCCTCAGCCCCAGGTGTGCAACAAAAAAGGAGCTTCTCCCAACTCCTAATTGCATGGAAAGGCTGCAGGTATTTCCTGGCTTTACTTGCATAACCTTTAGGTATGTGTTGTCTGAAACCACGTCTTTCCCATATTGATTTTTCATGAGGGAGGGACATAATTCTGACAGAGATGTAAAAAGCAACAAAAATGTTCCTCCTTCACCAACATAGAGCCTCCTGCTCTATACCAAACACAGGGATACAGAGATGAATGGCATGGCCAGGCACGTACAGTGCGAGGGGCTGCAGGCCTGCATGTGGAATGTCTCATCACAGCCTCCAGTTGTCCCAGTAGCATGCACAGAGGGCACGGGTGAGTCTGGAGGAGCCATTGAAGACTTCTCTAGGGAGAGACGTTTGTGTGAGATCACAGACGATGTGTGGGCATGTGCCAGGTGGCAAAGAAGAGAAGGCTTGTGAGGAATGAAACTTGGCATTCATAAAACCAGTGTTTTTCTCAAAAGCCAGTGTCTTGCATTTAAGTGGGATTAGAAATAAATATTCCCAACACATGCAGGTGAGGAAGATCTGTGGCCCAGGGCAGCCCAGGAGAGAGGACCTTTCTCTGCCAGGACAGATCCCCTTCAGGAGGCCCCTGATGGAAAGGCAGTGGTGGGCCTGGGGATTCCAGGATGTTGGACTCCTGCCCTGGATGGAGAGGCTCAATTTAGGTGAGAAAACCAGCGATGGGCTTTGGGGCTTCCCTCACCTGTAGATTTCAGATACAGCAGGTAAGGGACAGATCTGGAAAACTACAGAAGGAGTGGGGCCTGGGGTTCAAATGAGGAAGACTCATGGAAACAGTGGTGATGAGAGGCCAGTAGACACCAATGACCTCAGCCTCCAGAGAACCCTACAAACGCTGACCCAAGATGCGGTCAGATGCAGCCCTTCCTGGTTGATTAATTTTTGGGCTGCCCAAGTGTGGGGGTGCACACACCAGTGCAGCCCAGGATTTTGTTTTCACAGTGACACCTCTCATCTTCTCTAGGCTTCTCACCTCTTAGCCTGGGCTGTCATCCAGGTCTTGGAGAAGTCAAGCAACTTGTCATGGGCAGGAAAAGACAGCCCAGAACCCAGAACCTGGAAATACTGATATTTGGGGGAGAGGGTCATGTTTCCCCCAGACATCTCTGCCCCAGCCCTCAGCTGTTGGGATGAAGAGGTGCTACCCGATTACTAAATGGGTGGGTGGATTGTCCTTGGATTGCATCTAAAATTGCATGTCTATTCATCCATCAATTCACTCAATGAATATTTTGCTCATCTACCACTCAAATAGATTCAGCAAACATTTCCTGAGCACCTACTTTGTGCCTAGTACTATGTGCTAAATCCTGGGCACACTAATAAGACACATTTCCTATTATTGTTCAAATGTGTGATATATGAATAAGACACATATTCTACTACACTTCAGAATACTGATTTTTAATTGCAGTGGGGGAGGAGATAGGTCTGCAAATCACAAAAGGCCTTTCCACCACTTTGCCCCACTAGGTGGGACTTTCTGTTATTGACTATTGGATTATATCAAGTTCTTCAAACAGGTTAGAGCACACAAAGGGTTAGGAACCACTGATTCAGGTGCCAAAGCCAAGAAAATAAAATATCTATCAGGAAACGTAAGGATAAGATACATGTCCATGATATACTACAAGTAGGTTGAGAAACTGCTTTCCAAAGTCCTGGAAAACAAGAATCTTTACAAGGATTCTCTCCAATGGCTGTTCACACATGTGTGGGCTCAGGGACCTGGACAAAGACTGTGTGAGCCATGGGCATGAAGGTTTAATCACAGGACATCATTTCTGCCAGGAACAGTGTCATGAAGGAGCTGGAGTGAGCAGGTCCCCAAGGGAGGCAGTATGGAGTGGGACCTGAGCTAGAGGCTGGAACTGTGTCTGACTCCACCACGGACTGGCCAGTGTGGGTCCCTCTGGCTGTTCCTGTGCCTGCCTGTCCTCAGCCTCAGCAAAATGAGCAGCGAGAGAAGGTGATACCAAGATCCGTTCCAGCTCCCGAGCCTCTGACTCCAGCTGCCTGGCTCTGAAATCACCGGCTGCCCCCTGAAGTCCACCACTCTCCTGTTGGTGCCCGTGCTCCTTCCCCTGAATCACAAGGGCACTGGCCGTGTCCCTATTGTCCTGGCTGTGTACAACCTCTACCAAGGGGTTACCCCGTCTAGATCATCTCCTTGGTCCTTATCAGCAATTTGGGCTTCCCTTTCTTCCTGTGTCCTCTCTCTGTGAGATGGTAAGTGTGGTAAAACAAACAAGCAAGCAAACAAAACCACCGTCCTGCTTGAAAAGCAATTTAAAGGCAGAGGGATTTTAGAATAGCGCACCTTCCACCTAGTCATCCCTGGATCCCGTTTCCTTACATCCTTTCAGATCCCCTTCCACCTGGAAGTGTGCGCCTCCAAAAGCAGTGGCAGGTTCTGCTTCACACCCCAAGAATGACGCCTGGCATACACTGATCCTGCTGCCTTAGGAGGAGATACTCAAGCGCTGGAAGTCTGCCCTGCCTGCAGAAAAGGCTCCGTTCAGCAGCTGCATACTGCATTTTCCATGTGTATGTGACTTTAACACAGGGGAGAGAGAGGGCTACTGTCTTGCCACCCAGATGTGTATTATAGATGTACACGGGACTAGTATCCATGTGTACAGCATCCTGTATGGTGTGTATGCAACATGCATACCATATATAGGTAATGTGTTGAGATCTGGGCAGACTTCCGATAGCGTTTGCATGAGTAAGGAAACCTGCCTGTCTCTTGGTCCTTTTAATGGTGACCTGACCTGAATAGCTGTTTACATTTTTTTATTTAAAAAAAAATCTCCAAAGCAATGGTCTCCACGTGCCAGTCCCTGAACAATGAAGTTTTCAACAGCTTCCATAAAAACAAATAAAGCAGGACAATGTACAGTTAGCCCTCCATATCCATGGGTTCTGCATTCCTGGATTCAACTAACTGCAGAGCAAAAAACAAAAAAATTTTAATGCATCTGTACTGAACAAGTGCAGAGGTTTTTGGTTACTATTCCCTAAACAAAACAGTATGACAACTATCAACATTGCATTTTCATTGTATTTGGTATTGTAAGTAATCTAGAAATGGGAAGATGTGTGAAGGTTATCTGCAAATACAACACCATTTTATATCAGAGACTTTAGCATCCATGGATTCTGGGATCCAGGGGGGTTCCTGGAACTAGTCTCCCATGGATACCAAGGGACGACTGTACTGTTTTCAGAAAATAAACTATAATCAACCTGAGATTATGTCCTTCTTACTTTTTCTGAAGTTAAAACATTTTTTCTTAATCAAATGATTGTGACAATAAATTATTTTAAAACATTAGGTAATTACTGGCAAAATAAAAAGACCCTCCCCCCACTTTTAATTTAGTGCTTTGTAAATTAAAAAAATCTGGTAACTGGCCAAGCGCCGTGCCGTAGCTCTTAGCTGTAATCCCAGCACTTTGGGAGGCCGAGGTGGGCAGATCACGAGGTCAGGAGTTTGAGACCAGCCTGACCAACATGGTGAAACCCTGTCTTTACTAAAAGTACAAAAATTAGCCGGGCATGGTGGTACGCACCTGTAATCCCAACTAGTCAGGAGGCTGAGGCAGGAGAATCACTTGAATCTGAGAGGCAAAGGTTGCAGTGAGCCAAGATTGTGCCACTGAACTCCAGCCTGGGCAACAGAGCAAGACTCTGTCTAAAAAAAAAAAAAATCTGGAAACCACCAATCTGTTGGGTAAAATTCCATGTTGGGTGATGTATTTGGGTTCTGTATTATATAGTTATTGAAGGAGAGAAGGAAGGAACAAAGGAAGGAAGGAAAAAAGGAAGGAAGGAACAAAAGGAGAAGGGAAAATTCAAGTACACCTGCATGGAAAAAAGTTACCTTAGGTAATATTCAAAGATCGATGACAACTATGGAAATTATTTACAATTTATAGCACAAATATTTCTTAATATCAGTAAGGACTATAAGCCAATAGAAAACTGATTAACACCTACAAATAGTGTTAAAAGAAAAAGAAATACTTTTTTACCCAAAATAACTACAAGATAGCAGTTTTCACTGCTAGATTTGCCGTCATTCAGAGTTTGATTATTCACCGTGCTGAGGATGTTGTGTTGTGGGAAACCTACATGCTCATAGGAGTGTAAATTGCTATAACTGTATGGAGAGAAATTTAGCGACGTTTTCATAGGGTGATTCCACTTTGAGGATTTAATCCTGCACATGTATTTGCACATGTGTAAAATGACGTATGTACAATGTTAGTCTTTGAAGCATTTCTGCAGTAGCAAGAAATTAGGAATATCATCTAAATTCCCATCCACTGGGGTCTAAGCAGACATGGAACACCCATAGAATGGAAGACTGTGCATGTCTGTATGTATATATGTACGTATTTGTTTTTTGAGGCAGAATCTTTCTCTGTCACCCAGGCGGGAGTGCAGTGGTGCGATCTGGGCTCACTGTGACCTCTGCTTCCCAGGTTCAAGCGATTCTCCTGCTTCAGCCTCCTGAGTAGCTGGGATTACAGGCATGGGCCACCACACTGGGCTAATTTTTGTATTTTTAGTAGAGACGGGGTTTCGCCATGTTGGCCAGGCTGGTCTCAAACTCCTGACCTTAGGTGATCTGCCCACCTCGCTTTGCAAAGTGCTGGGATTACAGGCGTGAGCCACCGTGCCTGGCTGACTGTGCATGTATTTAAAAGGATGAAGTAGTCTGTATGAACTGATAGGACATTATCACTGAGATCTGGTGAAGTGGAAAAAGTATAGCCAAGTACATGTGCACAGTAGACCACCATGTGAGTAGAACAAACAAACAAAAAATGACTGTAAAACCCTGTTGATCCATAGCTATCTCTGGTGATACAAGTACACAAGAAACTGGTTGTATTAGTTTGCTAGGGCTGTCGTTAACATAGTACCACAACCGGGTGGTTTAAACAACAGAAATATATTGTCCGGAGTCTGGAAGTCCAAGATCAAGGTGTCAGCAGGGTTGATTCCTTCTGAGGCCTCTCTTCTTAGCCTGTAGAAGGCCGTCCTCTCTGTCTTCCTATAATCTTCCTTCTGTGTGTGTCTGTGTGTCTCCTTGTCCAAATTTTCCCTTTGTATAAGAACCCAATCTAGTTTATAAGAAATTAAACTAAGGCCCTCCCTAAGACCTCATTTTAACTTGATTACCTCTGTAATGACACTGTCTCCAAATAAGGTCACCTTCAGATACTAGGGGTTGGGACTTCCACATATCTTTTTTGGGAAGATCCCAATTCAGCCTACAACACTGATTAGCAGTAACGGCCACAGAAGGAGGAGAATTGATGGCCAAAGCTGCGAGGGAAACTTGTTGAACAATTTTGACCTTTCTGCATATACAGCCTAATTAAAAATTAAAACAAGTTTAAAACTGCAGAAGAAAAGAATGAGGGTGGAGAAATGGCCAAATAACTTCACAAAAGGAAAGTGTTGTAGGTACTTGAGGTCAAAACAGCAGTGGAGCAGTGGAAGGGCATGGTTCAAGAGGTGAGGATTTAGGATGGGAAGGAGAGCAGGGTCGGTGAAGGAAAAAGAAAAGGTGTGAGTAGGGGCTTTGGGATACAAGATGTCAGAGCACCTAGCACTCACCAGTCTCTCAGGGACACTTGGTGACACTGGGGAGCCCGGTCCAGCATGAGTGTGGAATCTGTGTTCACCCCCAGCAGCCTGCCCCCTGGTCACCCCAACCACTGAGGCTTTTTTGGACATGGCGTGATGACCTGATTTGGCGTTTTGTTGTCATTTGGGGTAAATGTCAGAAGGTGTGGAGGGCACTGTGATGTGGACCCTGATGTGCTGCGCTTGCTGCTCCCACACACTACACTACTGCTGACGTATAACAAAAATGTGAATGGGCGATGAATGCCAAGAAGTAGGGGAAAATTACATAACAAAGACACCTCTTTGAATCCTTTGAATCTGAGCACTTTTTGGTAACCCTGTCCTTCAATAGGCATTATAGTATTTTTGTGGTTTGCTCTGCAGTTGAAAGGGAAGAAAAGACCCTTGGATGTTGCTGTCCCTTGCTTGGGATTCTGCAGATATTGTACTACTGTTTTGTTGCACAATGTACCTCCTGGTGTCAGACAAGGAAACCCTTATCTCTTCTGCGAGTGGAGACAGATGGTTCTTCCCAGAAGTCAATGGTCAGTTCTTCCTTATGGAAGGACAAGGAAAATTCATGTCCTTTGGCCAACTGATGGCTCCATTAACAACCTTCAAAGCCTCTGCAAAAACCGTAGTCTCAACCAGGATGTTGATTTACTGGTCATGGCAAGAGTGAAAAGAAAAATCCTGGGATCTGTGGTCTGAAATATTTTTAGATGGTCTAAAAGGGCAAGACTTTAGAACTCAGTTTCAGTTCAACTAAAAAAACATCCTTTGACTGCCTGCTGCCTACTAGATTCTGAAATAAGTGTTGATGAAACAGCAAGGAATATGACATGTGGAGTTTTATCCTTCAGGAACTTTTAATCCAGTGGAGAAGAGATGTAAACAGGTGTCGTGAGTTTAAATCCAGCACACAACTCTACTTTTGTAAAACTCCGTTTCCACTTCAAGTCCCCCTCCCTGCTTTTGAGGCCTCACATGGCGCAAGGTCTCCCTGCACAGGTGGTTAGACATCCACCTGGGGCTGTACTAAGACACTCCCATTCCCTGAGGCCCTGTCAGTGGCTCTTCTGGCCCCTTCTGATCATCCCTGATATTCCAGCCCTCTTGGGGTGACACATCTCTCTGGGACATAGACAACCTTTTCTCCTGGGCACTGCAGACACTGGGTGTTCCAGCCATAGAGGATCACTTCCTACGTGGTCGTTCCTGCCTCTCTCCAGGAAGGTGTGATGATGGCCTCTGTCTGAAGTCCTTTTCTCCACCACAGTCGTTCCCACACAGAAGACGGCCTTGGCTGTGCAAAGCCATCCCCTCCAGCTCTCCACCGTCAGGGCTGCTCCCTCCTCTCCCACAGGGCTGTCTTGAGCCCCAGTAGTCCCCTAGTGGCCCCACACACTAGAGGCTTTCCTTAAGGAGCAGCGGCATGGGCTGGCTTCCCTCTGGCAGCTCCATGGCACTTTCTCTCTTGCCTGTCACCTCGTCTTTGCCACCTTAGCATAGTCACCGGCTTCCCTGTAGCTCTGAAGGCTCACAAACTCTTCCTAGTGTCTGCAGAAGTTCCTGCGAGTTCTCTTCAGTGGTTTTCTACGGAGAAATAAGCAGTCTTAAGACAAAACAAAAAGAAGAACGCTTGTCAGTCCCTCAACGCCGAGGGCCGTCTTAGCCATGTGAGCTCTTTGGGGCCTGGCTTTTCCCTTTTTAGCCTGGCCATGAACTCCTGGAACAAGATAAGTCCGCTTATGCCGTGCTCCGTTGCATACTTCCTGCCTGTGGTGACAGTCATGACATTTTATTAAGTAAGAAGACCAGGGAAGACCTGCTGAGGAACAGGCTTTGGGTCTGAGATCGAAAGGTTGCCTAGTACTGAGAACCTTGCAAATGGAGCAACAGAGTGTTCTGTGCAAAGTGGCATGCGGTGCAGAGGAAGCGTTACTACCTGATGTTGTTTCATATCGTTATTTACTAAACAGTTAATTGTCTTTCTTGCTCACAGTGGATTCCACAGCACCTACATTAGTGCCCAGCACAGCAAACATGTGTCAATAAATATGCACTGGAAGGTTATTCATTGCCCAAATCAAATTGGTGGGCACCTTCTCGGCCGATCATCACTGTCTCAGTGATGTCTAAACCACATTTAGATACCAGTTGTCCTAGAGAGACGCAGCACTTTTGGCCGTGCTTCTCTTTCCTCACTCTTGGCCCTTTCCTCACTCTGGGCACCCTGCAGCTGACAGCCCACTTGGCTCCAGGAGCTTGGAGAGAGGCGTGCTGACCTCTGCTCAACAAGGGCTTGTCAAGAGCTTTGTGAAATCCCTGCTTGGACAAGTAGCCCGGAATTCTTATCAGGAAAGGAGGTTGTGGAAGTGGGTGTCATGCTGTCACTATCTCTGATGTTGATATAGGAGTTAAGAAGAAATTATTTAGGTGGATAGTGAGGTAAAGTCGTCCTTGGTAAGGTTTTCCTTTTAATGAAAAGCCGCCCCAAAATAATTTCTTTTCTATCAAACAGCAGCCTCTAAAATCACTTTGCAAACATAGGCAAGCTGGAAGCTTGTGGGGGGGAACGCTGGGAGCTGCACCAATAGGAAAAGGCTAGGTGGGGAAGACATGTTCTGTGTGGCTGCTCCGTCTTCTCCTTTCCTTGTCAATCACATACACAGTAGGGAGCAGGCAACATGGCACTGGCCCAGTACAGACCACATTTGCATAATACACCATTCGGGTAGGGCTGCCAGCCTCTTGCATGCTTTGTAAATGTTGTGTCTGGAATTTGGTTCTTTCCGGTGGGTTCTTGGTCGGGCTGACTTCAAGAATGAAGCCGCAGACCCTTGGGGTGAGTGTTACAGTTCTTAAAGATGGTGTATCCAGTTTGTTCCTTCATATGTTCCGATGAGTCTGGAGTTTCTTCCTTCTGGTGGGTTCGTCCTCTTGCTGGTCTCCAGGAGAGTCTTCACTTCTGACTCTAAAAGTGAAGCCGCAGACCTTCGCAGGGTGCATTACAGCTCTTAAAGGTGTCACGTATAGAGTCGTTTGATCCTCCCCATGGGTTCGTGGTCAGGCTGGCTTCAACAGTGAAGTTTGTGGTCTCCATGGCTTTAGGAGTGAAGCTGCAGACCTTTGTGGTGAGTGTTACAGCTCATAAAGGTAGTGCAGACCCAAACAGTGAACAGCAATAAGATTTATTGCAAAAACCTGAATGATAAACTTTCCACAGTGTCGCACAGGACCCAGCAGATTGCCACTGCTGGCTTGGGTGGCCTGCTTTTATTCCCTTATTTGGCCCCACCCACATCCTGCTGATTGGTCCGTTTTACAGAGAGCTGATTGGTCCATTTTACAGAGTGCTGAGTGGTCCGTTTTACAGAGTGCTGATTGGTCCGTTTTTATAGAGTGCTGATTGGTGCGTTTGCAAACCTTTAGCTAGACACAGAGCACTGATTGGTGCATTTACAATTCTTTAGCTAGACAGAAAAGTTCTCCAAGTCCCCACCCGACCCAGAAGCCCAGCGGGCTTCACCTCTCAATGTCACAACGGGTCCAACCAATCTTTGGGTCATGTGTAAATCAAACACCACCTCTCAAGCCTGTCTATAAAATGTGGTGCATTCTGCCATATGCTGGAAGTCCCATTGAGGCGCCCCTCTCACTTGCAAGAGAGAGAGCTATTCTCCTTCTCTTTCTCTTTCTTTTGCCTATGAAAGTTCCACTCTTAATCCCATTCCACGTGTGTCCGTGTCCTTGATTTCCTTGGCATGAGGCACCAAACCTTGGGTATTTACCCCAGACAACAATGCCGCTTCAGTGTTATGCTCCTGGTTTGGAAATTAATCACTTTGTGTGTGTGTGTGTGTGTGTGTGTGTGTGTGTGTGTGTAGAAGCAGGTTAATTTTTAAAGACCTTTATTTTCCTGGCTTCATTTTATTTTTAAGAAGAGAATTAGGAATCTTTTCTAGTTAAAAAACATCTGCCCTTGCCATTCTGTATACTTATGGCCAGATCCCGGATGCTGCTTTATCAGTTTGTGTTCTCTGCCTCGTTGTTTTAGGCTTGCATTTTCCTTATTTCACTAAGGGTCAAGACTATCGCAATAAGGGAGAGAGACAGAACTCAACTCCAAGTACAGCAATGACATCTGGGGATTTGTAGCCAACGGGCAAGGAGACAGGATCAATGGATGAAAAATTACTAAGAGGAATTTGATGAGTTGTCAAAGGTGGGGATTGAAACTGGGCTTAGCAGGCCAAGGACAAGGCTTAGTTAAGAAGAGGGTTCCAGGAGCCTGGCTAGGAGGGAGTCCTTATCAAAATTCAGTGACAAAAGAAGCTTGGTATGCTAGAGAACAGTTCATGTGGCATTTAACTCAGGAACTCTGACATGAACTAGACTATTGTGATCAGGGGAGGAGGCATAAGAAAGGGGCTGCACAGATGTCCTTGAAATGTAGGGTCAGGGGAGTCAGGAAGGCCAGAGAGAGACATCACCTGCTGGAGCCCTTGACCGTCCCTGCAGGGGCGAGAACTGTAGCCTGAAGAGGCAAAAGACAGATGGGTGGACTGTGTTTTAACATGGAAATGGCTCCTTTTGATCTGGCTGGGCTACCAACGTGTAACAATGGAAAGGAACAACAAGGCATCAGGCATGAATGTGATTGGTGAGCCCAAGGCCGACCCACAGAAGCCCTGTGGGCAGTGCCCTGTGTGTTTTTGAGAGCTGTGTCAGCTCCGTGGAGGAAGCAGGAGCTTGCAGGCTCATCCCCAATCTGTGTCTTGGAGGATGAGGGCATCCAACCTGCCTCCTGCATGGGCGAGTGCCAGGGCATAGCCTGCTTGAGGGCAGGTGAGGTCGTCGGGATGAGAGAGTCATTTTTATGGCCCTAAATTCCACGACTAAATGTATTCTCATTATACATTTATGCTTTTTAGAGAGCACGTCACAGAATTGAGCTCATTTTAAGCAAGGTTTCCACATGTTTACATATATTTCTGAAGCTAGATGGAAAGAAAAGACATATGGGGGAATTCCAAAAGTGGCTTCTGCATGCTGCCCATTGAACGTTTGCTCAGGAACACTGCACTGATAGTATCGTGGGTGGAGCCAACAGTTATCCCAGGAGAAGGCAGAGCCTGGCGACCCTGACCCTGGGACCCTGGCACAGGCCTGAACACTGGCACCCATGTATGGAAGGTGGAAAATGCTTCCAGGTGCCTTTTGAGTTCCAGATGCCATTGAAGACAGCAGAGAGGCTCAACCCAGCCAGTAGACCTTCTACCTTCATTGCAAGGATGCTTTTTAAATCTTTACTTAGAAAGTTCAGTTCCTTGGCTCGCACAAAGGACAATGTGAAGAACAATTGAACTGCTGAGAACATCCAGATTCGACAACATTCGGAGAGACAGTCAGTGACTGATGAGAGGAACCAGCTTATATTTCTGAAGCTTGGAGGCCTGCTGCCAGGACTCTTATTTAAAACATGCCTCAGAATAGGCCACTGTGGGCGCCAGCAAGACTAGCCTCAGAATACTTTGGAATAACCCCATGCTTTCGTGGCCAAAGCTGTATATTTTTGGATGCCAGGTTTCTATTTGAAACTTGTCACTGTGACCTGCAGACTGTGCTGGTTTGTAGCTGCTGCCAATCGCACAGTCGGTGAGTTTTTCTCCCTGAGTGAGGATCCAGAAATGCATGCCCAGCTGAGCTCCCAGCATATTGATAATCTCCTCACCCCTTGAATGAAAATGATAACAATTGCTTCAGTTAAAATGTCAGATGCTTTTGGTTAAAAATAACCACAGAAATCCTAATTTTAGCTACCTCAACCACAAAGGGGAGTGTTGGCCTGAATCACAGTCTGGAAGGAAGATCCAGTGATAGGTGTTGGGGCACAGGAAATGATTCCCCAAAATATGGCGCTTTGGCATGCGGAGTGCTTTGACAATTGAAAGGCCTCCAAAATAAGCCTTAGGGTCAAGGTTTCTCTCTGACTTTTTCCCCACCTCTTTGTCTCCCTGATACTCTTTCCTGAAGCACCAAGAGGGACTCTTCTCTAGAATTTCCTTATCTAAGAAAGCTTAAATGCAATTGTCTTAAGACTCCCTCCTTAGGAATCTCATTAAAGAAGCAGGACGATCAAGCACAGAAGAGAAAAGACTCAGAGTCCTCACTGTGCCCAGACGGACTTTTCATCTATTCTTCTAAGAGCAGCTCCAAGAGATTACCTGGGGGGCTTTACCTGCAGAATAAGACAACCTTTGTTCCTGTGCAGCTCTGACCCCACTTTCCCAGAGCATCTGCCTCCTGCCTTTGGGGTCCATTCATCTTCCCTAATGATTTCCTGCCCATCAAAAGATCATCTACATTTCCCATCACCTCCACCCCTAGGAAAGGGTAAATGAGCTTCTGTAGGGCACCGAGTAAGTGGGTGATCACTCTGTGATTGTCCCCTGTGCACATTAATACATTTGTTTGTCTTTTTTCTCTGTTAATCTGCCTTTCGTCAGTTGATTTTCAGCAAGCCTTCAGAGGGCCAAAGGGAAGTTTCTCCTTCACTCCTACATAGGCATTCCTAGCACTTTGCAAAATCTCCTTCCCAGACGTGAGACCCCTTGGAGTTAAGCATATTTCAGGACCAACAATAAAAATGATGTGTGTTACTTTGGGGGAGCATTAAGAACCAGGGTGTAAGTCTCCACCTTTCTCCCCATGGCAGGTCATCGTGGAGTCACACATTGATATGAAGGTGCACAGGACAGCCTGGAATGCACTGCCACCCATCAGGGAGCACAGCCCTGGAGCCCACGCAGGCCCACAGCTGGCCATGAGTGAGAAACTAACTTTTGCGAGTTGATGCTGAGGTCATGGTTTGAGATCACCCCATCTTCTTGCTCATCCTGACTGGTAGAGTCTTCAGGGTGGGTTTCATCCAATGACTCAACAATGACCCCGTGGACTGGCTCTTTCTGTCCCTCTGCCCTCTGAACCACGGCAAAATGGCTTCTGTAGTTCCAGAGACTTAAAGTCTGGAGCTACACTACCCAGAAGGTGCCTACAGCCCCGCTTCCATCACACTGGCCAAAATCAGGCTATAGGCCCATTTCCGAAGCAAGTTTTTCATCCAGGGAATGCCATAGACTTGGGTAAAGGGCCAGCCACTGGGGTAAGATCAGGCTGTGGGATCGCATAAATCCTATTAGATGAATCAAAGCCAGCTCCTGTAGGGGGGCATGAGGCTATTGTACCCTGAGGCACATAGAATAGGGGAGGGGTTAGGGAGAAGAGAATGAGGTGTGGGTCGGAGATTAGGAGGCAGGGAAGCAAAGTCATGTGCAGGGTGAACATGAGCCTGTCAAGATCCACCCCAAGGCCTTCCTAACTTTCCTGCAGCATGGCACACATTTCATTTTTCTCAAGATCAATGGGGCAGTGAACTTCTGAGTTCACAGTGAAGAATGAACCTGTAAAAAACAAAATAAGCCAGGCACAGGAAGACAAATACAGCATGATCTCACTTATATATATGTAATCTGAAAATGTTGAACTCGTAGATATGGTGAATAAAATCGTGGCTAGCAGGGGCTGGGGCATGGGGGAAGGGGAATGGGTAGAGGTTGTTTAAAGGGTACAAAGTTTCAGTTACATAGGAAGAATAAGCTTCTGAGATCTATTGCACAGCATGGTGAATATAGTTAATGTATTGTATATTTCAAAACCGCTAAAAGTAAATACCAAATGCCTCACCACAGAAAATGATAAGTGATGTGGTGGACAGGTTAATTAGCTTGATTTAATCATGCCACTCCAAACTTCACATTATACTTCACAAATATATACAATTATTATTTGTCAATTATGCAATTTAGATTTTTTAAAAAAGAAATTGTAAAAACAAGTTTTACAAAAGGCTCTTCTAAGTCCATTAAGAAAATGAAGGCCAAGTATGGTGGCTTAATGCCTATAATCCCAACACTTTGGGAGGCCAGTGTGGGAGGATTGCTTGAAGCCAAGAGGTTGAGGCCAGCCTGAACAACAAAGTGAGTCCCCATCTCTACAGAAAATAAAAAAAAATTAGCCAGGTGTGGTGGCATGCACCTGTAGTCCCTGCTACTTGGAAGGCTGAGGTGGGAGGCTGAGGTGGGAAGATGGCTTGAGTTCAGGAGTTTGAAGCTGCAGTGAGCTAATATCGTGCTACTGCACTCCAAGCTGGGAGACAGAGCAAGACCTCAGAAAAACAAGATCATGAAAACATTCTCTCTTATCTCCTTCCAGAATTGTTTTAGCTTTCACATTTAGGTATATGACCCAACTTAAACTAATTTTCATTTTTAGGGTAAGATATGGGTAAGGTGTTTTCTTTTTTCCATACAGGTATCCAGTTGCTCTGTTTATTATCCAGACCATCTGTTTCCATCTGAATAGCAGCAGCACCTTCGTGGTAAACCACATGTGGGTCTATTTCTGGATCCTCTGTTCTATTCCACTGTTCTCTTTGTCCATCCTTCCTCTAATACCAGTCTATCTGAACTACTGTAGCTTCAAAAGAATTCTTGAAATCCTTGAACTTTGCTCTTCTTCATTAAGTATTCTGTTTCTTTCAGGTCCTTTGTCTTTTCATATATATTTTAAAATCAGCTTCTCAATTTCATCTCTTTAAAAAAACTGTTTAGCTATATCTGAATTCATCAAAAGATACGGGAGGAATTGACATCTAAACAATACGAACTTTTCAACCTCTAAACATGGAACATCTTTTCATTTATTTTGGTCTTCTTTCATTTCTTTCAGTAAGGTTTTCTAGCATATTAATCAGAATTCTCCAGAGAAACAGAAACAACAGGATGTGTATATACAGTGAGATTTATTTTTAAGGAATTGGCCTACAAGACTGTGGAAGCTTGTAAGTCCAAAATCTGCAGGGTAGATTGGCAGGCTAGAGACGCGGGGGAGAATGTCAGTCCAAGTTGCAAAGGCAGTCAGCTGGCAGAGTTCCTTCTTGCTCAGGAGAGGCCAGTCATTGTTCTATTGAGCGCCTTCAGCCGACAGGATGAGGCCCACTCACATTATGGGGGGTAATCTGCTTTACTCCCAGTCTATCAGTTTTGGTTAATCTCAACAAAAACCACCTTCACAGAAACATCCAGAATAATGCTTGACCAAATAACTGGACACTGTGACCCAGCCAAGTTGACTATAAAATTAGCCAGTGCAAGTCCACCCCTTGTCATCTGGGCAGCTATACACATCTCCTTAAACCATACTTAATTTCCAAACAAAGATGATAACAAGGCCATCTTTCACCTATCATAATTGTCCTGCATACAACCAAAAATGCACTAACTCCCTCCCCAAAAGAGTATGCAACGTCCTCAGGTGATGCTTATGCCTCTCGATAGCCTGCAACTTAAATACTATGATGTAAAGTTAACAATACAGTCATGTACCATATAATGACCTTATGGTCAAGAACAAAACTTATATACAACAATGGTCCCATAAGATTATAATACTGTATTTTTACTCTACCTTTTCTATATTTAGATATGTTTAGATATACACATACTGACAAGTGTGTTACAACTGCCTACGGCATTCAGCATAGTAACATGCTATACAGGTTTGTAGCCTAGGAGCAGTAGGCTGTACCATATAGCCTAGGTGTGTAGTAGGTGTACCATCCAAGTTTGTGTGAGTACACTCTACAATGTTTGCATAACAATGAAATCACCTAATGATGCATTTTTCAGAACATATCCCTGTCATTAAGCAACACATGACTATACTTAAATACTATGATAAAAAGTCAATAAGAGGATAAGAGAGGGAAGAAATGAGATATTTTCTAAATATACACACACATAAACAAACATATTCATAACAAAATAAGGATGAAATATTCATAACAATTAAAAATCCTGGTTTCTGGAACTGGTCACATGATCATAGCTGGTGCTTACAGCTACCTTCTTCTACTGCCATTCTGTATCCCCTTTACCCTCAGCTGGTTGTGTTTTTATACAGGGTAGAGTGATCCAAATCTTAATTCCCGAAGTGTCTGAGCCATTAGTAGTCCTGCCTGGATTGGGTTGGTGTAGTTTTCCATTGACTTTAACCACAGGGCATGGTAACACTAAGAGACGTCCTAAAGGAGTTTCTGTATTCTAGACATACTCTTTCTTACCTCCATTGTGGAGTAGTACTCCAATTTCTGCTTGGTAGTGAGAATCAACCACCCCAATCACCACAGTAACTCCCTTATTTGCCTACTCATTCAGAGACCTGAGGACTCTAAAGTGGCGGGGCAGCCGTCTTCTAGTTCATTGGAATCATTTTTGTGTCTCTTAGTGGAAGCCTTTTTTCCCTTTGGAACTAAGACCTTTATGCCAACAGAGTAGAAGTTCACAGGAACAGGAGGCAAAAATTTTGCTGGGGAGTGAATAGGAGTAATAGGGAATAGTACAACTCCCATTTCTACCTACCCCCTGATTCCTACCCATGAACCTGTCATAGAAACAGCACCATATATTAAATACTGATTCGGATCATATACAGCCTCCTGGAGAACCTTATCCTAGCCCTGCAAGGTATTGCCAGAAGCAATGCTGGGTGGAATACCATGATGGTGGATAAGGCATCCTATAAGTCCATGGATGGTAGTTTTGGCAGAAGCATTGTGTGCAGAGAAGGCAGATCCATTTCCAGGGTAAGAACCTATTCCAGTGAGAACAAAACACTGCCCTTTCCATGATGGACGTTGCCCAAGTGTAATCAATCTACCACCAGGCAGGCTGGCTGATCGATCTCCCTGGGGAATGATGTGATTCTGTGGACTCAGTGTTAGTTTCTGCTGCTGGTAAATTGGGCACTTAGCAGATGCTGTAGCCAGGTCACCTTTGGTGAATGGAAGTCCATGTGACTGAGCCCATGCATAGCCTCCATTCCTGCCACCATGGCTACTTTGTTCATGAGCCCACTGGGCAATGGCTGTGATGGGTGGGGAAAGAGGCTGACTGCTTTTGTTTTGTCTGTTTATTTTATTAGTTATTGAGAGAGGTAAGTTAATATATCAACTATGATGTGGATTCATCTCTCTCTTTAGTTTCTGTAAACTTTTGTTTCATATATTTAAAAATTATAATATTAGGTGCATACAAAGTTAAAGTTGTTATGACTTCCTTTTGAATTTACCTACTTACCACTACGAAATGTTACAATCTATCTCTCAGAATATCTTTAACTTTGAAGTCTATTTATATTTTAATTATTAATGTCACCATGACAGATTTCTTTTGATATGTGTTTGCATGTTTTTTCATCTCTTTACTTCATCCTATCTATAAATGTATATTTGAAATATGTTCATTGCCAATAACATATAGCTTGGGCTTTTAAAAATAGCTGACTCACTTTGTATTTTAATTGGTGTATTTAGTCCATTTATGTTTAATAATAATATATAACTGATCTGGTTTGTTTGTTTATCATTTTGCTATTTGTTTTCTATTTGTCCTGAAATTTATTTTCTTTTTTCTCTGTTCCTGCCTTCCATTATATTAATCAGGTATTTAAAAAATATTCTGTTTTATCTTATCCATTAGGATTTTGTTATACTTATAACAAAATGTTATAGTATACTTTATCTTATAATGCACTTCTATCTTATCTATTAGTATGTTATTTTTTTGCTATAAAAGATTAGTATCAATCTTTTCATCATTACACTAGAAATTTCAGAATGCAATCTTACCTTATTATGGTCTGCCTTAAATTAGTATTTTAACACTTCCCCAATGGTCTGATAACCATGCAACAATTTAACTCCATTTACCATCCCTTCCTTTTTTGCTTTTGTTGTCATGTATTTTATTCTACATAAATTATCAACTTCATGAAACATGTTTATAGCTTTTTTTAAACAATAGATTTTACAATTTATACATGTATTTACTCTTTCCAGTGCTGTTCACTTCTTGAACGTCTATCTCTCTGTAAAGATGTAGATGCTTGAAACAGTGGGATCCCTCCATGACAATAAGGAGAGAGATGTGGCCAGTATGTGGCACACCGAAAGATCCTGAGAAATTATGGACTTGCAGAACCAGCCCTGGGACTGCCAGCATCCAGGCTTGTCATTGAGTAAATCTGTCTACTCCTTTATGTTACCAGTCACTAAAATACCTAAGCTAATGCTCCAACACTACCATTCTCGCAGTTATAACCAGTCTCAAAATATGGGTCATTTAGATTCTTCTATTTCTCTCTCTCCCCCCACCCATCACCAATTATTGATGCTAAGGGTTTTGCCTCTACCCTGCCTCCCACAGCAGTCCTTTATTTCCATAGTTACACCAGACTAGAGTCTGGACCCAAGTACCTCTTTTCTGACACTTTCAACAGCCTCCTCGCTCTTTTCAGATTTCTCCATGAAATCCATTCTACATTCTAAGATGAATATCTCTTTAAATATGGCATTCATCTTCAAACCAGCAGTTCTAACTTTTTGGTCTTAGGAACCTTTCACATTTCTAAACTTATTGAGAATGACACGAGCTTTTTTTGGTGAGTTATACCTTTTGATAGTTATCGTATCTACAAATTAAAACAGAAAAATGTTTGAAGTATACTTACTAAGTCATTTAAAAATACCGAGAGTAAACCCATTAAAGGTTAAAATAAATAACACTTGTTATGAAAAATAACTATAACACAAATAGTGAAGAGTGACATTACATTTTTCAAATTTCTGTAATGTCTAGCTTAGAAGACAAAAGAGTTCTCATATCTATTTGACTTGAGATATTCATGCTGCTGAAATATTTTGTTTTAGTTGAAGTTGATGACTAAAATCCAGTTGCATATAGTATTTGAGGGAAGGGAGTATTTTAATACATTTTTATGGTAATTATAGATATGCTACTTTGATACTACCCTCGAACTCAACAATTGGTAGCTTCTTAAAAGTTTTGCAATGTAGATTCTGAAACCATTTCAATAAATTTGTTAACTGTACATTAAAATTAATTGGTCTAGTTTGTACTTTGGATGGATCTTTTCCTCATGCCTGATTGTGTAAAATTATGTACCAGACACTTGGAAAATATTAGTTTACTGAATAACGCAACTCTTTCAAATATTTCCACGTTTCATTATATATTAAAAATTGCATTTATTGATAGTACCACCAATCTTATAAAAAATTTAAGCATTGGGAAGTCATCAAGCTCATGGTAGCAGATACAAGTTTTCCAAAATTTTAATTTTCATTTGAAAACTTAAATGTAATCATTAGCAACAAATACTAATTCCTGTCAGCTGTTTCCCTTAAAGTAACAGGCTTACCTTATTCATTTTCAGGACAAGCCTGCTGTAGGGGAGGGAAAATTTTCCCATTACCCTTCCTCTGAGGATTTGATAATTGAGTTTATGAAATCAACAGACATCAGGCAGATTAGCAGGAGAAAAAGTATACAAATGTATTATGTGCGTGGGAACATCAAAGGAAAGAAAAGTGAATACCCTCAAACCCAGTGAGATCTAGAAACTTACATACCCTCCTCTTAGGAGAGAGGGTAGGAGAGATGTAGGCAACTTAGGGGACAGTAAATTACTTTTGTAAAAGATGGGGTTAGAAGAGGAGATAACAGCCTGTGACAAAGCCTGTGTGTGGCATCAACTTCTACTCTCCTCTCCTGTGATAGGAGTCAATCTTCTTCAGTCGATGAGATTCCTTGGGGATGAGATAGATGGCAGTTCAATTCCTTTTGGAGGATCTGTCTCTAGGCAGATAGGGGAGTTCAGAGACAGCCCCTCCCTGCATTTGCCGTTTCCCTGGTGCCTTCAGTTTGAAGTAATCAGCACACCAAAGTGACATATTTTGGGGTGGCATTTCCCAAACTCCTTCAACTCCCAAATACGCAAACCTAAATAATCACCATTTGTCAGTTGTTCTTTCAAGTAAAAATTGTGTTTCATGAAAAAAGCAGGTGGCTTAGCTCACAACTCAAATAATTGCACAAGTCCTTTCCTTCAAGGTAACCATCCTACTTTATTATGTAGCTGCAGTACGTGATGTGTACTTCCCATCTTATCACACGGAATGTTATAAAGTTGTGTACTCAAGAGTGGAGATTTAAAAATTTAAACGTGTTTTTTTTTTTTTTTTTTTTTTTTTTTTTTTCTGATTCACTAGGACTTTCTTTAGTGAAACTGGCTTTTTTAGTTTTCCGGCAAGTATTTGTACCTTGACTACTAATACAGTTTGGCCTCACTTTGATTTGTGCTAAGTCACTGCAGTTTCACCCAGCATTGTGTTTACACCATCATTGTCAGGGTTAACACAATGGAAAGTCCAAATAACGTCCAGAAAAATAGTTTTGGCTTCGCAGACACTTTGAAAGGGTCTTGGCGACCCCCAAGAGTTGACAGACTATACCTTGGGAGCCATTGAGCTAGGTCATTTCAGGTCTCTCCAAGACCTAAAGAACAAATAACTCATTTTGTAAATCCAAAGTCTTTAAGTGAGGCCACAAACAGGTAACCTGAAGATCAAATCTAGCCTGTAGACATGTTTTATTAATATTTGACTAACTTAGGGTTCTTTAAAAATTTGAATTTGAAAGCCCTTAGGGCAGTGTTTGTTGATAAGCACCACTCCTCATCATCTCTCCCCAATCTAGCTACATTCATGTGAATTGCTCATCTAATCACTAAAAGCAAAGCCTTATCCCAACCTTTGCTTCCAACATCTCCTATTACTCCTTCAAACACACCCTTCTCCTGAGGCTCATTGCTCCTGTTACTTGGAATGCACCCTTTACTTAACCACATATCTAAGTTTTTTTTCATTCTGCAAAATTAAACTTGTCACCCGTCTCCCCTAGAAAACTTTCACTGGAAACTCTGATCCAGGTGACAGCATCCCTTCAAGTCCTGACTAAAGACTGGGCAATGTCACTCCTTGGTTGGAAAGTCACATGCTACCTCTGACTTCTTGTGAATTGTTACCTTTTCTCCTTATTTAGAGTTTCATAGTATATGTTTGCTATGGCTTGGATGTCTCCTCCAAAACTCTTGTTGAAATGTAGTTGTCAATGTAATGGTGTTGGGAGAGAGGGCTTTTAGGAGGTGATTAGGTCATGAAGACTCTGTCCTCATGAATGGATTAATGCCATTATTGCAGGAGTGGGTTACTTACTGTGGGAGTGGATTCCTGATAAAAGGATAAGTTTTGGCCTCCATTTTCTTGCTGTCTCCCATGCTGTCTTTCTCTTCTGCCTTTCCTCTTCTGCCCTCTGCCCTCTGCCCTTCCACCATGGGGTAATGTAGCACAGAACCCCACCAGATGCTGCTGCCATGCCCTTGGTGTTCCCAGCCTCTAGAACCTGGAGCCAGTAAACTTCTATTCTTTGTAAATTACCCAGTCTCTGGTATTCCATTATAGCAACAGAAAACTGAATGAGACAATGTTTTTTGTTGCCTTGGAAACAAAAAGTTGGAAACTACTTAAGGAAAGAAAACAATTTTATACCTTTGGAGAACATATAATGTTCTGCCTAAGGCAAGCATCTAACACACACTTCTTCAAATAATGAGTGGATACTTCTAAAGCAGTATAAACAGAAAGCTGATGCAGATTCAGCTAAAATTTATTGTCTTGTTCTTACAGACCAGGTACTGTGTGCTGTGTAAGGTGCTGTATTAGGGTTCTCCATACAGATGTGCACACACACACACACACACAGATACATATATGGCAACACACACACCACAGTACTGTGGAGACTGGCATGTCCTAAATCCACAGGGTAGGCCTGCAGGCTGCAAATTCAGGCAAAATTCCTTCTTCTTTGAGGAATCAGATTTTGCTCTTATGGCCTTCAACTGATTAGATGAGGCTCACCACACCATGGACATTTATGAGCTTTACTAAAAGTCCAGTGATTATAAATGTTAATCACATTTTAAAGAGTCTTCACAGCAACATCTAGACTACTGTTTGACTACACAACTAGGCACCATAGCCTGGCCAGATTGACACGTAAGATCAACCATCGCAGGAACTTGCACACTTACAGCATTTGTTACTGCTTTCATCTGGAAAGCCCTATATTAAAGAGTGTTGAGGATTAGTTTGTCTCTCATATTTTCACTTACAGTCCCCTGCAGTTTTCTTTATTTAGTTCTCCTGATAACTTCACGTGAGTCTCAGTCTACAGGTTGAGAGGTGAGCAGAGCCCGATACTGTACAACCAGTGTTCATAAAACCTAAATTATTGGCAGAAACCACACAGTTGGATTCTAGGAAATTTCCTAAATGGCAATGACTAGTGGTTTCTAAGCTCTTAGACTTCAAGCATTTTTGATCATGATAAAAAACGAGAAATACATCACTATATCCTGAGTTTTAAAACAAAAATCACAGAACTATTGTGACTAAGGAAGGGAACTTGCTTTCATTGGTTCATTCTTCCAGTAAACATTTATTTAGCAGTATAGGGTCATGAAAAAGAGGGTGAGCTTTTGACAAATGCCTTGTATCCAGTTCTTGCTGAATCACTGGCAGTATAATATTGAACAAATTATTTAACCTCTCTGAGTCTACATTTACTCAAGAGCCTAGTAGGAAATTAGGACATGTAAAAATAACAACAGCACAGGGCTTACACTTCTGGGAAGACAGAATGGACCTACTTTTCCATATTATTTTTAGTTTTATTTTATTTTATTTTTTGAGATGGAGTCTCGCTGTGTCACCCAGGCTGGAGTGCCGTGGTGGGATCTTGGCTCACTGCAACCTCTGCCTCCTGAATTCAAGTGATTCTCGTGCCTCAGCCTCCTGAGTAGCTGGGATTACAGACATGTGCCACCATGCCCAGCTAATTTTTGTATTTTTAATAGAGATGGGGTTTCACCATGTTGGCCAGGCTGGTCTCGAACTCCTGACCTCAGGTGATCCACCTGCTTCAGTCCCCCAAAGTGCTGGGATTACAGGCATGAGCCACCACGCCCAGCCCTACTTTTCCATATTCTTCCAAGTCATCGAAACTAAAAATCCAGGACATTTTGCATAGAATGAACATAAGAAGCTGAGAGGTGGGGAGAAGGTAGAATAGCTAGGGAATCTGGGATCCGAGGAATGCCACAACAGAGAGTTACCTGGATTTTCTTTTTACCTCCTGTATCCTGAATTGAATGCTGAAGAAACCAGTAACTGAAAACACCTGTAGGTGCAGACAAAGAGCAACAAACAAAACAATCAAGAAAGCCTGCTTTCCTTCACCAAACGACAAGGAAAGGGGTGGCCAAGCAAAGGAGAAAACTTTAAGATACTAATTACTTAAGCCAGACACCAGAGCAAAAACAGTGGACTCATCCCACCCTCGCAGGCCATGTTGGGAGCCTAGAATTCCACCCTTCTGAGGCTGGATGAGACTCCAGGTCCCCACTGTAGTGGTGTCAGAAAGAGCAGGTAAGAAATGGAGATGTTTGTCTCTTCCTTTCTCTGACACCACGGTGTGTGCTTGACTCCTCTTCTTGCCATGTTTTCTCACAAGACTTTCAGGATTAAGCGATTCCTGGTCAAGAAACAAAAGTGAAATTGTCCCATTCCCCATTGGATTGGGATGAAAACTGGTGATAAAATCAGTACAACTCCAAACGGAGACATTGGAAAAGAACCAAGCTGGATCTCTAAGGAATTGCACATGAGATGGCACACATATTTATGCTGTCTGAAGGTCACAAACATGTTATCATATCAAGCTGAAAATGACACCACTGTCTGGAGAGTTGGGCATATTTTATTGGGAATATATTTTTTCTCTCTGAATCTGTTATGAACGAGCTGGTTTGCTGGGTTCGGTAATAAATATGTGAGACCTTTCGTTTTTTTTTTTAAAAAAGAAATATGGGAATGTTCATTTATGCTAGGTAGTAATGAGATCTAGCAAGATTGACAAAAGAAAATAGAGAAGATACAAACTACTGATGTCAGGAATGAAAGAGAATACCACTCCAGACCTTGCAGGCTTTCAAAGGATTGTGATAAAATACTACAAACAACTTTAGACACATCAACTTAGATGAAATGGACCAATTACCTAAAAATCACAAACTACCACAATGTGCTCAATATGAAATGGAAAATGTGAATAGCTCTATAAGAATATTGAGTTCACAATTTTAAAACTCTCAAAAAAGAAATCTCCAAGCCCAAGTAGTTTCACTGGAGAGCTCTGTCAAACATGTAAAGCAAAATCAATACCAATTTGACACAATTTCTTTAAGAAAATAGATGAGGTGGAAAAAATTCCCAACTCAATCTATGAAGCCAGTATTACTCTGATACCAAAACCAGACAAGACAGTATAAAAAGAAAACTACAGACCAATCTCTCTCAGAAATATAGATGCAAAACTTAAAATATTAGCTAATATAAATCAGTAATATATAAAAAGTATATATGCCACGACCTAATAGGGTTTATTCCAGGGATGCCACACTAGTTCATTATTCAAAAATCAATCAGTGTAATTCACTATACTAACAGGCTAAAGAAGAAAAAAAATCACATGGTTATATAATTGTTGCATTAAAAATATTTGAAAAAAATTCAACATCCATTCATGATATAAATTCTCAGAAAATAGGAATAAAGAGGAACTTTATTGATATTTTATACAGAACATCTACAAAAACCCTACAGCTAACTTTATACTGAATAGTTAAACAGTGAAAGTCTGAATGCTCTCACCTCGGATTGAGAAGGGGGCAAGGATGTCTACTCTCACCACCATTATTCAACATAATACTGGAAATTCTACTCAGTGCAATAAGACAAGCAAGGAAAAAATAAAACTGTCCTGATTTTCAGAAGACATAATTGTCTACGTTAAAAAAAAAAACACCCAGGAATCTGCAAAGCAAAAAGAAAAGTCCCCCGAAAACTAACGAGTGAGTTTAGCAGGGCCTCAAGATACAGGATCAGCATACAAAAGTAAATTATATTTTGATATAGTAGTGCAAACATGTTGAAACCAAAATTTAAAATAGAATTTATAATCACTTTTACAAAATAAAATACATGAGATTTCCAGTTTCAGCTCCAACATACAATTTAGAAGTCTTCACACTTTCCTTATAACAAGGAAATGTTGGCCGGGCGCAGTGGCTCACGCCTGTAATCTCAGCACTTTGGGAGGCCGAGATGGGCGGATCACCTGAGGCTGGGAGTTCGAGACCAGCCTAACCAACATCGAGAAACGCCATCTCTACTAAAAATACAAAATTAGCTGGGCAAGGTGGCACATGCCTGTAATTCCAGCTACTCGTGAGACTGAGGCAGGAGAATCGCTTGAACCCGGGAGGTGGAGCTTTCGTGAGCTGAGATCGCGCCATTGCACTCCAGCCTGGGCAACAAGAGTGAAACTCCATCTCAAAAACAAAACAAAACAAAACCAAAACCAACCAAACAAACAAGAAACAAACAAACAAAAAACCAGAAAAAAAAACAAGGAAAAGTTGAAGAAATGGAAAATCAGTGAGTTATCCTGGATCCATTAGAGTGCTGAGGTCATGGAGTGAACAGCACCCTGAAATCTGGAGAGAGACATGCCCACAGGGAGCCTCGGCTGAGACCTGCTTCCCTGGAGAAGTAGCTGCTGCAGCCCTAAGCCCACAGGAACACTTGAATGGGAATTTGAACTGCTGGAGGCTCAGCGTGGACTAGTGTAACAGCAAGAAACTCCAGGGGACGCAGTCTTGGGGTACCCCACACTTCATACGTTTTTACCCCAAGGAACTGCACCAGTTTCTCAAGGGGAAGAGCCAAGAAAAATCTCCTCATGTTTCTGACAGGAGGAAGGAGAAAATAACCATTTTGGAGTATGTCCAGGGCACTCATCATAACAGATACCTATTCTCTGTGAGAAAAATACTTACCAGAGCCTTATCCCATCTACAGGAAAAGGCAGCTGATGAAGCCCAGCTTTCCTATCTCACCAAAGGGAGGAGAAAAGGAAAGAAGCAACTGTGAAAGTCACAGGCCAGGGAGAACAGAACCAGTAAAAGACAAATTTAATCATAATATTATAGAAAGCTTACTCCCCAACACCTTCCCACCGCATCAATGGGACTTCCATATAATAACAGGCGACTACAGCTAATAGAGCCACAAGGTACAGGCTCTACCTAAGGAATTCTCAGAGAAGCCCGAAGACAAAGGAAACAGTAACAAGAAATGTGAAGCCTCTGGCACCTACAGCTACAGTGAACATCAAACACAGCCCAGCTCCTAGCCAGGTTAATATAAGACCTCAAATTTAAGGCCTATTTACCTCAGTTACTATTTCCCGTACAGATTGAGTATCCCATATACAAAATGAGACCAAACTCTTCCGGATTTCATTTTTTTTTTTTGACTTTGGAATATTTGCGTGTACAGAATGAGATATCTTGGGGACGGGACCCAAGTCTAAACACTAAACTCATCATGTTCCATACACCTTTAGCCATGTAACTTAACGTAATTTTAGACAACACTTATATATAATTTTGTGCATGAAATAAAGTTCTGACTGCAACCCATCATGTGAGGTCAGGTGTGGAACTTTTCAGTAGTGGTGTCGCATCAATGCTCAGAAAGTTTCAAATTTGGGAGCATTTTGGATTTCAAATTTTTGGATTAGGGATACTCAACCTGTACATCATGTCTGTCTTTCACCAAAAAATTGCAAGGCACACCAGCAGCCAGAAAAATGGTCTGGAGAGACAAAACAAGACGAAAGTATGACATAGATGTTGGAATTATCAGGTGGGAAATTTCAAATGACTATGATTAATATTTTAAGGAGAAAAGTAGAACTATATACAAGAACAGATGGGTAATTTTTTAAAAGGTGTCTCACTTTATTCAAATATAGTACTCAAAAGGACTTTCAAAATCAACTATCTTTTTAATATTTGAGACATGCCTATTTCCAGGTAAAAACCTGAATTATCACCCCATATATTTGAATTTTTTTAACTTTTGTTTTAGGTTCAGGGTTACATGTAAAGGTTTCTTATATAGGTAAACTTATGTCATGGGAGATTATTGTACAGATTATTTCATCACCTAGGTACTAAGCCTAGTACCCAATACTTATTTTTTCTGATTTTCTCCCTCCTCCCTCCCTCCACTCTCAACTAGGCCCCTGTGTCTGTTGCTGTCCTCTTTGTATCCATGAGTTCTCATAATTTAGCTCCCACTTATAAGTGAGAACATGTGGTATTTGGTTTGCAGTTCCTGTGTTAGTTTACTAAGGATAATTGCCTCCAGCTCCATCCATGTCCCTGAAAAGGACATGATCCCATTCTTTTTTACGGCTGTATAGTATTCCATGGTGTATATGTACCACATTTTCTTTATCCAGTCTACCATTGATGGGCATTTAGGTTGATTCTACGTCTTTGCTATTGTGAATAGCGCTGTAATGAACATACACGTGCATGTGTTTTTATAATAGAATGATTTATATTCCTTTGGGTACATACCTGCTAGTGGGACTGCTGGGTTGAATGGTATGTCTGTCTTTAGGTCTTTGAGGAATCGCCACTTTCTACTATGGTTGAACTAATTTACACTCCCACCAACAATGTTCCCTTTTCTCCACAACCTTGCCAGCATCTGTTCTTTTTTGCCTCTTTAATAATAGCCTTTCTGACTAGTGTGAGATGGTATCTCACTGTGGTTTTGATTTGAATTTCTCGAATGATTAGTGATATTGAGCATTTTTCACATGCCTCTTGGCTGCTTGTATGTCTTCTTTTGAAAAGTGTCTGTTCATGTCCTTTGCCCACTTTTTAATGTGGCTGTTTGACTTTTTTTGTAAACTTGGTCAAGTTCCTTACAGATGCTGTATATTAGACCTTTGTCAGATGTATAGTTTGCAAAAATTTTCTCCCATTCTTCAGGTTGTCTGCTTACTCTGTTGATTTTACATTTAAGTCTTTAATCCATCTTGATCTAATTTTTATATATGGTGTAAGGAAGGGGTCCAGTTTCAATCTTCTGCATGTGGCTAGCCGGTAATCCCAGCCCCATTTATTGAATAAGGAGTCCTTTTCCTATTGCTTTTTTTTGTCAGCTTTGTCGAAGATCAGATGGTTGTAGATGTGCAGTCTTATTTCTGGGCTCTCTATTCTCTTCCATTGGTCTATGTGTTTGTTCTTGTACCAGCACCATGCTGCTTCGGTTACTATAACCCTGTAGTATAGTTTGAAGCCAGGTAATGTGATGCCTTCAGCTTTGTTCTTTTCGCTTAGGATTGTCTTGGCTTTTGGGGCTCTTTTTTTGTTCCATATGAATTTTAAAATAGTTTTTTCTAGTTCTGTGAAGAATGTTATTGGTAGTTTGATAGGTATAGCAATCAATCTGTAAATTGCTTTGGGCAGTATGGCCATTTTAATGATACTGATTCTTTCTATTCATGAGCATGGAATGTTTTTCCATTTGTTTGTGTCATCTGTGGTTTCTCTGAGCAGTGTTTTCTAATTCAAATTGTAGAGATCTTTTACCTCCCTGGTTAGCTGTATTCCTAGGTATTTTGTTCTTTTTGTGGCAATTGTGAGTGAGACTGCATTCCTGATTTGGTTCTTGGCTTGCCTGTTGTTGGTGTATAGGAATGCTAGTGATTTTTGTACATTGATTTTTTATCCTGAAACTTTCCTGAAGTTATCAGTTTAAGGGGCATTCAGGCTGAGACTACTGGGTTTTCTAGATATAGAATCATGCAGTCTGCAGAGATAGTTTGACTTCAGATGGGTAATTTAAAGCAAGAGGATGGAAATTTTAGGAAAGAATCAAAAGAAAGTGCTTGAAATGAAAAACATTATAACCAAAATAAAGAATGGCTTTGGGCTTATCAATAGCCTGGGCATAGCTGACGAAAGAAGCAGTGAGCTTGAAGATATGCCAATTCAAAACTGAAATGCAAAGAAAGAAAACAAGATATTCAGGAACTGTGGGACAATTGCGAAAGGTGTAACATATGCATATATGTAATACCAGAGGGAGAAAAGGGAATGGAACAGAATAAATATTGGAAATAATAATGTTCAATTTTTTTCCCTAGTGAATGATAGATACCAAACCACAAATCCAAAAAGCTCAGAAAACACCAAGTAAAATAAATGTAAAAAACCCTACATCCAACCCTATCATATTCAAACTTCAGAAAACCAAAGACAGAGAAAATCTTGAAAGAAGCCAGAGGAGTTAAAAATGAAATACTTTGATGTAAGTCTAACAAAACATGTACAGTACCTGTATGTTGAAAACTACAAAATAGTGATGAAAGAAATAAAAAATCTAAATAATGCAAGAAATATTTTGTGTTCATAGATTAGGGAATACAACATAGTAAAAATGTCTGTTTTCAAACTGACATATAGGTTTAACATAATTCCTATTCAAATCTTAACAAGGTTGTAGATATAGACACAATTATTTAAAAATGTATATTTAAAAGCAAAGGGACTAAAGAATTATGAAAATGATGAGTAAAGTGAGAGGAATTACTCTAACAATATTAAGACCTACTGTGTAGCTACATCAATCAAGACAATGTGGTATTGGCAATGGGATAGACACATAGATTATTGCAACAGAACAGAGAACTCAGAAATAGACCCATGTATGGACAGCCAACTCATTTTTAACAAAGGTGCAAAAATAATTCAATGGAAGAAGGATAGTTTTTCCTTCCTTCCTTCCTTCCTTTCTTTTTCTTTCTTTCTCCATTCTTTCTTTCTTTCATTTTTCTCCTCCTGCTCCTAGAACAATTTGATTTTCACAGGCAAAAAAAGGCACTTTGACCGAATTATCATGCCTTATCCAAAAATTCTCAAAAAGGAACAGATTTAATGTAAATCGTAAAATTATAAAACTTTAAGAAGATACCTATAAGAAGATAAATCTTTGAAACTTTAGACATGACACCAAAAGCACATTTTATAAAAGGAAAAATTAATATATCTGACTTCATTAAATTTTAAATCGAGCTCTGTGGAAAACTCTGATGAGAGAAAACTATAGACTGGGGGAAAATATTTGCAAGCTGCATATTCAACAACAAAATCCTATCTAGCATATATAAATAATTCTTAAGAGTCAGCTCTTGTTAGAAAAACAAACAATCCAATTAGAAAATGAGAAAAAGAGATGAAGAGACATTTCACCGAAGAAGATATATACATGGCAGATAAGTACATGAAAAGATGTTCACTGTCACTAGCTAGTAGGGCAACACAAGTGCAGACAGTAATGAGATATCATCACATATTTATTAGAACAACTAAAATAAAAAACAATGACAATACCAAATGCTGGAGGGGTTGTGGAGAAACTGGATCGGTCATATATCACTACTTAGGAATGTAAGAAGATGCAATCACTCTAGAAAATATTTTGGGAGTTTCTTTAAGAAAACTAAACATACATTTACCATACAATTTAGCAATTGCACTCTTAGGCATTTATCCCAGAGAAATAAGAGGTTGTGTCTGCACAAAAACTGTACATGATTGTTCAGGGCAGCTTTACTTTTAATGGTGAACAATTGGAAACTACCAAAACGTTCCTTAGTAAGTGAAGTTAAACAAGCTGTGGTACGCCCATCGTCTATACCATGGAATGCAGAGAATGGACTATGCATACACATAAACTTTGATGAGTCGCAAGAGCATTTTGCTGAGTGATTTAAAAAAATCCCAAAAAGTCACATGTCATATGATTTCATTGTATAGCCTTGTCAAAATGATGACATTATGGAGTTGGAAAGCAGATGACTGGTTTCCAAGGTTAAGGAGGGTGAAGGGAGGGGAATAAGTGCAGTTACCTAGGTGTAGCAGAGTGCAGTGTCGGTGGTGATGAAATAGTTATTGTGATGATCACGTGAATCTGTACATGGGAGAAGAGAAAGAGACAGAGACAGAGCTGTACACTCACATTGTAGCAATGTCAATTTTCTGATTTGGGTATCATGCTATAATTATGAAAGATGTAACCATTGTGGAAATCTCA
Organism: Homo sapiens; assembly: GCF_000001405.40. Lineage (NCBI taxonomy): Eukaryota > Metazoa > Chordata > Mammalia > Primates > Hominidae > Homo > Homo sapiens. The sequence goes on from NC_000015.10 coordinate 25,588,492, forward strand.
GTAAAAGGGTACATGAGACCCCTATACTATCCTTGCAAAGTCCTGTGGGTCTATAATCATGTCAAACTAAAAAGTTTGGGGCCAGGCGCGGTGGCTCACGCCTGTAATCCCAGCACTTTGGGAGGCCGAGGTGGGCGGATCATGAGGTCAGGAGATCGAGGTCAGCCTGGCCAACATGGTGAAACCCTGCCTCTACCAAAAATACAAAAAAAAAAAAAAAAAAAGCTATCTGTGGTGGTGCACACCTGTAATCCCAGCTACTCCGGAGGCTGAGGCAGGAGAATCGCTTAAACCTGGGCAGCAAATGTTGCAGTAAGCCGAGATCACGCCACTGCACTCTAGCCTGGGTGACAGCAAGACTCCGTCTCGGGGATAAAAAGAAAAAATAGTTCGAAAGCACAGAAAGTAGAGTGACAACCCTAGGGGAGGTAGAAAGGTTGTGGAGACCATACAGGAGCTGAGCCCCACAAGTTGCACAGGGGCTTCCAGGAGTGGCAGAAGCCTTCTTCTAGGCAGAGATCAGATCAGCCTTTCCAGAAGCATGGAGGTGGGAACAGGTGGAGGATCCGTCAGGGTGCCTTTGGCCAAAAGTAACAGAAGTTTTGTCTAAAAGTGGCTTGATGAAGAGGGGTTTGTTGTAAGTGTTGGCTGTTCTCTGATGGCCCTTCCACATCCATACACTGCACTTCTCTGTGTCCTGGGGAGCTGACCTCACCACCACCTGGGCTCCCTCTTGGATTCAGCCAGTGAATCCAAGAACCTTTCCCTTCCCTTCCCTTCAGGACTTCAGAAGGTGCCAGGTGGCAGAGGTTCCAGTATTTGAACCACCTTTTCCACACTGGGCTGCAGTTTTGAAAATAACTAAAGAGTTACTTGACCTGATCCCTCATGCCCTGTGAATTAAGTCTCACCAGGTCCCGGGAACCACCTCTTCCTCACCTTCACCGATGTGGTGTAGCAATTCATAGCTTCCTGCTGCTGCCTGTTCCTGGATGTTTTGGCGACCCTTGCAAGTTTCTTTCATCTCACCCACACTTCTGCCACCAGAACCTCCACTAACCTCTTCAGTGAACCCTTTGAGAGTGGTCTATGTTCTGCAAGAATATAATCTGAAATTGAACATCAACTCACATAACAAGAATTCTGGGGCAGATGGTTCCAGGTTTGGTTCACCTGCAAACTTATTTCAACAAGCGTCCAAGCTCTTTCGTCTTTGGCATATGGTCTCAGCATTAGTTTCATCCTCTAGCGGTCCAACTTGTTAACGTTTCAGGCAACCTAATATAAGCACAACAACAGGATTGTCTAAGGGTGACACTGGAGATGTGTGTGTGTGTGCGCGCGTGCATGTGTCTTTGTATAAAAGCAGAAATGCTTCCATTACACTTCTTTTAGGTCCCATGGGCCAGGATTAGATCCATGTCCATGCCCTGGCTACAGGGGTGTGGAAGTAACTATTCAGTATTTTTATCCTCTGTGATAAGAGGTGGGCTCTGACCACTGGCAAGAAGTGAATGGCAAGATCAATGGGAGGGAGGCAATTAATCATGTCCTCCTGACTTGGAAGATCACAGGCTGACCATGTGGTGGCGTGGGGCTGAGGAAGATGGTGGGGAGAGTGGGGCCACTTCACAGAGAGTTTTGTGTGTCAAAGACGTAATCCAAGAATCATTCAGGTTCACTTAAGGACCTAAACCAGCAGTAAAGTGACAGAGACAGAGCATTTTTGCCTCTATAGCTTCCAATGGTCACTTTCAAGAACCCATACTGGGAGTAAGATGGAATATTCTAGACTAGAGAGGGATAAGCTCCCTGGCCAGTCTGCACAAGGCTCATTGGTTTCTGGGCTCCTCAGTGTATTCCACTTGCCTGCCTGTCTACGTCTGTACAGCACCACGTTATCTTAACAATGATGACTTTATAATAAGTTTATAATAAGCCCAACTTGTATTTCTTCTTCTAGAGGGTCTGGGAAATTTTTGACTTTTTACAGACTGATATAAATTTTAGAATCAATTTGTCAAGGTCCACAAAAAACTCTTTTGGAACTTTGATTGGGTTTTCATTTAATGTATAAATTAGTTCAGGAAGAAATGAAATCTTTATAACGTTTTGTTTTAAAACTCACAAACACAGCATCTCTCTATTTATTTAAATCATTTTTACTGCCTCTCAATAAAGTTTCAAAATTTTCCCATAGTATTTTAAAACACATTTTATTAAATTATTACTGGCTACTTACTATTTTATGATTTTGCTGTTAATGGCAGTTTTTTAAAAGTACTTTTAAATTATGTCTTGTTAACATATAGAAATACAATTCATTTTTATTTTTACTTAATATACAACAACCTTATTGAACTCGATTAATTCTAACATTTTATGTTATTTTTCCATACATAATCATATTATATCTATAATGTCTTATTTATTTGTTTCTAACTCTTGTATCTTTGGTATATTTTTCTAGATGGCTAGTACTTTTAATAAATATTTCAATAAAATGTTAAGTAGAAGTGGAGATAGAAAGCACCCTTACATCCTTATTATATTCACATTTCAAATAGAAAACTTTCAATGTGTCACCAATAAAGATAATATTTGCTGTAGGTTTTGTGTGTGTGTGCTTTTTTTTCTTTTTTTTTGAGACAGGGTCTCACTCTGTTGCCCAGGCTGTGGCGTGATCACAACTCCTTGCAGCCTTGACCTTCTGGGCTTAAGCAGTCCTCCCATGTCAACCTCCTGAGTAGCTGAGACTACAGGTGTGCACCATTACACCCAGCTAATTTTTTAAATCTGGTAGAGACAGGGCCTCATCATGTTGCCCAGGCTAGTCTTGGGCTCTTGGCCTCAAGCAATGCTCCCTCCCTCGGCCTCCCAAGGTGCTGGGATTACAGGCGTGAGCTACCATGCCTGGCCTTTGTAGGGTTTTTGAATATTCCTTTTTATCAGGTTATCTAAGCTTTTTCTCTGTTTCTAATTTTCTAGAGGTTTCTAATAATCAATAGATGTCAAATTTTAATAAATCCTTTTCCCACGTCTGTTGGGATTTTTCTGTTAAATGATCATGATAATGGGTAAATTATATTACTTAGTTTTCTATTGATTAAAGCAATCTTGCATTCCGGACACAAACTCAACTTGGTATTGATATACTTGTATTGTCCTCTTTATATATTTTTGAATTTTGCTTGCTATAATGTTGTATAAGTGTGTGTGTGTGTGTGTGTGTGTTTGTGTGTGTGTGTGTTTGTGCGTGTGTGTGTGTATTCAAATGAGGTTGGCCTATATAATTTTCCTGTCAGGTTTTGCAATCAAGGTTATGTGATCAACTTAATATCAACTTAAAATAGTTTCAAAGTATACACCCTCTCACCAATCTTTGTGTAAATAAGATTAAAAGAATATTTCCAATTTGTGCCTGAAATTTTCATTATGCGATGATTTTTAAATTTCTGATTTAATTTCTTTAATGATATTAGGACAGTTCAAGTTTAGATGTTCCTCTGTCCCTACTTCTAAAAAATAAATTGGTTGTTAAATCCATAATCTTGATCAGAATCAGGGGTTTAGATTTTGGCAAGAATACATCATGGCAGAGTTGTATACTTCCAGCAGGAGGCACAAACGTCTATGTAGCTGTCTCATTGTGATGAGAGATGCCATTGGTGATACTTGCCTAGACCCAGCAATTCACTGGTAGTTACAAAATTATGATAATCTAAGTATATATTTTTCTTCTTCACATCCTGGATGGAATATTTCAACAAAGAAAAACTTTCTGGCTATTATTTTGTTACTGTAGTGTACAGTTTGTACAGGAAAGGCAGAACCAAAGCTTTCATTCTTTCCCTTTATCCCAAAATAATGAATTGCTCTTCCTAGCATCAACCAAATGACACCAGAGTTTTTGCTGTTGTTGTTGTATTATCTTTACAAATTAACGGATTAATAAACACATTTGCTTTGTTTTAGTTTGTAGCATGATTGCCCTTATTAATGCTACAATTTCCCATCTTGTCCACCAAGTGTTTCTTTAGGTTAACTCCTGAATCCTTTTGACACAAACTTAAGAGTCTCTCATAACTTCCTTGTTTTCTAATAATATGGGTTCATCTAATACATTTCCTCCTCCAGAGCCATAAAAGCCATTTCTCTAATGAGCCCTGGTCCTTCTATTGAGAAATGGCATTTAGAGACCACAATCTGGGGATCAGGAGTGCTCATGGTTAATGGGTTGTCATTGTTTCTGTACCATTTCAGTGGGAAGGAGTAGAAATATGTGTTTTGTTTTTTTCCTAAAGATGTATATACATCATGGATTCATATAGACCTTTCCAATTCAAATTTAAAACTACAGAAGTTTTACTTAACCTCATTGATCTTACTTCTCTATCTGCTTTTACTTTACCTAAAATTCCCACTAATTTGCTTTTCCCAAAAACTGTATCTGTCTTGAATGTTAGCACTAATAAATTCCCAATTATCCAACTACCTGTCTGTGCTTCGTTTACTTTGTTTTGATTTTGATTTTTAGAAATTATTTCTATTTAGTTTTGTCTTATGATTGTAGAAAATATATGGTTCAAAGTTAAATTTATAAAGCATACTAAATTGAAAGAAATCTATGGTTTATTTTTTTCACTTTTATGTCAGTCTATTTTGTGTTGCTGTAACAGAATACCTGAGACTGAATAATTTATACAGAAAAGCATTTTATTTTATGGTTCTGCAGTCTGGGAAGTTCAAGGGGAATGGTGCTGGTGTCTGCTGGGCTTCTGGTAAGAGTTTTTGTGCCAGGACAATACATGGTAGAAGGTCAAAGGGGAAGTGGACATGTGCAAAGAGGGCTCAAACATGAGGAGGAACCTCCCTTTATAACAACCTACTCTCCTAGGAACTAATTCATGCTTATGAGAACTAATCCAATCCCGTGGGAGTGAGAACTCACTCACTACCTCAAGAAGGGCATCAAACTCTTTAGGAGGGATCTGCCCCCATCACTCAACACTTTCCACGAAGCTTCACTTCCCAGCACGGCCACACTGGCAATTAAACTACTACACAAGTTTTAATGGGGATAAACCACATCCAAATCAGAAAGAATCACTCCTCATTATTTGTAGATTCCATATTTGCAAGTTTGCTTACTCATTAAAATTTATTTGCAACACCCAAATCAATACTAGTTGCACTTTGGTGGTTATTCATGGTACAAAACAGTAAAAAAAATGTGGCATTTGACCCATCCCAACTGAGGTGGAACAAGGCAACATTTTGCATTCTTATTTTAGCTCTCATATTGCAAAAAGGGTCCTTTCCTTGGTCTATTAGTGCCACATTTTTTGAATTTTGTGCTTTTATATTGGTGATTTCACTGTTTAAAATGGCCCCCAAGCATAGTGCAAGAAGACTGTGACATACCTGAAAGAAAATACATGTGTTAGAGAAGCTTTGTTCAGGTATGAGTTATAGTGCTGTTGACAATTAGTTCAATGCTAATAAATCAACCATATAGTACATCAAGAGAAAGGAAGAAGAAAATCTGATGCTTTATATATATGACACCACTCTGGAAATGGGCTAAAGTAACATCTATAAGATGTGATGAAGCTATGGAAAAGATAGAAAAGTGGTTAAATTTCTGTATTCATGAGATGATGACAACTAATTTAAAAAAAAAGCATAGTTGACAGGATTGTGTGAAGTTGAAAGCCAAAGGAACTGGAATTGGAAAAGTCAAAGGCTCATGCTATTCAAGGACAGGATAATAGGAAACCCTTCTCAGCTAGTGCTGGCTGGCTTGCACATTTCAAAAGGTGATATGGTGTGAAAAATGTTAAAATTGCTGTTGAGGTATATGAAGCAGGTCCTTTGGATTAGGAGGCTGCAGAATAATTTTTAAAATATCTGCTATGTGTTGAATGGGAAAAGGGTTATGTGGAAGACTGATGAGACAACCGGCTCATTTTACAAGGATGTTGGAAAACAAATCTATAAACTACATGTGATCTCCAAAGCCCCTGGCTTGAAATCATTCAAACACCATGCGATTAATTATTTATTAGAAATGTATATATAATAAGGTATGTTTAAACAGAAACACACATAAAACAAGGTTGTGTATTGGTTGGTTGGCAATAATGTTGTGACCAGAGGCTAATAAGAATCTCTGTATTTTTCCTAGAAGCAGTGGTTCAGTATTTACTAATTCAGTATTCTTGGTGGCTTTATAGAAGATAAATATCATGAATAACAGGAACAATAAGAGCTATCTAAGCTATCACCTATCTATCTATCTATCTATCTATCTATCTATCTCTATCTATTTATCTATCTATCTATCTAGTCTGATTTAAACCTTACAACACGGGTCCCCAGTGCCTCCCCGGGCTGCAGACTGGTATTGGTCCATGGCCCGTTAGGAACTGAGAGGAGGAGGTGAGAAGGGGTGAGCATGATCACCTGAGCTCTGCATCCTGTCAGATCAGCAGAGGCATTAGATTCTCACAGGGGTACACACCCTATTGAGAACTGCGCATGCAAGGAATCTAGGTTGTACACTCCTATGAGAATCTAATGAATGCCTGATGATCTGAAGTGGAACAGTTGCATCCTGAAACTATCCCCCGTCCAGCTCCTTGTCCGTGAAAAAATTGTCTTCCACAAAACTGCTCCCTGGTGCCAAAAAGGTTGAGGACCATAACCTTACAACGTATCCTGGAGCTCACTCCCTGGCAATATTCCTTTTAATATGAGTATAGCATTACACCTTGTGCATGTACCATAGTCTACGGATAAGGAGCTGGGTGTGCCAGTCAGCTAAGACTGCCCAAATCCAAGTTCAAGGTCTGAGGTTCCCTGTGCCACACAGATGACTCAAAACCAGGTTGCAAGTCCTGGCATGGTTGGTTTATGTCCACTTCACCCTTTCCCTGCATGTTGTTGGCCTTTGGAGTCCTAGCTTTATGTGAGTACAGTGTGCCAGTAGCCCCATTTCAGAAAGCCTGGGCATTTGACTTTTATTTCTTCTAATCTGATTTCAGTTTTCCTGCTATTTCTTTGTTTATAGAGGAAATCCTCAGGGCAAAATTCGCTTTGAGCCTTCAGCTTATTTTTTCTGGCTCTTGTCTTCTTTCAAAGTATGGTCCTGTAATTCTTCACTCTCATTGGCTCTTTGATGCTTTTAAGATAATATATTTCAACATCATACAGATATTTTCATTTTTCTCAGAGCAAGGATTGGTCTGAATTACCCAGCCTGCCATTACTAGAACCATTTGTTACTTTTACAGTTGGGGAAAAAATTAAAAAGAAACATCCATGCATATTTGGGAGATCAGTGTCAGTTTTGACTTGTAGATGCTGAACCCAAGAAAAATACAATGTTAGTATTTTTCTCCTTTGGGAATAAAATAATTTTCTTTCTCATAGCATAAGCCCAAGCACCTTGGAAGCTAAAACGACTATGTATGTCTCAGAATGCCCCCAGAGCAGTTAATGAGAATGGACTGTGATTTGTAGGGAAGGATTATGAATCTTTTCAGAGACACATTTCCAGCACACCCACGTCTCATTATCCCAAGTCACGGGAGAGGTTATGGAAGTAGTGTGGCCCCCAGAGCCTGACCTTCACCTCTCCAGTGCAATACAGCAGCAAGAGAATTAGCAGATAAACAGACGAAAGAATGAGCAAATGAAGGAACAAACCAAAGATCATTTGTTTTTCTTTTTTTTAATTTTCAAAAGTTTTTTTTTTTTTTTTTTTTAGACACAGGGTCTCACTATGTTGCCCAGGCTGGTCTTAAAGGAATCCTCCCTCTGTGACCTCCCAAAGTGTTGGGATTACAGGCGTGAGCCACCTCACCCGACCATAGACCATCTGTTTCCAGGCCTGAGCTCGATAAGAAGCCCAGTGCTACATTTTCAAAGACCTGAGTGGCCACTGAGAGAATATCCAAAGACAATTTAAATCAGACTGTGGATGCAATTATCACGCGCCCGATGATGTGCCTCATTTTCTATACAGAGGCCCTTTTCAGGAGATGCTGTACCTCCAGATCATAAAATCAGGTAGATGACCTCTGCAGATCTGGCTGTTCCCAGGAGGGCTGAGCGCAGCAGTCAGAAGCTGGCACGGAAGGGAGAAGGAGGCCGATGGGAACAGCACTGACAACAGCCCGTGACAGGGCCGGCCCTTCTGTCTGCACCAGCCCAGCACGCCGGGCTGCACAGCAGATTCTCCAACGCGTCTTCCAGACCTCAGCTTCCACACTGTGACGGTTAGCAAGGCTGACGGGCGTGGACGGCGAGGGGTCGGGAAGAGTGAGAACGTTTAGGATCATGCATGTCTAATTTTATTGAAGCAGGGGCCCATCTAGCTGTGCGGCTGATTCCATATGTCAGGCAGGGCGGCGTGTAAACGGCCCTGAAGTTGCGCCGTCTGTCTGTGTGAACAGGAGCTGCTTCCTCCGCAGGACTCCAGCTGCTGTCCGTGGCCGGGCCATGCGATGGAAATGGAAACAGCAGAGTAAGGCGGTGCTGATGTGTGTGCCCGATTTCTCCTCGGGAGGAAAGCCCTCTTGGTGTTGAAGTGATATTAGTGTAGTCGCCATTCTCTGCAACCACCAAGGGCCTGCTGGATGACTCCTGCTGTCAGTCTTGAATCCATGCTCTGTCACGATGGTATGCAGAGAAACAGCTCTGCCCAGCCGCGCGGAGAGCATGCAGCCTGGAGAATGTTTCTGAAATCCAGATTCTCAGATCAGGTTCTGAGCTGGGGAAAGCCCCGTGTCTCTGGACAGCTCTGGTTTCCAGAGTGAATAACCCATCTCCTGTTGGCAGAGACAGCGGTCTGAGTGGGCTTATTCCTTAGCCGGCAAGCCTTTGGCTTTTCCCGGCTGTCCTGGAGCTGCAGAGCCTTCAGCCGGCCTCTCCGAACGAGTGGTCGCTGGATCCCGGTTCCTGCTCCACCAGCAGCGACTTTGGAGGCATTCCTTAGCAGAGGGACTGCGCTGATTCCAGACAAGGGAATACACCCTGTGAGACTGACGCTCCTCACTTCCTCAGTCACCACAGGTCCTCCTCCATCTCTTCTTCTTCTCCTTCTCCTTCCTCTTTCAAATTGCAGTTTATTCTCTTTTTCCAGATTCCATTTTATTGCCAACATCAAACTCTTCTCAGACTTCTGGCACAACTTTGGAAAGGCATAAAAGCCTAAAAAGGAATTAAAAACAAACAAACGGGCAAAAAGCCCAGCCCAGTTCCTGCCTTGCTGTGTTTCCTGTTCCTTTGATTAAGAAAGTGGCCCGCACAACTCACAGATGCGCCTTCTGGGTCCTCAGGGCCAATGCGATTTCCTCCTGAGATAACATATCTGGGACAGCGTTGAAAGTTTACTTTTTTTTTTTTTCTATTAAGAAACTCTTTCTGGAATTTGTGCCTTGCTGTATTTGGCAGCTTTGATGAATGTTTTGATCATCTATTCTATTGGTTCTTATAATTTGCTGTTTATGTGCCTGGACCATTCCTTGCAGACCTGGCCCACTTCGGGAGTATTTCCATAGGTCCAATGAGGTCTATACAGGGGTTCACTGAGACCATAGTCTTGGAAACTGAGCTGCTTCATAGAGTCTATTTACTTGAAGAAAAAGGTGGCCTTCACGGAAATGTGTGACTTGACGTTGTGGTTTCTTCCTTATTACTTACAGAGATTTCACCATACTTTATATTTACTTTCCTTAAAAATTATGATTATCCCAAAAAAGTTAAACATAGAATTACCATATGGTCCAGCAATTCCAACTTCTGGTTATATACTCCAAACAATTCAAAGCAGGGACTTGAACAGGAATTTGCACACCCATGCTTAGCAGCAGTGTTCACAAAAACCAAAAGTGGGGAAACAACTCAAATGTCCATCAATGGATGAATGGATACACAAAATCTGGTATATCCGTAAAAGGGAATATTATTCAGCCTTGAAAATGAAGGAAATTCTGTCAAATGCTGCAACATGGATGAACTTTGATGACATTATTATGCTAAGTAAAACAAGCCACTCACAAAAGGACAGATACTGTATGATTCCATGTATATGAGGTACCTAGAGTAGTCAAATTCACGGAGACAGAAAGCGGAGTGGTGTTTGCCAGGAGTTAGGGAGAAGGGAATGGTGCGTTATAGATGAGAGTTTCAGTTTTGCAAGAAGATTTCTAGAGATGGATGGTGGTGATGTGAATGTACTCAATGTCACTGAACTGGTTAAAATGATATATTTTATGTTATATATATATATACATACACAATAAAAATGTGACTAGTTTGGATTCGTATACATTAAACCATGCTCTACCTACAGAGCAAGAGTGCTCTGGAAGGGAAAGGCACAGAGCCTCTGTAAAGGGAGGGTTTGGGGCCTGCCTGTAGGCACTGGCTTCCTTTCGTCGGTAGGTCTACATTTGTATACAAACATTAGCTTGTCTGTATTGCCTTGAAAAAGCTGTTGAAGAATTTTTTCCACTGTCATAAACCAGCCTAAGAGGCCACTGCTGAAACTCTCTTGACCCTATTGGTTTTTTATAGTTTACAGAAAATTAGTTGTGTTTTGTCTGTTTGTTTTCATTTTTGTTTTTTTGGTTTTTTTTTTTTTTGTAGAGATGGGGTCTTGCTATGTTGCCCAGACTGGTTTTGAATTCCTGGGCTCAAATTATCCTCCTGCCTTGGCCTCCCAGAATGCTGGGATTGCAGGTGTGAGCTATTGAGCCCAACCAGGAAATTAGTTTTTATATGCCTAGAGTACTTATTGCAACACCAAAATAAAGGGTACATTGTGTATGGACTTTGATTCCCTTTCTTTAAGTAACCTTAGAAGGCATCAACGTAGAAAGAAAGAGAAGTTTCTGAAAAAGTTTTCAGTTTAGGGTTTATTGCTAAAGGAACTCGAACCAAAGTGCTGGACTGAAGCTCCTGGGTTATTCTGACTCAAAGCATCTTTGGGGCCTATAAGCAACATTGTTAACTGCTGATATTCATGGATGGCTTAGTAAAGTAATCTCACAGTATTGGCACCCAGACAAAGATGAAGGAAAGCCCTTCAATACAGTTACAACATGACTTCATGGTATTTCTAGAACTATCAAGTCCGATTTGGTATGCTTTTAAAGCTTGGGAAATATTTTCAATAGTCAAGTTAAAGTACACTTGATGAAAATGTTTACACTAAACCTAACTGAATCTTTTTGTCTGACTTCTGGTTTATAGAAAACACAGGGAAGAGAGCACCAAATAAAATGACGCCACCGATGACACTGCCATACAAATCCAGAATGTGGGCATTTCGTGAGACATTGTCCTGGCCTCTTCTAACGTCATAATCAAAAGGGGCTAAGAACATGAAACAGCCAAATGCAATCTGTGAATCTTGGTTCTTTCTATGTTTTTAAAAATTTGAGCTATAAAATCATTTCTGAGACAACTGGGAAAATGTTGGTATATACTGGATATGAGATGATATTAGGAAATTGAGGTTAATTTTTAAAATTGTGATTATGCTACTGTGGTCACAGAGGAGACTGTTCTTTTTCCTAGAAAACGCATGCTGAAGCAGTGAAGTGTCGTAACAACTGCAACTCACTTTCTAATGATTCAAAAAACACATGGATAGTTGGCCAGGGGCAGTGGCTCATGCCTGTAATCCCAGCACTTTGGGAGGCCAAAGTGGGCAGATCTCTTGAGGTCAGGAGTTCAAGGCCAGCCTGGCCAACATGGTGAAACCCCACCTCTACTAAAAATACAAAAATTAGCTGGGTGTGGTGGCACACACCTGTAATCCCAGCTACTCAGGAGGCCGAGGCAGGAGAATCACTTGAACTTGGGAGGTAGAGGTTGCAGTAAGCTGAGATCGTGCCACTGCACTCCAGCCTGGGTGACTGAGTAAGACTTCATCTCAAAACAAAACAAAACAAAAAACACACAGATAGATTAGACAGATACAGAAGTAAATACGACAAAATGTGGAATATTGAATACTACTGTGGGTATGTGAATGTTCACTGCAGTAATTTTTCAGCTCTTCTTTATGTTTCAATTTTTTATACTAAAATATTGGGCAGAAAATTAACATTCAAGTTACTTTTGGGTAGTCAGTCTAAGCTACAAACTTCTTGCTAGGTAGACAAGTCCAGGTTTGTTCTCTGGCCTCTTGAAGAATTTTTTTGCTGATATACAAAGGAACGCCAGGAAAAGAAATTTAACTTGAGCAAGAGAAGGGAGGCTCATAAGAGAGTTCCAACACTTAGAACTGAACCTCAGCATGGAAAAGACAATTTGGAGCGTGGAAATGTGGGGTGCTACTCACCTTACTCAACTTGTCCTTTGAGACTGGGTGGAAGGAGACTCTGAGTCATGTCATTAAAATCTACAGAAGACTCAGCACCCACCATTGCCAGAAACAAGGGAGGAAGGCCCACATGGTGACTCACATCTGTAATCCCTGTAATCCCAGCACTTTGGGAGGCAGAAGCAGGTGGACAGCTTGAGGCCAGGAGTTCAAGACCAGCCTGGGCAACATAGTGAGATCCCTATCTCTACAAATACTGTTTTTTTAAAAAAAATAGTCAGGTGTGGTGATATGCAATTGTAGTCCCAGTTACTTGAGATACTGAGGTGGAAAGACAGCTTGAGCCCAGGAGATCAAGGCTGCAGTGAGCTATGACTGTGCCACTGCATTCCAGCCTGGGCAACAGAGTGAGACCCTGTCTGTGAAAAAAAAAAAAAAAAAAAAAAAAAAAGCTTTGGCTGGTTGCAGTGGCTCATGCCTTGCCTATAATCCCAGTGCTTTGGGAGGCCAAGCAAGGCAGGAATGCTGGAGTTCGAGACCAGACTGGTCTACATGGCAAGACCTTAGTGTAGAGGTTAGGCTACGTCTCTGCAATCCTGCACAGGACCTACAGTAACACAGTCTTGTGACTGCTGTTGGGGTCCTTTTATATAAGTTAAGCTTTTGTGTTAATTTTACTTCAATTTATCACAAACTTCTACCCTGAAAAAAATATATCTGGGCAAGTGCCACTTGTCAATAAGAATGGATAAAAAAAGTTTTTAAATTAAAGCGTGATCTTGATTCTTTAAGAAACCTGTTGCACCTTCAAGCAATCTGGTGTGCATTCTTTCTGCCCTGCTCCCTTTCCTACTCCTACTTGTCTGACCTAGCCATCCTTTCAAGGTTCCCACCCTATTTCTGCTCTCTCCAGCTTTCTATCCTGGCCTATAATCTCATCTCCTGCACCCCTCCTCCCCAATCTATTCAGCCCACCACATTCAAAGCAATCTTTCTCATGTGTAATACCAACCATGTGTCCTCTCTCCCCCCTCCCCATTTTTTTTTAGCTTTATTGAGGTATAATTGGCATAAAAGAAACTGCACATAATTAGGTGACTGACTTCTTTCACTTAGCATAATGTCTTCCAGGTTTATTCATGTTGTCACAGACTGTAGGCTTTCCTTCTTTTTTTTAAGGCTGGATAATATTCTATTACATGGATATACCAATTTTTCTTTATCTGTTAATTTTTCAACGGACATTTGAGTTGTTTCCATATGTTGGCTATTGTGAATAAACCTGCAGTGAACATGGGAGTGCAGCTATCCCTTCAAGATCCTGACTTCAATTGTTATGGATGTATACCCAGAGGTGAGATTTCTGGATCATATGGTAGTTTAATTGTTAATTTTTTGAAAAATTTTCATACTGTTTTTCATGATGGCTATACCATTTTACATTACTATCAGCAGTATACAAACCTCACTAATATTTATAAATATTTTTATAGTAGCCATCCTAATAGGTGCAAGATAATATCTGATTGTGGTTTTGATGTGCATTTCCCTGCCGATGGGTAAAGCTGAGTATCTTTTTGTATACCTGTTGTCCATCATTTGTAGGTGTTCTTTGGAGAGATGTCTATTCCAATCCTTTGTTCATTTTTTAACCAGGTTTTTTGTTTGCTTCTGTTTTGTTTTTGTTTTTGCTATTGAGTTTAGAATCTCTTTATGTATTTTGGAAATTAACCCGTTATCAGATATATGGTTTGCAAATATTTTCTTCCATCCTATAAGTTGGCTTTTTACGCTGTTGATAGTTTCCTTTGCTGTCCCACTTAAGCTTTTCCCTCATGTTTTCTTCTAGAAGTTGTATGGTTTCAGCTATTACATTCAAATCATTAATCTATTTTGAGTTAATTTTTGTGTTTCATATAAGAAAGCATACAATTTCATTATTTTGCACGTGGATATTCAGTTTTCCCAACACCATTTATTTAAGAGACTGACCTGTCCCCATTGTGTATTCTTGGCATCCTCATCAAGAATCCATTAGCTATGTATACCTGGGTTTATTTCTGGGCTTTTTATTCTTTTCTATTGATCCATATGCCTATTTTTATGCCAGTATCAAACTGTTTTGTTTACTGGAGTTTGTAACGTAATTTGAAATCAGGAAGTGTGATTTCTCCCACTTCATTCTTCAACATTGCTTTGGCTATTTGAGATCTTTTCTAGTTCCATATGAATTTTAGGGTTTTTTTTTTCATTTCTGTAAAAATACCTTTAGACTTTTGGTAGGGATTACATTGAATCTGTAGATTGCCTCAGCAGTATGAAAGTTTTAACAATATTAATTATTCTATCCATGAAAATGAGATGTCTTTCCACTTATTTCAATCTTCTGATGAATTTCTTTCATCAATGTTGACAATTTTCAGTAAATTCTTTCATTTTCTTGGCTAGGTTTACTCCTAAGTATTATATATATGTTAAACATATATTATTTATAACATATATATGTTCTGTTATAAAGTTGTTTTCTTAATTTTCTTTTTGGATCATCTGTTCTTAGTATATGGAATTTTGTTCTTAGTATATGGAATTTTTTTCCTTGCTATGTATTGCCTAGCTTTGGTATGAGGGTAAATGCTAGACTCATAAAATAACTTTGGAAGTGTTCCCTATTATTTCTTGGGAGAGTTTGAGAAGGATTGGTATTAATTCTTCTTTAAATGTTTGGTAGAATTTACCAGTGAAGCCATCTGGTTCTGGGCCTTTCTTTAGGAGGTGTTTGATTACTGGCTCATTCTCCTTATTTGTTATTGATCTGTTGAGGTTTTCTATTTCTTCTTGATTCAATCATAGTAGTTGTATGTCTCTAGGAATTTATTCATTTCTTCTAAGTTATCCCATTTGTTGGTTTATTATTATTCACAATAGTCCATTATAAACTTAACATTTCTGTAGCATTGGTTGTGATGTCTCCTCTTTTATTTCTAATTTTATTTAGTTTCATCTCTTTCTTCTTATTCTAATAGTTTGTTAATTTTCTTTTCAAAGAACAAACTTTAGTTTTGTCAAATTTTTTTCTATTGCTTTTTTGGTCTATATCACTTATTTCTCCTCTAATCTGTATTATTTCTTTTCATTTTCTAATCTTACATTTAGTTTGTTTTCCTTTTTCTAGCTCCTTGAGGTTGTTTACTTGGGAACTTTTTTCTTTTTTAATGTAGGGATTTATTGCTCTAAACTTCCCTCTTAGTATTGCTTTTGCTGTATCCTGTAAGTTTTGGTACGTTGTGTTTTTGTTCTAACTTGTGTGTTTACATTTTAATTTCCCTTTTCATGTTTTCTCTGAACCCATGGTTGTTCAAGAGTGTGTTGTTGAATTTCTATGTTTTTGTGAGTTTTTCTGATGTCCTTTTGTTACTAATTTCTAGTTTTATTCCATTGTGGTCAGAAAAGGTACTTGGAATTACTTTAATCTTCTCAAATTTGTTAACATTTGCTTAGTGACTTAGTATGTATTCCATCCTGGAGAATGTTCTGTGTGCACTTAAAAAGAATGTGTATTCTCTTACCATCAGGTGAAACGTTCTGCATAAGTCTGTTACGTCCATTTGGTCTACAGTGTTGTTCAAGTCTGCTGTTTCCTTCTTGATTTTCTGTCTGGATGATCTATGTATTATTGAAAGTGGGTATTAAAGTCTCCTACTATGAAGGATGGTTAGCAGAGACTTAAAAGGGTAGGTAGTAGGAGTTTGTGTGGGGAGGTGTGGATGGTCAATGGGTACTAAAAATGAAAAAAATGAATAAGACTTTCTATTTGATAGCACAATAGGGTGACTATAGTCAACAATAACTTAATTGTATATGTTAAAATAACTTAAAGAGTGTAACTGGATTGTTTGTAACTCAAAGAATAAATGCTTGAGGGGATGGATACCCCATACTCTATGATGTGCTCATTTTACATTGCATGCCCTCACCAAAACATCTCATATATTCCATAAATACATGCAACAACTGTGTACCCACAAAAATTTAAAAAAATAAAAATAAAGAAAAATTTTAAAGAAATAAATATGACCTTAAAAAATAAAAAATGTCTCCTACTATGATTATATTACTGCCTATTTCTCCCTTTAGGTCTGTCAATATTTGCTTTATATATTAAGTGCTTTAATTCTGGGTGCATATATATTTGCAATTGTTATATATTCCTGTTGAATCAATCCTTTTATCAATATGTGATGTTCTTCTTTGGTTCTAATCACCGTATTTGACTGAAAGACTATTTTGTTTAAGTATGGCTACCTCTGCTCTCTTAGGGTAACCATTTGCACATAGAATATATTTTTCCATTCATCACTTCTGTTTATGTGTCCTTAAATCTATGGTTGGATTTTTGTGTGTGTGTGTGTCCCATTCAGTCACTCTGCATCTTTTGACTGGTGAGTTTAATCTGCTTACATTTAAAGTGATTATTGAAAGGTAAGAATTTACTATTGTCATTTTGTTCATTGTGTTCTGTCTTCTGTTTCGTAGTTCACTTGTGCCTCTCTTCTTCTCTTGCCTTACTTCTTTGTGGTTTAAATCTTTTGCAGTGATATGCTTTGACTCTTTTGTCTTTATCTTTTGTGTATCTTCTATAGAATTTTTTTCTTTGTGGTTACCCCATGGGGCTTCTGTTGAACTTCTTATAGCTATAAAAGTCTATTTTATGCTGATAAAGACTTAAATTCAATTACATATGAAAGTTCTACCCTTTTACTCCTCCCCAACTTCATATTGTTTTTTTCTGAGTTACTTTTTATATTGTGTATCCATTAATGCTTTTTTGTGGTTTTAGTTATTCTTAACACTTTTTTCTTTTGACTGTTATACTAGGGTTTAGGATGATTTACATGCCACCATTATTGTATCATGATATTCTGTGCTTGTCTATTTGCCTTTTACCAGTGAAATTTGTTGTTTAATATGGTTTCATGTTATTGTTTAGCCTGTATTTCTTCAACTTGAAGAGTTCCCATTAACACTTCTTGCAAGGTAGTTCTGGGGTAACAAATTCCCTTAGTTTTTGTTTATCAGGGAAAGTCTTTATCTGTCCTTCATTTTGAAGCACAGTTTTTCTGGGTATGGTAGTTGTGCTTAGCTCTTTTTTCTTTCAGTAATTTGAACATGTCATCTCATTTTATTCTGGCCTGCAAAGTTCCTGCTGAGAAATCTATTGTTAGCCTTATGGGAATTGCTTCATATGTCATGGTTGCTTTTCTCTTGCTGCTTTCAAAATTATTTTTTCTTTGACTTTTGACAATTTAATTATAATATATCTATGTGTAGATCTCTATGGATTCAACCTTTTTGGAAATCTTTGGTCTTCATGAATCTGGATGTCCATTTTCCTCCCCAGATTTGGGAAGTATTCAGTCATTATTTATTTAAATAGGCCTTCTGCCCCTTTCTCTTTTCTTTTGGAGATTCCCATGATGCACATGTTGTTTCACTCAGTTGTGTCTCTTAAGTCCTATAGGCTTTCTTCACTCTTTTTAATTTTTTTTTTTTTTGAGAGCGAATCTCGCTCTGTCACCCAGGCTAGAGTGCAATGGCATGATCTCGGCTCACTGCAACCTCCACCTCTCAGGTTCAAGCAATTCTCCTGCCTCCACCTCCTGAGTAAATGGGTTCATAGGCGTGTGCCACCACGCCCAGCTAATTTTTGTATTTTTAGAAGAGATGAGATTTCACCATGTTGGCCAGGCTAGTATCGAACTCCTGACTTCAGGTGATCTGCCTGCCTCAGCCTCCCAAAGTGCTGGGATTATAGGCGTGAGCCACCATACTCAGCCCACTCATTTTAGTTTTTTTAATGCTTCTCTGACTGGGCAAATTGTGTTCCTCTTAATGAAGTTTTAGATTATTTTTAGTGAAGTTTTTCTCAGTTTCTGTGCTCTACCAGGGTGTTATAGCCTCACTCCTGGGTTCTGGAAGGTTCACAAAGGCCTTCTCATCTGTGGATAGAAGCTACATCAGTGTTTCTTTAGAGAGACTAGGGCTGGAGACTCCTTTTCTGCCATGTTGTTGATGTCACCCCTTTCCTCTATTTCTTAAAATACTATAATTTTCCCCATCACTCCTTCAGGATAAAGCCTAAACTCCGTATTTTGTCAGATGAGTCTCTTCATGATTTGGCCCCCACTGAAATTCTAATTTCATCTCCTGCTGGCTTCTATGGCTCAGCTTTACCAGATTTTCCATGTCCCCAAACTGAATGGTCTTTCCTTATGTTTTGTCCTTCTTTTCTTCCTCATAATAAGTCTTTATTTAGTAGGGACTGTGTCTTCATATGAACTGTGTCTTCATACTTTAGGGACCAAGGAAGGGGCAAGTAAACTAATGAAATCTTGCTTTCAAGGAGCTTGCTATCTGGAAGTGGTCAGACAAGAACAAAGGAAAGTTTCAAGTGTTTCGTCTCCCATAACATCCTTCTCTCCTTTGTCCACCTGATGGCCGTTCATCTTTCCAAGGTGTTTCCAGACATACCTCCCAGTAATGTATTCCTTGACACTCCTCTGCCCACCCCATGCTGCCCACTCCAGGACCTCCGCTGTTTGCCCCTTCCCGCTTTGTTTATGGGCCTTTGCATCTTTCAGTAGGCATAGCTTACTATGGGCATCAGAATTTTGATCTGTTTCACAAAGGAAAGGAGTGTGCCCCATAGTGACTTAGTGGCAGCTGTAGAAACTAGATTCATAGCATCTCCTCCCTTTGTGTGACTATTTATGATAGTACATTTTGACCTGTGTCATTGGGACCTTCCACTAATTTCATTAGAGAGTACTTGCTTTTCAAAGCAGTGAGACGCTGCTGCACACACAGGAGTGTGAATACAGACTTAGGACCTGGAAAGTTCTGTGCTGGAGATTCATTAGACCAACACATGACTTCCCTCAATTATGTGATTGACCGATGAAAAATTTATGAAAAGGAAGTTTAGTTTATGCTCCTGGTGTCCCTATCAGTGATTACAGCCATGGCTGATATTTTAATCATGAAGGGATAAAGGATTTAAAAACCAAGACAAATTTCCTCCTTCCCATAAAACACTTCTCATATCCCTTGTTCTGCTCTATCATTTTTCAAGGCACTGACCACCTCCAACACACTGTATAATTTACCATCTGTCTTCTCCCCACAAGAAATAGATTCATGAGGAAAGGGGTTTTTCTCTATTTTTGTCGTGGTTCACTAGCGTAACTCAAATGCCTAGAGCAGCGCCTGGTGCATGGTAGCTACTTAAATGTAGCTGGCTGTTCATATCCACGGGTTCTGCATCTACAAACTCAACCAGCATTGAATTCAACCAACCACAACTTGAAAATATTTGAAAAAATAACAATACAACCATAAAATAATATAAATTCAGATATACAGTATAACAACTATTTGCATAGCATTTACATTATGTTAGGTATTGTAAGTAATCTAGAGATGATTTAAAGTAAATGAGAGGATGTGCATATATTATATGCAAAAACAGTGCCATTTTACCTTAGGGACTTGAGCATCCACAGATTCTTGTATCTATGGGGGGTTCTGGAAATAATCTTCTGTGATACTGAAGGACAATTATATTTCTCGAGAAAAAGAATGTATAAAAGTATAAACTAAGTGTTTAAATACCTTCAGATACAAGAGCTACCAGACTTCGGCCACACTCAGAAGGATACCCCATAAATACACAGTGGCCATCCAGGCATCTTTGCACTCATAGCTGGGCCTAGGGAGGGGGTCCAGCTGGTGATGCAGTTTGTGAGTATGGCTCAGAGGCAAAAGCCAATAGAGCCTGGCATTGTGGACGGTGAAGACTTCCAACAAAGGCAGACACACGATCAGTCCCTTCCCCAGGGTGCAGCTAACTGGCACGGGGTTCCTCTTAATCTGCATTAATGATGCAGATTAATGATTTTAGCAACATGTATACTAAAATTACAGTGATGCAGAGAAGACTAGCTAGCATGGTCTTGACAAGGATGACACATTAATGACAATCTGCATTACTTGAAAACTTTGGAAAACAAAAAAAAAGATTTTTATCTATCAAGCACAGGAACAAGAATGCCCAGCGCTTCTTGCAGCCTTCCTCTCCTCTAAATGTTTGTGCTGTTGTTTTCTTTCAGAACTTCCCTCATTTCCTCTTATGGATACTGTTAGGCAGTTTTTCAATGAGCTTACCTGTCCCACCACTTCACATTCTTACCCTGTCCAGCTTGAAAGGCTGGTGGGACAGGAGCACAAAGAGAGATCAAAGGCCATCCTTTTGCCCTGAGGGTAATGGCATGTGGATTAGGGAGCACCTGCCTGGCAATTGGAGTGGCGGAGCACAGAGGCCCGTTCCTCCATTGGTATCAGCAGGGTCATCTGCCCTGCCTTGGTGCACAGGGATCACCCTCTTCAGAGATGGCGGCCCAATGGGAGTTGGACTCCCTCTCCAAGGGAGCGTTCCCTTTTCCTCTCCCCAAACAGAGAATAAAATAAAAATACCTCCGTGTGAACCAGGATAACCACCCTTGTCCTTGTGGATTACTTACCCACGCAGTGTTGAGTTTACTCAGAGGTAGGCTGAGTCAGCTTAGCCTGGCTTGGGAAGGCCGACTGTGCTAAGCTCATCTCAAATATGCCTGCAGTAACCTCACACTGTGGCTTGAAATTGGCCATAGCTGGTGTATTTACATCGTGGATATTGGCAAATTCTGCAAAGCAGAGCTGGTTTCCCAGAAAACCACTTGCTAAAGACGTATTGGCCCATGGCCTGTTTATACAGCACAAGGAGTGTATTTGGTCTCATGGCCTGCCCTGTTCAGTGTCACATTATGGACAGAGTGACCAGGAACTGGAAGAGTATACCATCCATGATTATACCTAGGACTGTAATGGGAAAATGCGGATGCATGGTCACTCTAATCATGAACTCTTTGCCAGATTTGAAACTATTATTCCAAAACATAGTTATCTGTTGGCTGTATAACATTCCTTCATTTGGAAATTTAGAGGAGTTTTTTATTCTTCAACTGTTCACAGATTTTCCTAATGTAAATGATATTTCAATAAATATGTAGTAGAATAAATTTCTGAGGGTGTATTTCTAGGGTAGAGGGTATAAACATTATTAAAACTCTAAATACATTTTGCCAAGTTGCTTACCCAGAAGGTTAGAGGCATTTACGCTCTCTCTGTAGTCGGCCCAGTTCACCAAGTTCGTATTTCCAATACTTGAAATAAGGACAGAGAACATTTTCTAACCACCTCTAGCTCCTCTCTGTGCTGAGTCTGCTTTCCAATTAAGCTGAGTATATTCTAGGAACCCAACCAATTCTGTTCTCTCTGGCCCTCATCTGCTCCTTTGCACCCACTGTTCCCTCCACACAGAGGCTGTGGCTCTCATTCCTCCCTGTAAATCCTGTCCATTCTAGTTTTAGGCATGAATCCCAAAGTCATGATTAAAACGGTGCACTGGCCAGGCGCGGTGGCTCATGCCTGTAATCCCAGCACTTTGGGAGCCTGAGGCAGGTGGATTACCTGAGTTTGAGACCAGCCTGGCCAACATGGTGAAACTCTGTCTCTACTAAAAATACAAAAAATTAGCCAGACGTGATGGTGGGAACCTGCAATTCCAGCTACTCAGGAGGCTGAGGCAGGAGAATTGTTTGGACCTGGAAGGCAGAGGTTGCAGTGAGTCGAGATCGTGCTTCTGCACTTCAGCCTGGGTGACAGAGTGAGACTCTGTCTCAAAATAAATAAATAAATAGTGCACAAAGACATATACTCAAGTGTGTTTATTTATAATAATGACAAATTAGAAACAACTGGAAATGTTCGAAATGTTCAAATATGGGGATTCATCAAATAAATTAATGGTATCTTATGACAGAATAATATGCAGTTATGAATAAAGATTGTGTAGACATAATTGTGCACATGAAATGATCCTCACGAAATGGTCACTAGAAAAGAATATGTCATCAAATAGAATATTAGGGTGTAATCTCATTTCTGTGTATTTAATTTAAAAGAAGCTGGACCTAAAAATAATTTAAAAGTTTTTAATCTATATTTATGACTTCTAGACAGTGAATTATTGAAAATGAATTATTTAGATAGTGAAAAGGCTTTGGGGGAGATTTTCACACATGAAAAAACAGTAACTCCTACCCATACGTCAGGATCCATTCAAATACTCCCTCCATTGGAGGAATTTGAGAAAGCAGCTATGACAGCTCCATTCTTTGTATCTTGGTCAGTCTTTGTGGCTCTTTCTGGATCCTCATATGCTATCAAATCAAAAGGTGTTGGCTTGCTTGTCTTGTCTTTTACTGATTCTGTATGTTTTTGTTTTTACTTTTTGAGATAGAGTCTCACTCTGTCATTCAGGCTGGAGTACAGTGGTGTGATCTCAGCTCACTGCAGCCTCTGTCTCCCAGGTTCCAGTGATTCTCCTGCCTCAGCCTCCTGGGTAGCTGGGATTACAGGCACGTGGCCACCACACCCAGCTAATTTTTGTATTTTTAGTAGAGATGGGATTTCACCATGTTTGCCAGGCTGGTCTGGAACTCCTGACCTCAGGTGACCCACCCATTTTGGCCTCCCAAAATGCTGGAATTACAGACATGAGCCACCAGGACCAGCCTTGATTCTGTATATTTTAAAAGAAAGAAAATGCTCCATCACATTTGTGCTCAAGAATATGCTGGTGCTTCCAGTTTGTTGCAGAGTTTCAATAAATGTTTGATAAAATGATACAATTTAATTTTCCTAGGTGATCCACACCCTAGTAAAAACCATGTTTGCTGAAAGTCTTGGAACACGTGTGTGAGGCAGTCTTAGTAATGCATGACACACACAGAATGATGACATCTATGAGTCCTGGTTGGCCGTGTTGGGTGGAAAACTCATTGCTGGCTGCTTCTGGGGTTTGTGTTGCATTTTCCATGAGCAGCCGTGGCCTGCTCTGGCATGTGGGAGGTCTCAGTGCAGCCAGCACAATAGGCAGGATTGTTGGTCTTGTCCAGCACAGAGCACACTTGGTCCCATAGCTTCTAGGCAAGGATCAGATGAACTCATCCAAGAAAGCCAGTGCTGAAGCCCCAGCCCGAGGAAGCATGATCTGATCACACAGGATACCACTGCACTGGGCATTTTCTTAGTTGTACTGAAATCCCAGAATTGACCAGTCTCTTGTGCCTCCCACCCTCTGCTCCAGTGGAAACTAAGCCAGCCAGGGCTAGAAACAGGATGAGGGCAAAAATCTCTTTGGTCTTATCTTTAGGATTGAAAAAATAATTGAAAGCTGTTTGACAACTCTTTGCATATAATAGGCATTTAATAGAGTTTTAATAAAAGGAGTGTATCAAATAAGAAAGCCCACTGAAAATTGAAGCATGATTTCATAATTTGACTTCTAAAATATCAATGCACCAGCCCCAGGGATTTGGGTAAATCTGGACTATTGTATCCTTTCTTATTATTGGGTAATTTTCAAGCTCCTCCTCCCGGCGGGTGGGTTTGGCTATCCCTCCCCAGAAACACCACCCACAGCCCCTGAAGAAGTGTGATCCTGGAGAAATGGGGCTGTGGCCCTGATAGGCTGGGTCCAGCTGCCTCCCAGCCATAAGAACCTGAGGCTTCTCCTCCTTCCTGAGGATATGTGAGCGGCAGTGTGGGGGCCCAGGGCAGTTGTGAGGATGACAGGGAATTCATACTTTTCTAGTGGTAGCCAGTGTTTTTCCTGACATCTACCAGAGCCTGGAGCTCCCCGAAAGCCTGCCTGGTCCAAATACAGAACTCTCTGCTTTGTGCCGCAGGCTCCGCACGTGCACCCATCAACCAGCGGCAATTGTGAATGTAAACAAAGGGTGGCAAAACAAAGGCTCTGCAGCAAGAGGCGGATGTCCTAAGGAAATGTATGGGCTCCTCACTTTGGTGGGACTCACACAGGAAAAAATGCCCGGTGACCATTGCTCCTGTCTTAGATCTGCTTTGCAGGGAATGGCAGCTCCTAGCATGCAGCAAACCCTGAAGTACAGCCCTCTTCTGTTGAAACCTGCCTTGTAGCAGAAATATTTGTGGATCCTCCTCTCCACGTGGGTGAAGGCCACTCCCCGGGCACACCTGCATCTCTCTGCCTGAGGCTTTCCCTCAGTTTCCCCGAGGGGAAAATCAGAGGCACATCAGGCTGGAAGCAGTTCTCCACCCACCGAGAAGGGGGCTTTGGCGGAGAAATGCCCCAGCCAGGGCCAGCCGCAGGAGTACGAGGCCTGTGCAGGTATATGGGCCCAGCATTGAGAAGGGCCCTGCTCCTGGTTCAGTGTTCTCTGCTGTCATTGACCGTCTTGAAATTCTTTGTTGTTTTATCTCTGACTAGTGCTTTGTAACTGAAGCCTGACGGGGCACTGGAGCATGCATGTCCGCAGAGGAGATTGGTGCAGTGTGTGTCCCTGCTGCCCTTCCTTGCCCTCTAATTGCTATAGAGCTTTCCGAGTGCCCCAGGAGCACAGAGTTTCCAGGACCTGTAATGCGTGAGAGTTCAGAGAGCCAGGGCAAGCCCAAGGTCAGTGTGCCATGGTTGTGACGGAGCAAAGGGGATATGGATGCCCCCACACTTTCCCATCACACCCGAACTCACTTCCAACGCAAAAAGAAGATACGGGAGCAGCCAAGTAACCCTGTCACATCCCTGCCCCTCCATATCACTACCCTGAATTAGCCAACCACTCCAGCTGACTACACCAAGACAGGAAAGGGAAAGTGGGACAGCCACTGTGCCTTTCCCTCTCCTTCCTTCCTTTCTTCCTTTCAGGGAGAAGGATCCTTCCTTCCTTTCAGAGACAAAGATCCGGGTGTTGTCGCCAGGAGACTGGGAGGATGAGATGGGTGCCCATGGAGAAGTGAAATAAAATCAGATGAGTGAGTTTCCCACAGTCATTGTTCTGGTAAGAAACATACAGACATTCTGATGTGCAAAATACAAATGGTATAATTTCCTTGACTCTGCCTAGGAGTTAAATGTTGATATTTGCTGTCATTGCACAATATAAAGATAAATGGTGAATGTATGTGTATAATTTAAAATTACTTCTCACTGCTTGGCTGGAGTACCTTTGGGTGTGTTCTCCACTGTGGATAGAGGTCCCCAGGAAAACTGGTCTCCAGCTGTCCCTGCAGTTACTTGCTGGATGACACCTCCTACTGGCTGTCTTCCCTCCCTCACTTGCAGTCTTCCTTGGGATCACCTCCCCAAAACAAGACTTGCCCCAAATCCTCGAATCAGCTCCTCTTCCACGGAATCCATTGAAAACACCTGTCTGCATTGGCCACTGCGGTTCAGGGGCTGCTGACGGGGCCATTTCTTTTGTGGCTTAGCCGTGAGGGGCTCGTCACCCGCAAGGCAATGGAGAGCTCACAAGTGCCTATGACCAGCTATCCCTGGAGCTCACTCTTTCTCAGGCAGGCAGGAAACTGCAGTGCTTTTTGAAGTTGTATTGATATTTTGAAGGAAAATATTGTTAGTTTTAGAAATGTTGAAACCAATGATCAAAATATTTTTTCTTAATGTCAGACCATCCCCAGATAAATACCTTTTCATCATTTCACCAACCTGTGGAATTTGTTTTGTAGACACCTGGGGCATTTTATTATTTTCATGTGGCCCGTGAACTTCATGGGCAAAGACAACATGAAGCCTGGAGCCCGTGTTGAAAGTGTGGACCTGTAGTGCCAGGGTGTAGACAGCCACACCGAGCCCTCTCTCTGTTCCTTGTCATAATTCTTTTCTGAATTGCAAGGCCTTCCCTACAGTCAAATGGCAATGACGAGGTGGCGTTATCAAGGGAGACGGGAGACTGCTGTCCTTAGGTCAGGGGCGTTTGTCCAGGGAAGCTCCTCTGTTGCAGTCTTAGCCCTCACATCAGCACTGAATTATTGAGTGACCAAGGTACAGTCATTCTCGGACAAAGGTCACTGTCGGGACAAAGGTACAGAGACCCTTCTCTCATGTCTGGAATCAGAAGACGCAGTGAGCGCCAAGGCCATACTGAACCCTCACAGTCAAATCCTGGTTGAAGGGAGGGCCAGGTATCCCTGGGTGGCCCCACTTAACAAATACGAAATGACAGAGATGCTGCCCTTCCTGTGTCCCTGAGGAGCAAGGGGAACACATTGTAATCAGACAAGGTTTTGCTGTCACTGCTGACACCAGAGCCCCATCTGGTCCTAACAGTGTTGACTCTGTGCTCCCTCTTTTGAGCAAGCACTGCAAACACCACAACGGGCTGTTCCAGAGCACTCACAAGGTGAAGGCGCAATTTTCTGGCTCTATCCTCACCTGACCTCTCTCAAAGACTTCCTGCAAGTCCCCAGGAGGCATTCCCATGACACAAGACCCCTCCTCTGGATTTGTGAGGTGCCAGCTTTGCCCTCTCTCCTGATCTGGTTCAAAGTTGGGTCCAACTTGTCATCACTGTCACACTGACCCTCAGGTGCTTCCAACCATAGAGGGCAGATCACCTTTCCAGAAAAAGACTCAATGCAGCCTTCCTTCAGATAAGTTCTTTGCTTACCTCCTTTTTGGAAGAGATTCTTGGGTCTCTCTGTAACAAGGGGAGTCCCAGGCCCCTACCTGGAAATAGCCTCCCAGGATGATTGACAGGCTTAGAATGGGGCCCACATGTCACTCCCTTGTCATAGCAGCCACACAAGTGCCCTTGGGGTGCAGGACAGTGCAGGGTCAACCCTACTCAGTCAAATGCCCATGCTTTCTCTGAGATAGTCTAATGGCCTCCGAGAATCACCAGGATTGTTTTTAAAATTATTTCCAGAAAGGGAGAAAAGTGGGGAAAGAACTTACCATCACAAATGATCTGTCTGTCACAACCCGGTCTTTGTTTCAAATGAGGATATTTTTTGGAAGACGCTGCCTTAAGAGGACTCCAGCCTACACTCCAATGCCAAAGGCAGGAGAAAGCAACCAAGAGTTAGAATAAGAGCTCAGCTCTGAAGTAAAATGTGTGTTTGCGAAATCTCCAGGCAATCTCTTGTCTGGAAGTGTCGCATGGTGTCTTGCTTGCTTGCCCTTGTGTAGTGGCTCCATTAATCTTCCACGTGGATGGCTACCTTTTGATGGAGCCTCACTGGGAATTGTCAAGGGATAAGAGCTAGAAGGGGAATATGAATGTGAGCTCCATAGTCTAAGGGTCACCTTTCATGGTTCGTATGGTTCATATTTTTCTTTTCGGTCAGCACATTTTTATAAATCACCTGAAAACATTAACATGGATACAATTGCATTTTTAAAGTTATGTATCTGAAACTATTCTTTTTATATGTATGTATAATTTTTAATAACCTACTTGAGAAAACAAGTAGGATTTTTAAACAAGAAGGATTTTTTCAAAGATCATTCTTTTACCCATTTTCCATATTATATGTTATCTATTGCTTTATAATAAATTGCCCCGAACTCAATGGCTTCAAATAGTGATAAATATTTGCTGTCTCACAATGTCTGTGGTTATGACTTGGGGTCTCTCTTGAGGTTGCAGTCAGGTGTCAGCCAGGGCTGCAGTCATCCAGAGGCTTGAATGGGGCCGGAGGATTCAGTTCCAAGGTGCTATTCACATGTTGGGCAGAGAGTGCTGGCAGGGGTTGCTGAGTGTTGGCCAGAAGTCACTGTCTCTCCTCGTGGGCCCCTCCACAGGCCTCGCCAGTGTGCTTCCAGCATGACAGCAGGCTTCCCTGGAGCCAGTGACTCAAGAAACAGGGGTGGAAGCCACAGAGCCTTTTATGAAACAGCCTTGGGCATTACACACCATCACTTCCGTCATATTGTGTGGGTCACCCACACCAGCCCTGATTCTGTACAAGAAGTGACTACCTAAGGGCATGAATACTGGGAGGCAAGGATCCTTTTGAAGTCCTTGGAATCTTTGAAGGTAGCTACCACAGTTATTTATTTATTTAGAAACGGAGGCTTGCTCTGTCTCTCAGGCTAGAGTGCAGTGGTGAGATCATAGCTCACTGCAGCCTCAAACTCCTGAGCTCAAGCAATCCTCCTGCCTCTGCCTCCCAAAGCACTGGGATTACAGGTATGAGCTACTGTGCCCAGCCAGCTCCAACAATTTAAATGTCATATTTGAGTACACAGTTTTCTTTATTATTATTATTATAATACTTTAAGTTTTAGGGTACATGTGCACAATGTGCAGGTTTGTTACATATGTATACATGTGCCATGTTGGTGTGCTGCACCCATTAACTCGTCATTTAGCATTAGGTATATCTCCTAATGCTATCCCTCCCCTCTCCCCCCACCCCACAACAGTCCCCGGAATGTGATGTTCCCCTTCCTGTGTCCATGTGTTCTCATTGTTCAATTCCCACCTATGAGTGAGAACATGCGGTGTTTGGTTTTTTGTCCTTGCAATAGTTTGCTGAGAATGATGGTTTCCAGTTTCATCCATGTCCCTACAAAGGACATGAACTCTTCATTTTTTATGGCTGCATAGTATTCCATGGTGTATATGTGCCACATTTTCTTAATCCAGTCTATCGTTGTTGGACATTTGGGTTGGTTCCAAGTCTTTGCTCTTGTGAATAGTGCTGCAATAAACATACATGTGCATGTGTCTTTATAGCAGCATGATTTATAGTCCTTTGGGTATATACCCAGTAATGGGATGGCTGGGTCAAATGGTATTTCTAGTTCTAAATCCCTGAGGAATCGCCACACTGACTTCCACAATGGTTGAACTAGTTTACAGTCCCACCAACAGTGTAAAAGTGTTGCTATTTCTCCACATCCTCTCCAGCACCTGTTGTTTCCTGACTTTTTAATGATTGCCATTCTAACTGGTGTGAGATGGTATCTCGTTGTGGTTTTGATTTGCATTTCTCTGATGGCCAGTGATGATGAGCATTTTTTCATGTGTGTACACAGTTTTCTAACAATGAGGAGGCATATGAAAATGTGTGAACTGTCCTAAGATGAAGCATCTTACATTGTCCTAAAGTGACACCAACCCTCAAGCCCCAGATGTTTGAGTCAGGCCAGCCTCAACCACTCTCCTGGTGTCCTGTACACATCTGTGTGCACGCACACACACAAATACACTCACACTAAAGACACACTCATACACACTTATTAACAGACACTCGCACTTACACAAACATACAGTAAGTCCTCCCTAAATATCCTCGATAGGTTCACAGTGAAATGATGTATAATAAAACTGTTTTACCATAGGCTAATTGAGATAAACAAGACTTAAGTTTCTATGACATATTTCTGTTCACAAAAAATCACCAAACTTCTTAATAAAGACCAAAACACTTCTAATATTAAACATTGAAGTACATGTGAGCTATACAAACACTTAAGAAAGATTAGTAAAAACTAGTATGAATTATTTACCCACTTATTCCACTTCAGGGTCTCACGTGACAGGAGTCTGTCCCGGCAGCTCAGGGTGCAAACTGGGAACCCGCCCTGGCTAGGATGCCATGCCCTCATGGGGAGCACTCACACAGCCACACTCATTCACACGGGGACCATGGAGACATGGGGATCTGCTTTACCTGCACGGCTTTGGGATGTGGGAGAGAACGAAGTACCTGGGGAAACCCATACAGACAGGGGGAGAACGTGCAAACTCCACACAGTGGCCTGGCCAGGAATAGATTTTTAAATCATCAACATCGTAACAAAACAATCTTAAAAATGACGTTATTTGAGGACCTGCTATCCTCACACACATATATGCACACTCACACACACACACTCTCACAGACACATTTATGCACTCACACTTATTCACACACCTATATACACACTCACAAAAGCCCACATGCACACTCACACATATAGACACTCTCACATACACATGTACACATATATACATTCACACTCACATGTGCACATATGTACACACTCACCCACACTCACCCACATTCATGCACTGATGTATACACACTCAAACACGCATTCACACATAGACACACTACTCACAAACACACACATGCTCTCTCTCACACACTCACACATATATGCATGCACACTGACGCTCGCTCACATACACTGTCCATGCACTGTACTGAGACCCTTGGCTGACGCTGTCCACACTGCTCAGCGGCCCCTGCCCCTTTCCCTATGCACCCCACAGCCTCCCACAGCTGCAGTTTGCTGAGTTGGCTCATTCCATGCTCCAGGCTCTTGGCTTCCCACCTGCTCTAGATGCCCCCCTTCTGGTTTTACGTGTGCCCATCATCCTGCACTCCTCTCGGATTTCAGAACCGAATCTTCCTGCATGGTTTTCACAGGTCCCCTGCTTCAAGCTTGTTGTTTCCTTTCATATCAGAAGAAGATTCCCCAATCCAGCGCCAGCCCGTCTCTCCTGCTTCTCTCCACTCCAGCTTTGTGACCAGGATCCTGCTGGCAGCAGCACCAGCTCCTTACTGAAAGAAATGAAAGGATTTAGATATCACGGCCATAAGGACCATAGCAAGCGGAAATGAGACACGATTTGAGCTGACACTTCCAGGCATTTCTCTGAGCCTCTTTAGCCTTAATTTGAAAAATTGTCCCTGAAAGCCCAGACTTACATCCACCGGCCACGGGCCATGGGGGTTGATGAGAGGCATCTTCCCCCACTTGCTGTTAAGCCATGCTCTCTGCGATCTCCAGGGCTCATTCCATGTAGGTTTTATTTTCTTAGCACATATTTCCACCTTCACTACCTGCATATGGGGCCTTGGAGATATTCCAGCTTAAAAGGGGATTTACACGTCCTTGTGGGAATTAGTACACCAATGAAGCTGGTCACCAGGAGTGAAAAATGGCTCATTTAGGCATCCACAGCCAGTTTCATAAAGCAATATACCAAGAGAAGATAAAACGTTTTCCGGCACTGGCTGGAAAGCCAGCGTACGAATGGGAAAGCATTTGCAGAAGTCGCTGATTCAGGGTGATAGGTGCCTATGTCTAGGAACGCATGTCTGGGATGAAGAACTCCATGAAACACACCCTTTCCAAGAATGCTGCTGCACGCCAGGCTCTTGGCTAGGCTCTAGGAACACAAAGATGACAGGTGCTCTAACCCCATAGGGGTTAGACTCCTGGCCTGGGACAGAGTCAAACATGCAGATACCAATGGGTAAGCAGATGTCGAAGAGCACAAGTAGCTGTGCCTGCCGCTCCTGGAAAAAGACTGCTGTGTTCACCCCAAGCTCTGATTGTCTGAGTCTTTGGCCCTAAGCAGAAGCACTTCCCTACTTTCCTTAATCTAAAGGTTTAGGCAGGGCAAGGTGGCTCACGCCTGTAATCCCAGCACTTTGGGAGGCCAAGGCGGGTGGATCACTTGAGGTCAGGAGTTCGAGACCAGCCCGGCCAACATAGTGAAACTCTGTCTCTACTAAAAATAAAAAAATTAGCTAGGCGTGGCTGCGGGTGCCTGTAATCCCAGCTACTCAGGAGGCTGAGGCAGGATAATCGCTTGAACCTCGGAGGCAGAGGTTGCAGTGAGCCGAGATCACGCCACTGCACTACAGCCTGGGCGACAGAGGGAGACTCTGTAGCAAAAAACCAAAACAAAACAAAAAATCTAAGGGCTTAAAAATATACATTATTTACACTTATTTGGATGGCTACTATCCCCAAAAATAACAAATATTGGTAAAGATGTGAAGAAAGTAGAAACCCTTGTGTGCACTGCTGGTGGGAATGTAAAATGGTGCAGCCACAGTGGAAGACAATGTAGAATTTGCTCATAAAACCAACGATAGAATTATTATATGACTCAGCAATTCCACTTCTAGGTAGATACCCAAAAGAATTGAAATCAGGGTCGTGAAGAGATATCTGCACTCCCACATTTATAGTAGCGTTGTTCTTAGCAGCCAAAAGGTAGTAACAACTCAAATATCCATCAACAGATGAATGGGTAAGCAAAATGTGGCGTATGGATACAATGGAATATTATTCAGCCTTAAAATGGAGGAAATCGGAATGCGGCACAGCATGAATGAACCTTAAAGACATGCTGAGTGAAATGAGCCAGTCACAAAAGCACAAATACTGGATAATTCCACTTACATAAGGTGCCAAGAGTCTTCAAATTCCTAGAGAAAGAAAATAGAATGGTGGTTGCCAGCGGCTGGGGGAAGAGGAAAAGGGGAGCTCCTGTTTAATGGGTACAGAGCTTCAATTGGCAAGACGAAGAGTTCTGGGGATGGAGGGTGGTGGTGGTAGCACAGCACTGGATGTACATAATGCTGCTGGACTTCATGCTTAGAAATAGCCCAAGCTGCTGAGAACCTGCCTGGATTGATGGCACTGACTCTGGTGCGCAGGCTGGTTCCTCCCTTCACTAGAAGCCTGGCCAAGCAGCCCAAGCCTGGACACAGATCCATCATGGTGGGCACCAGCCAGGGTCAGCAGACATGTCCAACTCTGCCGGCATCTGCCTTCTCTCCCCAGGGACCCTGAGCCATGGCAAACTCCCAGTCACAGGCATGCTAGCCCTGTGGGTTCTGCCTAGAACTCAGGTGTCCTGTGTGAGAGAGACACTTCCCTATCTGGGCCCCAGAGAGTGTTTTGCTGGCTTGAGGCTGCCATGAGACCACCCTGAAGATGTTTGCTTCCTGGAGTTCCTGCTGTTTCCTGGCTGGCTTCTCTCCACCCTGGAACTTGACCCTCCAGCCACCTCTTGTAGCAGATTGGTTTTCTCTCCTGTCCTGAGAATCCAGTGGCTACTGGTGTCTGGGAGCCAGCCCTGGCCCCAAGGGCTTCATTCTTCAAGTTACCCGCCCTGCTGCTGGTTTTTTTGTGTGTTTGTTTGTTTTTTGATGGAGTCTCGTTCTGTCACCCAGGCTGGAGTGTAGTGGTACAATCTCAACTCACAGCAACCTCCGCCTTGTAGGTTCAAGCAATTCTCTTGGCTCAGCCTCCGGAGTAGCTGGGATTATAGGCACCCACCACCATGCCCAGCTAATTTTTGTATTTTTTAGTAGAGACAGGGTTTCGCCATGTTGGCCAGGATAATCTCAAACTCCTGACCTCAGGTGATCCACCCGTCTTGGCCTCCCAAAGTGCTGGGATTACAGCTGGGAGCCACTGCGCCCGACCATGCCCCCGGTGTTTCCACTCCAAACCTCAGAGGTGCATCTGGGGAAAGCTCTCCTATTCAAGTGTCCACTGCCCCAGTGATGGAGCACTGGGCAAGAAGACACTACAGCGTGGGGTGGGGGTGGCTTTGGGACCAGAGGCACATGACATGGAACCTCCACTTTTCCAAGTCCTGGCTCTGCGACTGTGGCAGGTTCTCAACCTCACGGGCTTTGGTTTCCTCTTTGGTAGAGTTGTTGGAGGAAAATCAAATGAAAATAGATACGTGTGAATGTCCCACAGTGTAGGGTGCAGAGGAGGGGGTGCGTCAATGGTAGCTCTAAGTGGTGGTGTTTGCAGTTCGGCCTAGGTCTCTGGTTCTTTATCCCGAGCATGGTAGGGCAGATCCCGTCCTGAATCACAGCCCATGTTCCCCTGAACACATGGAGGACCCTGGGTGCCCCAGGGGTCAGCGAGTGGAGCTGGGAATTTACTCCGCAGGCAAGGGCTCCCACACCAGTGAGGAAGTCTGCTCACCTGAGTCTCTGAGAGGGAAAGTTCAGGAATGCTGATGGTAGAGGTTTTACTGTGGCCATGCTAATGGAGGACTGAGGCTGGCCCCCAGCTCGGATTAACTAATTGGTCACATTGAGTCCCAATTGACTTGCTGGTCAGGAAGCATCTTCAGTTAGTCCCAGAGAGGGTCTGGTATCCCAGCTGGTTATGTCAACGAGAAACAGCACAGAACACTTGTTAAAGGTGGCAAGACAGATTTATTCAGACTGTTTCAATGGGGGAAAGGGACACCAGCATAAATGAACTCAACTCCAACCAAGACCTAAAGGTGGTAGGGGTTTTAAAGAAGAGAACAGAGAAGGAACAAAAACAGGCTATGAGAAGTATAAAAGGGAGAACCAAAAAGGTGACGAGAGGGGATGTGGGGAAATGAAAAGTTACAGGATTGAAGTAAGCAGGGGATTACTGGAAATTGTTTTGGCGATGTGGGTTGGGACGATGTACATTTTGCAGTTTGGCAGCAAACTGCAAAGACTCAACGTGGGGGCTGGTCATGTTAAGGGACTGGGCCAGCGCAAGCGAAAAGCAGGCTGGAGTGTGGCTGAGGCTCCCAGTCGAGTGTCTGGGCAAGCCCTTTGTGTCTACTGGAGTTTGCAGTTGGAACCAGACAGCCGCTGGTTTGGTTAACTCCTTGGAAGATGCTGGTCCAACTGCCATTTCTTCCGTTTACACCTGGACGCTTCTTGAAGCCACCTCCAGGGACATAGTCTTGCAAGATCCTGACAGTTACAGTAGCAATGTGAGCAGCCTTGGGCAAACAATAACAAGAACATGCACCGAGAAGCAAGAGGTTACTTGCCCCTAACAGCAAAGTGTAGAAGGTCAAACTGCCAAGGCTTCAGGAGGGACGAGAGTGTCCTTGGGACTGAATGCACAAAGGGCCACTGTCATCTGGGTTTGCGTGGGAGCTTGCAGAGGGGAGTGCACCATTCAGTGGGATCCTCATTTCCAGATATTCTACGTTTGTCGTCTGGCTTGCTGTGATTATTGTGCAAAAAGGACTTTCCCCACTTTTATTTGCTTAGTATTGAATCCAAGCAATATTTTCAAGAGCTATTTGTCAGGGGCTGAAAAGATCAAGGAGGCACAAAATCGTGGCTCCAGGGCACATGGGTACCTCAGAACAGGCCTGGAAGGAGTCCATTTGCTGTGCCCAGGACAGTGTGAGTGGCTCCCTCCCTGAATCCTAAAATGGGTTTACCCTGCCTTCTCTCATGCTGACTTCTCCTACCTGACTTCTGCTCCTTCACACCTGGCCATCCTCCAGGACTCATCCCCCTGGCCTCCACCCAGCTCTGAAAAGCTTTTCCCGGCACCCTCATCACCAGCCCCTCCCCAGCACTCCTCATTCACTGGTTCTCTACACCACTCCCTGCTGCCCTCAGCAGGACCCTGCTTTGTAAAGGCTTGGGGACTTCATACGTGTGTCTGGTTTCTCCAGCTGCTGGACAGAAGGGCAGAGAAGGTTCTTCTACTTTCGCCGTTACACCTCTGAGCACAGTGATAGATGTACTCCTTTTGGCAATGATGGGGGGACGAGGTGGATGTTTAGGCTTATGCATTCGTAGGCAAGACCACCGCAGTGCCTGGATGTGTCAGGCAGCATTTCAAGCCAAGAGAAACTCAGCAATGGCTGGAGAAAGTCCAGGACGGTCAGGAGAGCAAAGACTGAGTTACTTGAAGCCTGCTGCTCACAGACTCCAGGCAAGCACCTGACTCTGAGCCTCAAAGCCCAGTAAGATCTGGTTCATCTTCCAAGGTGGTGTGGAGAGGTTGGCTGTTGCACTGAAGAGGCCCTTTGCAAGGCCACTTGCCCAGACTTGAGCTGGACAACATCAGCTTTTATGTAGTATAATTTTGCAGAGGAAGGTTCCTCTTGATTTGACCATTTGTCTTGAGTTTTGTTGCCCTGAGTATTGTCTTGGGCATAGGGAAGGGCTCTGATTTCCAAAAGAGGCCAGCCAAGAAGAAGGAGAGCCCAACTCTAAAGTGGACTTGGGTCTCAGGCATCCTGGCCTGGAGAAAGAAATCCGGATCAGCAGCTCGGTTCAAAGGAAGCAGAGCTGGAGTTCCCAGAAGAGGAACACCAGTTGGAGGAACCGTGCTAGGCGTGGAACCAGTGGGCGTGAGTGTTTTTGACTTCCGGTCCAGCTTGGCTCTGGGGCTGTGGTGGACTGAGCCCACAGCTGAGGACAGCTGAGCTCAGCTCTGGGGAACACAGAGGCATGTACACTGCCACAGGCATGCTGGATTTGGTTTGAGCAGAAGTAGCCTCTGTTTTGTCTTCCCTTTGTTTCTCAGCATCACAACAGTGGAAGCCGACATCACTGTGTGAGTGTGAAGCATGCCGTTCTTCAGCTCTGCACAGCTTGCTGGGGACTCTGGATCAGCCCAGTCACCTCTGCAGCCTCAGGCCTATGGCCCATGCCATGAGGGGCTGCTCTCTTCCAGTTCAAAGAGGCGATGACTCGGAAGTGTAGACAGACACCGGGCAGCTGAGGGGAAGGCTGCAGGCTCAAGATGGCAGCTGTCTTTCCCATCTGTTTAATTTGCCAAGCAGCAGGCTAGAGTCTCCAGGGGCAGGAATGGAGCAGGGTAGGGAGAAGAGGTTTGAAAGGTTATCACAGTTTGAAATTAGCCTAGTGTGGCCGTGTATTATTATCTCATTTTTCTTCTCCTTTCTCAGGCAGTATGGAGACTTTGAGAAACACCAACTTATGTTGCTGAGTTTTCAGAGAAAGTTAATTTCTAGAGGAGACATTTCTAAGTATGAATGAGGACACAGAGAGTTTGGGTCTTGCCATCCCCACAGACTCAAGATTTGCCTCTGTGAGCAGTCTTGGGTAGGAGGAAAAGTCCATCCAGGGCCAGCCGCGAGGTGTGTCTGGGGCCTCCATGGACTGCCCCACAGGGCTCTGTTTCCTGGCTTTAAAAAGGTTATGTTTGCACTTTGGGAGGTGAGGCGGGTGGATCAACTGAGGTCAGGAGTTCAAGACCAGCCTGACTAACATGGTGAAATCCTGCTTCTACTAAAAATACAAAAATTAGCTGGGTGTGGTGGTGGGTGCCTATAATCCCAGCTACTCAGGAGGCTGAGACAGGAGAATTGCTAAAACCCAGGAGGCGGAGATTGCAGTGAGCTGATATTGCGCCATTCCACTCACTCCAGCCTGGGCAATAGAGCAAGACTCCGTCTCAAAAAAAAAAAAAGAAAAGAAAAAAAGAGAAAAAGAGGTTATGTCGGGTCCCCCATGCACCCTACACATGTGGGCCTGTTCTGAATCTTTCAGAAGCTGCCTCTGTGAAGTTTCCATTCCATTGCAGAACAAAGATCATTCTCTGGTCCAGATGCTCTGAGCTGCACAAATCTGAAGACAAGGAGGGTGGCTGGTGGTAAATGAAGATTATAGGAGGCCATTGTTGTGGACTAAGTCTAGAAATCAAAGTAGAATCAGCCATGCTCAGCAAACCTAAAGTAAGTTGTTATCTGACCTTCTGCAAAATCAGGAGTGACAACACCCTATTTCCCAAACAGACCAGTTTCCATCTTCTGTTGACAAGGTCATGAAGCTGCCCCTGTTTTCATCCTTAACTGAAGTCACCTGCTGGCAACAAACAGTTATTTTTCTATTGTTCTGCCTCCTTGTCCTCATCTTATAAGACAAGTAACTGTGAAATGACCAATCTGTTTTTGTCCTGGTTTCTGCTCTCTTCAGCCCTTCCTTCTCTGTCTACAAAGCCCTTCTCTGTCTCCTCTGCTCAGCTCATTGGAGCACTGATCCTGCATTATGGAATGAGGTGTTGCCCAACTCTGGAACTGCAAATAAAACAAGTTGAGATCTTTAAACTAAATTTGTTATAATTTTGTCTTTTGACAGTGGCTAGACCTTAACCCATGAGTGGCTGCTGCTGTGAGCAGTAATTCTCTTTTTCTGTCTGAGCCACTGGAAATAAACAGAGTTAATAATAATAACTGACCAGGCATGGTAGCTCACACCTGTAATCCCAGCAATTTGGGAGGCCAAGGCATGGTGGTCCCAGCTAACTCGGGAGGCCGAGGCGGGTGGATTGCTAGAGCCCAGGAAGATGAACCTACAGAGAGCCATGATTGTGCCACTTCAAATTAAATAAATAAATATTTAAAAGCAATGACTAGGAATAAAATGCTAATGAATACAATAAAAACAGATTGGCCTGGGTGCTGTACTCCCCCTGATTCCTGGGGATGACAAAATTTTGAGTAAATGCTCAACTTCAAGAT
This sequence comes from Homo sapiens, assembly GCF_000001405.40. Lineage (NCBI taxonomy): Eukaryota > Metazoa > Chordata > Mammalia > Primates > Hominidae > Homo > Homo sapiens. Next base: position 25,626,805 of record NC_000015.10, read on the forward strand.
GAAATGGTGAAGTTTACCTTGAGGGATGGTGATGGAGGCTGGTGAATATTTAACTTTTTTTTTTTAACTTTTAATTTAGGTTCAGGTGAACATGTGCAGGTTTGTTGTATAGGTGAACTCATGTCACAGAGGTTTGTTGTACAGGTTATTTCGTCACCAAGGTACTAAGCCTAGTACCCAATAGTTAGCCTCTAGCTCCATCCATGTTCCTGCAAAGGACAAAATCTCATTCTTTTTTATGGCTGTGTAGTATCCCACGGTGCATATGTACTACATTTTCTTTATCCAGTCTACCATTGATAGGCATTTAGGTTGATTCCATGTCTTTGCTATCGTGAATAGTGCTGCAATGAACTCCGAGTGCATGTATCCTTATAATAGAAAAACTTATATTCCTTTGGGTACATACCCAGTAATGGGATTGCTGGGAACTTACACTCCCACCAACAGTGTATAAGCATTGCCTTTTCTCTGCAACCTCTTCAGCATGTTATTTTCTTGACTTCTTAATCATAGCCATTCTGACTGGTGTGAGACAGTATCTCATTGCGGTTTTGATTTGCATTCCTCTAGTGATCAGTGATGATGAGCTTTTTCTTCATACACTTGTTGGCCACATGTATGTCTTCTTTTGAGAAGTGTCTGTTCATGTCCTTTGCCCACTTTTTAATGGGGTTGTTTGTTCTTTTCTTGTAAATTCAAGTTCCTTATAGATACTGGATATTAGATCTTTGTCAAATGCATAGTTTGCAAATATTTTCTCCCATTCTGTAGGTTGTCTGTTTACTCTGTTGGTAGTTTCTTTTGCTGGGCAGAAGCTCTTTAATTTAGTTCCCATTTCTCAAATTTTGCTTTTGTTGTGATTGCATTTGGTGTATTTATCACGAAATCTTTTCCAGTTCTGATGTCCTGGGTGGTGTTGCCTAGGTTGTTTCCCAGGGTTTTTATGACTTGGGCTTTTACATTTAACTTTTTAATCCATCTTGAGTTGATTTTTATATGTGGTGTAAAAAAGGGGTCCAGTCTCAGTGTTCTGCATATGGCTAGCCAGTTATTGTGGCATCATTTATTGAATAGAGTGTCCTTTCCCCATTGCTTCTTTTTGTCAGCTTTGTTGAAGATCAGATGGTTGTAGGTGTGTGGGCTTATTTCTGGGTTCTCTATTCTAGTCCATTGGTCTATGTGTCTGTTTTTGTACCAGTATCATGCTGTTTTGGTTACTACAGCCTTGTAGTATAGTTTGAAGTCAGGTAATGTGATGCTTCCAGCTTTGGGTTTGTTTTTTTTTTCCTTAGGATTGTCTTGGCTATTCAGACTTTTTCTGGTTTCATATGAATTTTAAGATAGTTTTTCCAGTTCTGTGAAGAATGTCACTGGTAGTTTCATAGGAATAGCACTGAATCTGTGAATTGCTTTGGGCAATATGGCCATTTGAATGATACTGATTCTTCCCATTCGTAAGCATGGAATGTTTTTCCATTTGTTTGTATCTTCTCTGATTTCTTTTAGCAGTGGTTTCTAATTCTCCTTGTAGAGATCTTTCACCTCCCTGGTTAGCTCTATTCCTAGGTATTTTTATTCTTTTTGTGGCAATTGTGAATGGGTTCGTGTCCCTGATTTTGCTCTTGGCTTGATTATTGTTGGTGTATAAGAATGCTAGTGATTTTTGTACATTGATTTTGTATCCTGAAACTTTGCTCAAGTTGTTTATCAGCTGAGGGAACTTTTGGGCTGAGACAATGGAGTCTTCTAGATATAGAATCATGTCATCTGCGAAAAGGGGTAGCTTTCTGTCTTCCTATTTGGATGCCCTTTATTTCTTTCTCTTGCCTAATTGATCTGGCCAGGACTTCCAAAACTATGTTGAATAGGAGGGGCAGAGAGAGGGCATCCTTGTGTTGTGCCAGTTTTCAAGGGGAATGCCTCCAGCTTTTGCCCATTCAGCACGATATTGGCCGTGGGTTTGTCACTGATGGCTCTCATTATTTTGAGGTATGTTCCTTCAATACCTTGTTTATTGAGAGTTTTTAACATTAAGGGATGTTGAATATTATTGAAAGTCTTTTTTTGCATCTATTGAGATAATCATGTGATTTTTGTATTTAGATCTGTTCATGTGATGAATCATATTTATCGATTTGTGTATGTTGAACCAATCTTGCATCCCAAAGATAAAGCCTACTTGATGGTGATGTATTAGCTTTTTGATGGGCTGTTGGATTTGGTTTACAAGGATTTTGTTGAGGATTTTTGCATCAATGTTGATCAAGGATATTGGCCTGAAGTTTTCTTTTTGTGTGTGTCTCTGCCAGGTTTTGGTATCAGGATGATGCTGGCCTCATAGAATGAGTTGGGGAGGATTTCCTCCTCAATTTTAAAAAATAGTTTCAGTAGAAATGGCATCAGCTCTTTTTTGTACATTTGGTGAATCAGTCTTCTCCTGAGCTTTTTTTGGTTGGTAGGCTATTTATTACTGCCTCAATGTCAGAGCTGATTATTCATCTGTTTAGGGATTTGATTTCTTCCTGGTTCAGTCTTGGGAGAGTGTGTGTGCCCAGGAATGTATTCATCTCTTCCAGGTTTTCTAGTTTGTGTACATAAGGGTGTTCATAGTAGTCTCTGAGGGTTATTTATATTTTTAGTGGGGTCAATAGTAATATTCCCTTTGTTGTTTCTGATTGTATTTATTTGCATCTTCTCTCTTTTCTTCTTTATTAGTCTAGCTAGTGGCCTATCTTATTATTTTTTTTTTTTTCAAAAAACCAACTCCTGGATTTTTTGGTCTTTTGAATGGTTTTTCGTGTCCTAAGCTCCTTCAGTTCAGCTCTGATTTTGGTTATTTCTTGTCTTCTGCTAGCTCTGAGGTTGGTTTGTTCTTGCTTCTCTAGTTTTTTTTAGTTGTGATGTTAGGTTGTTAACTTGAGGTCTTTCTAACTTTTTGATGTGGGTGTTTAGGGCTATAAATTTCCCTCTTAACACTGCCTTAGCTGTGTCCCAGAGATTCTGATATGTCATATCTTTGTTCTTATTAGTTTCAAAGAATTTCTTAATTTCTACAATAACTTCATTATTTACCCAAAAGTCATTCAGGAGCAAGTTGTTTAATTTCCATTAACTTTCACTTCATACATTTTTCCTGCTGGGTCTCTTTTTACAAGAGGCATGCTTTGCTTTGTTAAATTAAAAAAATAAAGAAAATTGAAAGAGAGAAATAAACAGCAATTTTGAAAAGAAAGAAGAAAAGTTGAAATAAAGATGATTAGGGATGGGATATGGGGGGAGATGAGACAGCCTAGGGTCAGAGAAGACCGAGAGAACCTCTCCGGAGTCAGAGCCTACATGGATCTTCCAAGCTCTAGAACCCAGTTTGTAAATTGCATGTGCATAGTGCAAGGACGGTCTGAAGCACAACTTTGTCAAAACTATGGGATACAGAACCTCATGACCCCCATCACCACAGGGCCACAGGGTGTTTGTTCCCAAGAGCCAGGCAGCCCCAGCTGGCATCCATCCCTCCTCCTGGGCAGCATGGCTGAGGGCACATGGTAACTGGGAAAGTCCCCAGCCCAAAGGCCTATTTGAATTAGGACCAGCCAGTGGTGGCATCAGAGATGAACCCACCTCTACAATGGGCAAGTGTTATCATTCTTTGAATAACTGTTATTGAGTCTTTATTAAGAGAGGAGTAACTGGGCATTAGAATTCACATGTGTTGGAGAAAAAGTTTGTGTTTATCTGATGACATAGTCTGGGGCCAAAAAGCTTTATTAGCCACCATTTACAGCTCTTGCTGAGCATGCTCTCAGTGAAAATTCCAGGATTTCCCACTAAAAGTTTGGCTTCCTGAATACTCTCTTCATCCTAAAGTGGAGGAGCATGGCATTCTGAGGACAAGAAAAGGAGAAATGGTATATGATAAGTAAAGCACTGAGTTTTTAATCCAGAGGCTTCTAGTAGCTGCTTTGGGACGTCTTCCACAGGATACAGATGCCTTGTTCTAGAGCTAACCCAATCAGCTTTGTCATGGCCCCTGGGAGGTGCTGTCCAGAGTCCCTTCAATGACAAACTCTCTGCCCAGCTCCAGGGAGTGCTGGTGGCAGGTGGTTTCCAGCTGCCAGACCCTTGGGGACTGCCTCTGCTTCAGAGCCACCTTGTCCATGGATGCATCCCTCCCTGGGGTGGCCCACACCCAGTGATGGATCCAAGTGGTTATAGGAAGGCCTGTCCATCTCTGTCCACCTTAGAAACAACACTAACTAGCTAAGGAGCCCCCCTAGGGCCAGCTGAAGCCACTTCTGGGTCACCCCTCAGCCCAACTTCCCCTGAACAAATCCCACTTCTTGCTTCTCCTCCCATAGTGTTGATCCCTAGCAAGCACCCTGTGTGCCCAGCTTCATCTCAGCATCGGCTTCCAGGGCTGACCATGACAACCATCTGACCTAAAAATGCTCAAAGGCAGAACACTGAGGAAGCAAAAGGTTTAATTTATGTACTATGTATATCTGCAAAAACATATTCAACATACGAAGTATATTTACACAAATGTTAATGTATAAACATAAATATTCAAAGTATGTATTTACATCTACACACATATTTAATTATTTGAGTATTTTTAAAGTATTTAAAGTATTTACTAGGAGCTCTCTTATCTAATTCCTGTGAACCCTGTAGTGAGTAAGCATACAGCCAAAATTATTTAAAGTAGAAAATCATTATATATGAGCATATATATATATATATATATCTATTACATGCACATGTGTATATATGTGATGTGTATATGTGTGTGTCTATGTAGGCATGTGCAGGTATGTGCGTGGGCACACACATATGCACATCACATGTAAACATAGTTACATATGTGAACATACATAGGTATACGTGCGTGTCTATATGTATATGTGTGTATGCATGTATGTGTGTGTCTGTGTGTGTGTGTATAACATTTTATTTTAACTTGAAGCCTAAAGACATAGATGTACGTGCTGGTCATCTGATTTGGTGATTTCAGATCTATATTGACTTCCTGTTCAGAGCACACAGTTGTAATACATTGTCCATATTTATCAGTTTCAACAGATTTAAAGTGACATGAGAGCTTAAAGACTTTTGGACAGACTCTAAGCGTGGAATTCTTATGGAATTTTACTTCCCTCCATTTGTTAGAGTTTCTTCCCACACACTTAATTGGACATAATGTTTTTTCATGATTCACCTTGATTGAGTCTTTCCAAAGCTTTGAACTTCATTTTCATAGAAACAGTAACTCTTTCCCCACTCATATTGTCATGGGATTAGGTAATATTTAACTAAATCACATGACAACACTATCTGGGCGCACTAGGGCCGGGCACCAACGCCACCGACTCTAAGGCGGCGAGCATCTTGATGGATCAGGCATGGGGCTTGCTCCCTGGTGCTCCAGGACCTCAGCTGCAGCCCAAGGATTCCTTCGGGAAGGTGCAGGAAGCTGGAAGAGCCCTGCCAGCCCAGAGAGGCCATTGTGGGAGGGTCTTTAGGAGAGTTTCTCTTGAGTAAGTGTAAATGCAAAATGTTGAACGTCTAGCTACTGCGGTGTCATGTATGTTTTTAAGAGGTGCACACGCTCACTCCCGTCACTCAGCCCATATCACTAGGTTTCTCTGTGCTGGGCACTGAAAATACAGTCCCCCAGAATGCAAAGTCCTTGCCTCAGAGGGACTCACAGGTGCATGGCACCAATCTGTAAATAGCTATCCCAAGCAACGAGATAGGTGCTGTGAGAATGTGCAGGTGAGAGAGACCACCTAGGCAGGCAGGGCACAGTCCAAAGGGAGGTGACATTTATTTGAGGCAAGTCTTGCAGAATGAATTTGAGGCATATCTTGCAGAATGAGTAGGAATTATCTAGGTGAATAACTGGGGGAGGCACCTTCCCAGCCGGTGACCTTTAGGCAAAGCCACTGATTTCTGGAAGGCTTCAGCTATCTTCAGGAATGATCAGCAATTCAGTGTGACTGGAGGCCTGTGCATGGAATCAGAGAGGCAGGAAGCACAGAGGCTGCAGAGGGAGAGGCAGAGTGGACAGGAACACTCATGTGTTTGTATATTTATGTTCTCCTCACATACTAATTTTCCTATGGAACAAACAATAATACTTTTTTTTTCTTTGGACAGAGTCTTGCTCTGTCACCCAGGCTGGAGTGCCGTGGTGCGATCTTGACTCACTGCAACCTCTGCCTCCTGCATTCAAGCGATTCTCCTGCCTCAGCCTCCCAAGTAGCTGGGATTAGAGGCGCCTGCCACGTCACCCAGCTAACTTTTGTATTTTTAGTAGAGACGGGGTTTTGCCATATTGGCCAGGGTGGTCTTGAACTCCTGACCTCAGGTGATCTGCCCACCTAGGCCTCCCAAAGTGCTGGGATTACAGGCGTGAGCCACAGCGCCCAGCTAACAATAATACTTTTTAACAGATTTTTTGAAGTTTTAAAATTTTAATTATTATGGATACATAGGCACATTGGGTACATGTGATGTTCTGATACCGGCATACGATGTGTAACAATCACATCAGGGTGATTAGGGTACCCATCACCTCAAGCATTTATCATTTCTTTATGTTAGAAACATTCCAATGCCACTCTTTTCATTATTATTATTCTTATTTATTTATTTTTGAGACGGAGTCTCTCTCTGTCGCCCGGGCTGGAGTGCAATGGCGCGATCTGGGCTCACTGCAAGCTCCACCTCCCGGGTTCACGCCATTCTCCTGCCTCAGTCTCCCGAGTAGCTGGGACTACAGGCTCCTGCCACCATGCCCGGCTAATTTTTTGTATTTTTAGTAGAGACAGGGTTTCACTGTATTAGCCAGGATGCCCTTGATCTCCTGACCTCGTGATCCACCCGCCTCGGCCTCCCAAAGTGCTAGGATTGCAGGCGTGAGCCACCGCGCCCAGCCCATTATTTTTGAATATACAATAAATTATGGTTGACTTTAGTCACCCTGTTGTGCTTAACTGAGATTAAATGCAGGTCTGATTAAATGCACCTGGAATTTATTTTGCGTGCTAGAAGGCAGGCATCAAGTGGCTCATCAGATTTTCCAGGACTATTGATTGCACTGTTTTTGTTTGTGCTCACTGAGTAGCAAAGGCTGGCCTGTCATGTATCCTGTGGCCTTGGTGCTGCAGTTTCTACATTACAGGATTCCAGGGGCTTTGCTTACATCATAGTCCACAGGCTGTGCAGTGAGATGCCATTGCACCCCTATGAGAATGATGACAGTGATAAAGGCCAACCACACAGGTGACGGTGAGATTGTGCAGGACTGAAACCCACACACCGCTGATGCAGATGTCACATGAAACAGAAACTTTAGAGAACTGCCTGGCAGCCTCTTAGAAAGTTAAACATACACCTACTGCATGATCCGGCCATTCTGTGGTACTTACCCAGGAGAAAAGAAAGCATAAGTCTGTACGAAGGCTTTTACACAAACGTTCTTAGCAGCCCATTTGCAATAGCCAGAAACTGGAAACACACAGTTTTATCCACATGATAGATGACTACCCAGCAATAAAAATGAATCAACTATTGATACGCGTAATCATATGGGGAAAAAATAAATCTCAAAATAATTACGCTGAGTGAAAGAAGCCAGGCCCCTTCCCCCAAGAAAGGGGAGGGTGCTGTATGATTCCATATATTCTATAAATTTATAAGATGTATATAAAATCCTAGAAAATACAACTAATTCACAGTGCCACCATATAGATACGGCAAAACCCATCAAATTGTATATTTTACATATGTGCAGCTTATTGTATGTCAATTGTACCTGAATAAATGGTTGAGAGTGTGTGTAATCCATGCAGCTACCAGAATAAAGCTTCTCGATCAAGAGGTGTTTTGGAATAACAGTTATTTTATTTTAAGTTATTTATTTAGAGACAAGAGTCTTTTTTCGCTCAGGCTGAAGTGCAGTGGCGTGATCTTGGCTCACTGAAACCTCTGCCTCCTGGGTCCAAATGAGTCTCATGCCTCAAGCTCAAGTAGCTATTTTTTATTTTTACTAGAGACAGGGTTTCACCATGTTGGCCAGGCTGGTCTCGAACTCCTGACCTCAAGTGATCCACCCACCTCAGCCTCCCAAAGTGCTGGGATTATGAGTGTGAGCCACCATGCCCTGCCAGTAATTTTAATTTTAGATTATATAATAGAAATGGATTTTTGAGTCAATGTGGGAAAGGTAAAACTTTCCCTAATTGTTTTCTGTTTCGAATTAGAAAAAGAAATTTTTTTCATGGATAACATAGAGAATTTACAAGAAGCTTATATGAGTTTCCTGGGGCTATTGTAACAGAGCACCACAGACTGGGAGGGTTTAAACAACAGACACTGGTTGTCTCACAGTTCTGGAGGCTGGAAGTCCAAGATCAAGTTATAGGCAGGGTTGGTCTCTTCTGAGGTCCTTCTCCTTGCCTCACAGATGGCCACCTTCTCCCTGTGTCTCTTCACCTATTCTTCTCTCTAGGTTTGTCTTAGTCTCTTCACATGGCATTCTTTTCCTAGTCATATTACCAGTCATATCAGACTAGATAGAGCTCCACCCTACTGTGGCATGACCTCATCCTAACCAATTATACATAACTGCATGTTTCCAAATAAGGTCATATTCTGAGGAACTGGCTATAGAACTTCAATATATGAATGGGGGTAATGAATTCAACCCATGACAAAGTTCTACCTTATATTTTCATTCTTAAAAATAATAGAGGGGTTAGGTGTGGTGGCTCACACCTGGAACCCTAGCATTTTGGGGGGCCAGGGTGGGAGGATCACTCGAGACCAGGAGTTCAAGACCAGCCTGGGCAACATAGTGAGATCCCCGTTTTTACAAAAATAAAAATTGAAAACTATTTAAAAAAAATAGAACAAGAAAGAAATGTGCACCTCTGTTTCTGCCATGCTATACTTGGAAATCAGCCAGGAAGGGAAAGAGCTTTTTGTGCAGCAACTCAGGCTGCCTCCTTGTGCTCTGGAAAAGACTTTCTCTCTGCCCCTCTTTGTTCTGCAGCCTGGGGTGCAGGTTTCTGCCAGGCTGGCCCTTCAGGTTGCCTGCTTTGCTCCTTTGGGCTGGGCCTTTGTAAGGGTGGCACCTGTGCGTGCCACATCCTGCAGGGTTCTAGGGGCATTGCTGCTTTATTGAGGTTTGTTGGTTCGTTGCCATCCTTTCCTGACCCTCCTTTCCTTAGACTAGCATCAAGTTGTCTACATGAACTGAATTCACCAAAACTGTTGTTAGAGATCTGCTGGTAGCAAGCCCTAAGCCTGTCATGAACAGGCCTTAAAGAAACTGGCCATAAACAGCATTTCTGCAGCAATGTGACATGCTCGTGATGGCTATCACGCACACTGCTAAAAGTTGTTGGTTTACTGGAGCGGGACAAGGAAAACCTGGCCCACCCAGAGTGGAAAACTGCTCAAATCACAAACAATAGCAGAAGCGGCCTGTGCCTTAACAACATGCTTTTGCTGCAGATAATCAGCCAGGGCCTGTTTCTCTGCTCCTCACTAGGAATGCTTTTAGTTAATCTATAATCTGTAGAAACTATGCTTATCACTGGCTTTCTGTCAATAAATGTGTGGGTCAACATCTGTTCGTGGCTCTCAGTTTTGAAGGCTGTCAGCCCCCTGATTCCCACTCTGCACTCTATTTCTGTGTCTTTGTCTTAATTCCTCTAGCGCTGCTGGGTTAGGGTCTCCACGACTGAGCTGGTCTCAGCAAGCGGTGCTCAACATGGGGGCTTGAACCCAGGATGAAGAGTCGCTGGAGCGGTGGTTGGAGAACCTGGAAGTAAGCTGGAGAACACCCGAGTACTCTTAAGCAATCCCCGTGGTGAGTAAGAAGGGGAGCTTGGAAGCATCAGGGTAACAATGGGGCAAGGGTCGAGCAGACAAGAGGCTTATTTGAGTCGGCTTCAGCATCTCCTCAGAAAAGGAGGAGTGAAGGTTAGCACTTATGCAGCTTTTTAGTGCAGTAGAGAAATATTGCCCCTGGTTTCTGGACTGAGGAACTATGAATGTAGAGGTCTGGGAAAAGATAGGCGGCACACTGAAAAAGGCATATAAGGATGGTGCTGAGGATATTCCTGTAACTGTCTGGTCAGTGTGGGCTCTGGTTTGCTCCACCTTGGAATCTTTCCACACAGATGATGATGAGGAGGAATCAGAGGAAGAAGAAGAGTGTAATGAAGTAACAGAAGAGGTGACAGAGCAGGTTTGCTTGCCAGCTAAAGCGGCAAAGGAGGGAGAAGTTTGTCCCTACCCCTCTGCACCCCCCATTATTTTGAAGAAGAGTGGCCTGACCCTCCAGATCTTTCTTTTCTGGAGGACGGGGGCAAAAAGTAGCTGCCCTGGTGACCGTTCAAGCAGCGCCTCGAGTGACCTCTCTCAGTTCTATTCAGGCAGGAATCCAGCAAGCTAGACAAGAGGGTGGTATGGATGCTTGGCAGTTCCCTGTTAGAATACATCCACCTGATCAACAGGGGAATATTATAGCTATGTTTGAGACTTTTCCTCTTAAATTACTTAAAGAATTTAAACAAGTTATTAATCAATATGGACCAGGTTCTCCTTTTGTAATGGGACTGTTAAAGGATGTTGCTGTCTCCAGTCAGATGTTGCCAGCGGGGATGGTAGGATTACTTCTAGGTAGGTCTAATTTAAATTTAAAAGGAGCACAAGTACAAACAGGAGCCATTGATTCAGATTACAATGGGGAAATCGAAATTGTTATATCTACTTCTGTTCCCTGGAAAGCAGAGCCAGGAGATCGCATAGTGCAGCTCCTGATTGTGCCGTATGTGGAAATGGGGAAAAGTGAAATTAAATGAACAGGAGGATTTGGAAGCACAAATAAAGAAGGTAAAGCAGCTTATTGGGTGAATCAAATTCCTGATAAACATCCTACCTGTGAAATAACTATTCAGGGAAAGAAATTTAAAGGTTTGGTACATACAGGAGCGGACATTTCAATCATTTCTCTACAGCACTGGCCGTCCACGTGGCCAATTCAACCCTCTCAATTTAACAGAGTTGGAGTTGGTAAAGCCCCTGAAGTATATCACAGTAGTTATATTTTGCATTGTGAAGGGTCCGATGGACAATCTGGGACTATTCAACCAATTGTAACTTCTGTACCTATAAATTTATGGGGAAGAGATTTATTACAGCAATGGAGAGCACAAGTGTTAATTCCAGAACAATTATATAGCCCTCAAATTCAGCATATGATGCAAGAGATGGGGAATGTGCCTGGCACGGGATTAGGAAAAAATTTACAAGGGTTAAAGAAACTACTCCAAGTGGAAGGACAGAATTCTCGTCAGGGTTTAGGATATCATTTTTGATGGCGGCTATTGGTAAGCCTCCAGAACCTATACCGTTACAATGGTTAACAGATAAGCCAATTTGGATAGAACGATGGCCACTGACTAAAGAGAAACTAGAGGCTTTAGAGGACTTCTAATTTTTACTGAACAATTAGGAAAAGGACACATAGCTCCAACATTTTCCCAATGGAATTCTCCAGTCTTTGTTATTAAGAAAGAATCAGGTAAATGGAGAATGTTAACTGACTTAAGGGCCATTAATTCAGTTATGCAACCTATGGGCGCATTGCAGCCAGGATTGCCTTCTCCTGCTATGATTCCAAAAAATTGGTCTTTAATAGTCATAGATGTAAAAGGCTATTTCTTTACTATCCCCTTAGCTGAGCAAGGCTGTGAATGGTTTGCATTTACAATTCCTGCGGTAAACAATCTGCAGCCTGCTAAGCATTTTCACTGGAGAGTGTTGCCACGAGGCATGTTAAACAGTCCAACAATTTGCCAGACTTATGTAGGGCAAGCAATTGAACCTACTCGTAAAAAGTTATCACGGTGTTACATTATTCATTATATAGGCGATATTCTTTGTGCTGCCCCCACTCGGGAAATATTACTCCAATGTTATGATCACTTAACAAAACTCGATTTCTCAAGCCAGTTTAATTATAGCGCCTGACGAAATTCAAACTACTACTCCTTACTCCTACTTAGGGACCTTAGTAAATGACACTACAATAATAGTGCCACAGAAAGTAACTATATGTAGGGATCAACTAAAAACACTGAATGACTGTCAAAAATTACTAGGGAACATTAGTTGGACACGACCTGCTCTAGGCATTACTACCTAAGCCATGAGTAATCTATTTTCTATCCTTAGAGGAGATCCTAGTCTCACTAGCCCTCAACAATTAATAAAGGAGGCTGAGACAGAGTTACAGCTGACGGAGAAGCAAGTGCATAAAGCTCAAATAAATAGAATAGATCCAAAAAATACTTTTGACTTGTTGATTTTTCTGACTCAGCATTCACCTACTGGTGTTATTGTCCAAGAGCAGGACTTGGTAGAATGGCTTTTTCTTCCACATACGAATTCACAGACTGTCTTTATTTGGATCGTATTGCTACTCTGATAGGAAATGGGAGAACTCGAATTGTTAAATTGCACGGATATGACACTGGAAAAATTATTGTCCCTCTTACAAAGACACAAATACAACAAGTCTTACTTGGCAAACCCATTTAGCTGATTTCGTAGGTGTTCTTGATAATCACTTTCTGAAAACAAAATTATTTCAATTTTTAAAATTAGCGAATTGGATTCTCCCTAGAATAACTAAATTTAAACCAATCGAAGGTGCTGAAAATGTTTTTACAGATGGGTCTGGTAATAGTAAAGCTTCTTATTCTGGATCAAAAAGTAAAGTTTTCCGGACACCCTATACTTCAGCTCAAAAATGGAGCTTGTAGCTGTAATTGAGGTACTGACTGCTTTTGAGATTCCTGTCAATGTAATTTCTGTTTCTTCATATGTGGTTCATTCTACACAGTTAGTTGAAAATGCTCAGCTACAATTCCACACAGATGAGCAACTGATGACTTTATTTACCCAATTGCAAACAGCCGTTAGGAATAGAATGCACCCTTTTTACATTACTCACGTTAGGGCTCATATACCTCTTCTAGGACCTTTAACTGAAGGTAATCAAATGGCTGATCACCTAGTTGCTACTGCAATATCTAATGCTAGACACTTTCACAATTTAACCTATGTCAATGCCTCTGGTCTCAAACGCAGATACAGCATTACCTGGAAAGAAGCTAAAGCTATTATCCAGCGATGCCCAACTTGCCAAATGGTACATTCCTCATCTTTTACAGAAGGAGTTAATCCTGGACGATTGAAACCTAATTCTCTTTGGCAAATGGACATCACACATGTTCCCTGGTTTGGGAGACTAGCTTATGTACATGTATGTGTGGACACCTTTTCTCACTTTGTCTGGGCTACATGCCAGTCAGGAGAGTCTTCTGCCTGTGTTAAACATCATCTTTTGCAGTGTTTTGTGGTGATGGGCATTCCAGCTTCTATTAAAACAGATAATGCCCCAGGCTATACTAGCCAAGCTCTAGCTACATTTTTCTCTATATGGAATATTAAACACATTACTGGTATCCTATATAATTCACAAGGACAAGCCATTGTGAAAAGAATGAATCTCTCCCTAAAACAGCAGTTACAAAAACAGAAAGGGGGGAACAGTGATTATAGGACTCCACACATGCAACTAAATCTAGCATTATTAACTTCAAATTTTTTGAGCCTGCCTAAAGGCCAGGTGCTATCAGCAGCTGAGCAGCATCTACAGAAACCCGCTGCAAAGACAGAAGCAGAACAACAGGTTTGGTGGAGAGATCCGTTAACAAAAAGTTGGGAAATAGGTAAAATAATAACTTACGGTAGAGGTTATGCTTGTGTTTCTCCAGGCCAAAACCAGCAGCTGATTTGGATACCATGAAGACACCTGAAACCTTATCATGAGCCAGATGCCGAGGAAGAGATTTTGCGAGGGACCCAAGGACCACCCTGTTGCAGCCAAGTCCAGACTGACAATAAGGCCTCCTTTCCTGTTTGTAGTGGGTGATTTAAAACTTGATCTCTCTAGATCAAGCTTTTTTTTTTTTTTTTTTGAGCTATACTTCAGCTCAAAAAGAGGAGCTTTTTGATGTGATTTGTCAAGAATGTAGATTGTTTTCTTGTGTGAATTCTTCCCTGTATAATCCTGATCATTCTATTTTAGTGGTAAGAGCCCGAGAAGGAGTATGGATACCTGTAAGGCTTTCCCGTCCTTGGAAAGCCTCTCCTTCTGTGCATATTATTACTGAAATTCTTCAAAAGATTTTGAGGCACTCTTGGCGTTAAATTGCTGCTTTAATTTTAGTCATTATGGGATGATTGCTGTCACAGCTACTGCCACGGCAGCTGGAGTTGCTTTGCATTCCACAGTACAAACAGCAGACTATGTAAATAATTGGCAGAAAATTTCTACTCTGCTGTGGAATTCCCAAACTAATATAGACCAGAAACTAGCTAATCAAATCAATGATCTCCAACAAACTATAATGTGGCTAGGAGATTGAGTAGTTAGTCTAGAATATAGAATGCAGTTACAATGTGATTGAGATACTTCTGATTTTTGCATTACTCCTCATCTGTATAAAGAAACAGAGCATGAGTGGGAAAGAGTTAAGAGACATTTAAAGGGTCATACTGGAAATTTATCTTTGGATATTGCAAAACTGAAGGAACAAGCATTTCAAGCCTCTCAGGCATATCTGACGCTAATGCCAGGAACTGAAGTGCTTGAAGGAGCTGCAGACGGATTAGCAGCTATTAACCCGTTAAAATGGATCAAGACACTTGGAGGGTCTGTGATTTCAATGGTGATTGTGCCTTTAATCTGTGTTGTTTGTCTTTGTGCAGTCTGCAGATGGGGATCCCCAATCCTGTGAGAAGGAGCCCACCATGACAAAGCTGCCTTTGCCTTTATTGCTTTGCAAAAAAACAATAAATAAATAAATAAAGAGGGACATGCTGGTAGCGAGCTCTAAGCCTGTCATAAACAGGCCTTAAAGAAACTGGCCATAAACAGGATTTCTGCAGCAATGTGACATGCTAGTGACGGCTATCACGTACACTGCTAAAAGTTGTTGGTTTACTGGAGCAGGACAAGGAAAACCTGGCCCACCCAGAGTGGAAAACTGCTCAAACCACAAACAATAGCAGGAGCGGCCTGTGCCTTAACAACATGCTTTTGCTGCAGAAAATCAGCCAGAGCCTCTTTCTCTGCTCCTCACTAGGAATGCTTTTAGTTAATCTATAATCTGTAGAAACTATGCTTATCCTGGCTTTCTGTCAATAATGTGTGGGTCGAACTCTGTTCGTGGTGCTCAGCTCTGAAGGCTGTCAGCCCCCTGACCCCCACTCTGCACTCTATTTCTGTGTCTTTGTCTTAATTCCTCTAGCGCTGCTGGGTTAGGGTCTCCACGACTGAGCTGGTCTTGGCAGAGTTCCATATCCAAATCTGAGTTGCTGTGAAGGTGCAGATTCTTTTAACATTAGGAAAAGGGAATATCCTGCGAGGATCAGAACTCCAAGACAGAGTCTTGGATTTCAAAGCCTGGTGATGGTGAAAATGGTGTGTCTTTGGGGATAGAGAGAACTTTTGCCTTCACATCTCTCACGTTCACCCTTATACATCGTTGCACAGGGGAGCTTGTGAGCTCTGAGCCCAGCTTGGCTGTGGGAGCAGGAGGAATCTCTGGTTTGGGTGCTGAGGTATCCTCAGCAGGGTGGGTGTGTTGAGGAGATGAATAGTTGGCAGAACTGTCCACAGGCTTTTCTTTTCTGCCACTGTCCTCACTGTGGTGTCCTTGGGAGGCTACAGGAGTCATGGGACCAGGGACCTGCTCAGCTATCCGACCGGTGGCCCCACCGCACACAGACACTTTTGCACAGGACATCACCCATCCCAGGGACTGTAACATATTCATTTTACCAACTCTTTCTTCCTCAGCATACAGATGTCCTTCCTGCCTGCCATTAGCACTTCCCAAAAAACTGCCAAGCCACGTATCTACCTGACTTTTCTTTACATATTCTTTTTTTTCTTCAATTTTTATGTTAAGTTCAGGACACATGGGGAGAACAACACACACGGGGTCTTCTTTTTAAAAAACAGAACAATCAATACTTGCTATCAAAAAATAGAAGCTACACACTTAAATAAAAGATGTTGCCCATGGAGTCCCTAAAATTGTCCCGTGCGTCAGCGGCTGGGTGCACACCACACTCTGCGAAATGGTGATGCTAGGCCTCTGGCCCTTTCCTGGAATTCGCAGCCCCTCATGAGGAGCCCTTTGGAATGAGAGGAAAAATAAGCATGTGGACATGCCCTAGCCGAGGAGTGTTCTTTTAGTATCTGCCAATTGAGAAAATAGACAACGTACAAAGCTACTATTCAGAATGAATTCACCTTATGTTAATGAAATGGCCCTCTGCAGATGGCCTGGTGCACTAACCCTCCCTTCCATCTGCAGAGGGCCTGGTGCACTAACTAATTTGAAGCCACTTTGCAACTCTGTGGCTTCCTGGGGTCGGCAACTCACAGTTGGGAATTCCTGGTTTAGGGGAAAGAGCCAAGACCCCCTTTGTTCCATTGTGTGGACTTGAGCATTTTGCCTTCTAGCTGGTTTTAGGTTCCCCTGACTATGAAATAGGCATAAAAGCCCCTGCGTTTTTTTTTTTTAAACCTCACAGATGTTATTTTTGTGAAGACAATGGAAAACACTATTCTTCCACTCTGGGCAACATGGTGAAACCCCGTCTTTACCCAAAATACAAAAATTAGACAGGCATGGTGGAACTCACCTGTAGTCCCAGCTATTTGGGGGCGGGATGATGGGGAGGGCCGTTGAGGCAGGAGAATTGCTTCAGCCAGGGAGGCAGAGATTGCAGTGAGCTAAGATCATGCCACTGCACTCCAGCCTGGGTGACAGAGTGAGACTCTGTCTCAAAAAAGAAAAATAAAAAAAGGAAGAAAGAAGGAAAGAGAAAGAAAGAAAAAGAAAGAAAGAGGAAAAAGAAAGAAAGAAAGAGGAAAAAAGAAGAAAGAAAAAGAAAGGAAGAAAAAAGAAAGAAAGAGAAAGAAAGAAAGAAAGAAACTATTCTAAAGAGGAGAAAAATCATATTTCTAAATGCAAATTGTCAATATAACCCTTTCCATGAAATCTCAGAAGAAGCTAGGACTCCTGGGAGACAAAGAAGAAAGAAAATATGAATGGAAACATCATGGGAAGGCCAGTGATCAGTGATGGAGACACTGACCACAAGAGCCCCAGTGACTCAGCTCCTTAATAATCACCAGGCCCAGGAGCCCAGGAAGTTGAGACCACATGTGATGTGGAGGAAACTCGGCAGCATTGGGCTTAGGCGCCTGGCTCCGGGCACTGAAGGGAGGGCTGCAGAGATCATGGGGACAGGCCATTCCTCTTCTCCCAAGGACAGTCTGTGTTACTGCGGAAACGGGCCAGGGCTGCCCTTGAAGTCCTTGGAAATCACACCAGGAATGGCCTGACCACACTGGGCAGGAGGGAGAAGAAAAGGAAGCCCAGGGACTGGGCGGAGAGGGAGAGAGCCTGCCGCAAGGGCTTCAGGGCAGGAGGGGGCTTCTCATTCCCCGCTCAGCTCCTGGAACAAAGGAAAGCCCCGCCCTGCCGCCCTCACTCAGTCCCGTGTTCTATTTAAATCCTGTGCCCCATTGCAAGACTGCATTCAGTCTGCATGAGCCTTAGTTTCATAAAAGCCCCCTCACACCGAGGGGACAATGTTCAGAACTAAATGACTGCAGGTGAGCAATTCTCTGTATTATACAAACTGGGACCAAAGATGACTTTATAATAGTGGCAAGAGACAATCAGGCAGACTGGGAGGACCTTATAAATAGATTATAAGGCTGTGGTGAGTTTATTTTAACTTAAAAAAAAAACCTTCTTTTCTGGTATACCATAGTGAAAATGTAACAGTGTCTGGATGATCTATTGCAAAAAAAATTATCCTTTGTTTCTTGATTTTTTTTCTTTTTAATTCAAAAGCCCCAAATTTCTGAGTTTCCATGTTGAGGATAAAACTCCTTTTAGAAAAATTCTAAACTTGGAAAATAGTGAGGCCCTGATTAAAATGGCAGCTCATTTGGAAAAAACCAGAAAACAGCCCATTTGCTTTCCTGATGTCATCATCACCAGCAAGCATTTCTTGAGCTTTGGTTTGATACACAGACTGGGCCCAATAGAGCCGCTGGGCATGGAGGTGAGGCCGGTCCTCTGCATCCCTGAAGAAGGCAGTCTGTATATGCACAACTGTGCAGGCAGCACACTGAGGACACATTGGATCCTTTGGGATGTCTTCTGGGCTTTCCACTTAGAGTCAAACAAAAAGGCAGCAGGAGTACAGAGAGCTGGCTAGTCCCTTCCCCTATGTGAGGACCCAGTGAGAAAGTGCTGTCTATGGACCAGACGATGGGCCCTCACCAGACAGCAAACCTGCTGTGCCTTGATCTTGGACTTCCCAACATTCAGAATGGTGAGAAATACATTTCTGCTCTTTATAAGCCACTGAGTTTATGGTATTTTGTTATAGCAAATGGACTAAGATAATGACTTAACACTGGAACAAGCTGGCAAACGTGTGGTATGCACATGTGTGTGTGCGCTTATGTGTCCATGTGCATGTATGTGTGTTTATGTGTATCTGTGTGTGTGCACACATGTGTGTGCATATGCGCTTGTGTTTTGAGATGGAGTTTCGGTCTTGTTGCCCAGGCTGGAGTGCAGTGGCGGGATCTTGGCTCACTGCAACCTCAGCCTCCTGGGTTCAAGCGATTCTCCTGCCTCAGCCCCCCAAGTAGCTGGGATTACAGGCGTCCACCACCACGCACAGCTAATTTTTTGTATTTTTAGTGGAGACAAGGTTTCACCATGTTGGCCAGGCACAGCCCAACTCTTGACTATCCCAGTGTCTGCTTGGCTGTCTTGCGGGATTCCAGGGTCCTGTGAGGTGCTTTGTGCAAAGGGCTTCCACAACCAAGTACGAGCAGATGTTCCTGTGATGAGGGAGTCAGAAGGTTGCAGTTGGACTTTGCTGATAGAATCTCCATTCCTGGAAATGTTTTTCAGAACAACAACAAAAAAATAATCTGATTAAAAGATGGCCAAAGGACTTGAACAGGCATTTCTCCAAAGAAGACATACAAATGGCCGACAGGTATATGAAAACGTGCTCAACATCAGTGATCACCAAAAGGAAATGCAAACCTAAACCACAATGAGATATTACCTCTCAGTCGTTAGAATGGACAGTATCAAAAAAGTGGAAAACATATTGGTGAGGATGTGAAGAAATTAGAACACTTGTATACTGTTGGTGGTCGTGTACAATGCTGCCGCCACTATGGAAAATAGTATGGAGGTTCCTCAAAAAATTATGAATAGATTTACTATATGATCCAGCAATGCCACTTCTGGGTATATATCCAAAGGAAATGAGAGCAGGATCTGGAAGAGATATTTGCATACCCTTGTTCACTGCAGCATTAGGTGTAATAATAAAGAGGTAGAAGCAACCCAAGTGTCTACGGAAGAATAAGTGGATCAACAAGATGTGGTCTAGCCATAAACAGAATATTTATTCAGCCTGTAAAAAGAAGGAAATCCTGTCGCATGCTACAACATGGATACACTTTAAAGACATTATATTAAGTGAAATAAGTAAGTAACAGAAAAAGACAAATATTGTGTGATTCCACTTACGTGAGTTATCCAAATTAGTCTAATTGGGCCAGGCACGGTGGCTCATGCCTATAATCCCAGCACTTTGGGATGCCGAGGCAGGAGGATCACTTGAAGCCAGAAGTTTGAGACCAGCCTGGTTAACATAGTGAGACCCCATCTCTAAAAATAAAAATTTTTAAAAAGATTAAAAAGTAGTCTAACTCATAGAGACAGAAAGTCGAATGGTGGTTGTCAGGCACTGGGAGAAGGGAAAAATGGGGTGTTGTTCAACAGCTATAGTTTTGGTTTTGCAAAATAAAAAGGTTCCAGAGATCTGTTATACAACAATGTGAATATAGTTAACATTACTAAACTATACACTTAAAGATTGGTTGAGATGGCATATTTTGTGTTTTCTTTTTTACCACAATTAAGTTTTTTAAAATTTAAATGTACAATATGGTCTAAATCAGACATAATATTTTGGCTATATTTTAATTCGTAACAACAGAATTAGATCCCTAAATCTTAAATTTAGCTGGATAAAAAAATTGGATTCCCTAATTTTAAGAAAACTTAGGAGCGGAAAATTTAAATCTGGGAAATTTTATCCACTAATTTTATTTTGTTCTGCTTAATTTGAGGGAGGAAAAAGACTATTACCCATTGTAGTGGCAGATATTTTGTTCTAGTTCTAAGAAACCAGCTGAGAGCCGAGATTGGGAAGTCTTGATTTAGGGCAGGAATTCTCAACTTGCTGGGGCCCGCCCCAGCTGTCTGTGGGGAACCTAGGCACACAGGCATTTTTAAACATCCTGGTAATTCTGACTGGCACTCAAGATTGAGAATCGCTGATTTCCAGGAGCAGCATCTGCTCGTACTTGGTTGTGGAAGCCCTTTGCACAAAGCACCTCACAGGACCCTGGAGTCCTGCAAGACAGCCAAGCAGACACTGGGATAGTCAAGAGTTGGGCTGTGCCCAGCCAACATGGTGAAACCTTGTCTCTACCAAAAATACAAAAATCTAGCTGGGCGTGGTGGCGGGCACCTGTAATCCCAGCTACTCGGGGGGCTGAGGCAGGAGAATCGCTTGAACCCAGGAGGCCGAGGTTGCAGTGAGCCAAGATCGTGCCACTGCACTCCGGTGAGGGCAACAAGAGCAGAACTCCATCTCAAAACAAACAAACAAACAAAGAGTTGGGCTGTGGAAAGAATGCAGGAGAAGAGGAGCAAGAAAAGAATGCCTGCCTCCACAAACATAACACACGGCTCTTCCAGGTATGGCATGGGGCCAGGTAAGGCGGAAGAGAAGCTCACATTACCCAGGTGAGAGGAGACCTGTGGACAGAGAGGGGAAAGAGAAGAGCACCCCCCTGTCCTGGTTCCCTGCGGCAATGTCACCCTCACAAAGGATGGGTTGACTCTGAACCTATTTTGTCCCCAAATAGGTGCTCTCTCACAGTGGTTTTTGTTGTTGTTGTTGCTGTTGTTGCTTCTTTTAGTTTAAATTCTGGAACTGTACAGAAAAATTCAGTAATTCTTAAAATGCCCATGAATTTGTCACCTTTATAACATTTTCACAAGGCCTCATTCTAAGTGGTTCTAACAAATTCAACACCAGGTACGGAATCATTACCGTAGCCTATACACATACACATTCTATTCCTTCCACAACGGAGTGTGAAATCTTCAATCATGATCATTCGCACAGCAGCTCCAGGTCTCCCCTCGAGGCCCCTGGAGGAAGGAGGCACAGTACATTGGATCTGTGGATGAGCAGATACATTGATGAGTGGTGCTTCAGCAAGATGACAGATCTCCCAGGGCAGCTGAAAACATTCAAGTGCTGAAAAATTAAGGCATCTTTTTCCTTGATACTTGCAAAACAGTTTATTCATCATATTGTTTTTACTTTTACTAATTCCTCTGACCATGAGTGACAGGTTTATGCCATTGGATGAGTGATATTGCATCCCAGAGCCCAGAGTCCACTGTCTTCCTGATGAATGACAGAGGCTAAGTGGATGGGTGGGTGGAGAGATGGAGAGGATGACAGATGGAGGATGGATGGATGTATACATGAATGCATGCATAGGATGGACATATGCATACATTCATACATGCCTTCACACACATATTCATCCTTCCATACACAAGAAAGACGGATAGGTTGCTATGTAGGTAGGCAGGTATACAGATGAATGGATAAATTGCATTTGTATGGTCCACAAAGCACTCCAACTTCACATGATTTTACTGAATCTTTGCAGTACTCTTGAACAGCTACTGTCATAATTACTCCGAATTTATAGATGAGAATGCCATACCTGGGTTAAGTAACTTGCACAAAAATCACACAACTCGCAAGAAACAAAGCAAGGACTTAGACAAGAGATTTGGTCCTCCTGCAGGCCCTCAAGAAATGGACCCTGTCCTAAAAAATGTCTCTCTCTCTCTCATCCCAGATGCTCTCAGCTACCAGTGAGCTACCCTGTCCACAATCAGTGATGAGGTTTACGAAGAAGTACACCTGCAAGAGGTCACATCTGCTGACTCCCACACCAAAGGATTAAGAACTCAAGTGAAGTTGTTCCCTAGCAAGTTGTTGGTTGACAAAGGGAAAATAAGGAGAGAGCTCCAGACTGCCAAGGCTGCCTGTGTAGGGGAGAAGAGGAGGGTCTTCAGGGGCATAGGGTTGGGGACATTCAGAACTATGATAATGGCCTTTTCTTGATCCACACACTCATCTACCACCAACCCTAGCAGAAAGACAGAGGAGGTATTTATCCATCCCTGCTGCTTCCTTCCTACCCTAGTCTAAATCCTTGACCAAGTAGGGCTGGATACCAGGATTGAGATGTCACAATTTTAAGGGGGGTTTCAAGCAGGGGAAATCACAATACTTCATCTTCTCTTGCCATTAGCTTTTTCTGTTAAAAATACGATGTTTAAAAAGCACATAAACATTTATCCATTTATCATTTACTTTGAAATTCAGCCTTTGTTCTATCCAGAACCAAATGCCAACACAGCATTCTTCTCCAGGCTTAATATGACTTATTCACTTAGGGAAGGGCTGGGAGGCTCTGAACCTTCTGAAATTAGATGAAAGCTGTGTGTATATGTACATTTTCCGAGGGACAGGGATTATCAGTTTTATTGGATTCACAAAGGATCTGTGTTAGAGACCTTGAGAGGAATTAAACATCTCTGTGAGTATATGCTGTAGGGCTTTGCTGCACTGTCCTTGGAGGCTGTGCTGACAGTGACCCCAGTGGTGAATCCCCCAGGGCTCTCATGGGAAGTTAGAAATGAAAGCAGCTCAAATAAAGAAGCCTGACTACTGAGTGTGGCCAATGGGAGAGAGAATCAGGTAGGGGAAGAGACCTCCAGACCACAGCAATTATCAATCAGCATGGGGAGTTGGGAGTCTGCAGAAAAGGTCTTTTTTCTTTTTTTTCTAGAAAAAAAATTTCTTTAAAAAAGTAAGGATTCTTCTAGAGGGTGTGTACTTTAGAAGACAATTTGGCATGGCTTAATGTCTTAGTGTGCTCAGCTGTCATAGCAAAATACCATAGACTGAGTGGCATAAACAGCAGACATTTATTTCTCACAGTTCTGGAGCCTGGAAGTTCAAGATCAAGGTGCCAGCATGGTCATTTCCTTGTGAGGACTCTCTTTTAGGTTGCAGACAGCTGCCTTCTTGCTGTATTCTCACATGGGGAAAGGGGGGATGGAGAGCGGAGAGAGAAACAACGAGCAAGCCTCTGGTCTCTTCTTATAAAGGCACTGATCCCACCATGAGAACCTTACCCTCATAACCTCATCCAAACCCAGTGATCTCGCAAAGCCCCATCTCCAAATACTGTCACATTGGGGGTTAGGGCTTCAACATCCACATTTTTTGGGAAATGATTCAGCCCATGGCACCTAGTAAAATTAAAGATACATAGTGATGGTTAATTTTATGTGTCAATGTGACTGGGCCACAGGGTGCCCAGAATAAACCTTATTTCTGGGTGTGTCAGGGAGGTTGATTCCAGCACCCAATCCTTTGAAGGCCTGAATAGAACAAAAAGGTGGAGGAAGGAGGAATTTGCTTCCTTTTTCTGGCTTCACTGCTTGAGCTGGGACATCTCATCTCATCTATCTCCTCTCCTCTCCTCTCCTCTCCTCTCCTCTCCTCTCCTCTCCTCTCCTCTCCTCTCCTGTCATCTTCTCTGGCCCTCAGACTGGGTTACACCATCAGCTCCCCTGGTTTTCAGACCTTCAGACTTGGACTGAATTATACCACCTGCATTACTGGGTCTCCAGTGTGCAGACATTAGATCATGGGACTTCTCAGCCTCTACAGTTGTGTGAGTGAATACCTCCTAATAAATCTGTCTATCTATTATCCATCCATTCACCCATCCCACTGGTTCTGTTTTCCTGGAGGACCCTGACTAACATATGCACATATGTTGCTACCCAGCAATTCTGACCCTCTACATATGCATTAGAGACACATACGTACACGTGACCTAACAGGTGCATTGAACATTCTCAGCAGCACTGCTAGCAACAACAGCAGCAGAATGGACAGACACACAAGACACATTCACACTGGGGGACACTGTGTAGCAGTGAAAATAGATGAAGCACATCTCCAGGCATGAGCCAGGAAGGATCTCACCAATGTTGGGCAGGAAGAACTGGCTGCAGAGGATACATACAAGTGATCTGGTTTATATGAAGCTAAAAAATAGGCACAACTGAGCACTATATTGTCTGTGAATATGCACATGTGGGACATGGCTTCCAAGAAAGCCAAGGAAACAAGTAACCAAGTTCAGAGTATTTCCCTGGGGATGGGGTGGCAGGCTGTCAGAGGAGGGCACATTGACTAGGGGGTCATTGGTATTGGTAATGTTCTCTGTCTTAAACTTGGCTCACGGGATCATAGCAGTTTATTTTATCATTATTTTTAAAAATGTATTTGTGCATATATACATATATATACACACACGCAATATAATACATATTTACATAATGTATGTCACATATACCGTATATCATATATAAAGCATGGCACTCTTGTATGCATATTTCTTTTTTTTTTTCGACACAGGGTTTTGCTCTTATTGCCCAGGCTGGAGTGCAATGGCAGGATCTCAGCTCACCGCAACCTCCGCCTCCCAGGTTCAAGTGATTCCCCTGCCTCAGCCTCCCTCAGCTGGGATTACAGGCGTGCGCCACCATGCCCAGCTAATTTTGTATTTTTAATACAGATGGGGTTTCTCCATGTTGATCAGTCTGGTCTTGAACTCCCGAACTCAGGTAATCTGCCCGCCTCAGCCTCCCAAAGTGCTGGGATTACAGGCGTGAGCCACTGCACCCAGCTTGTATGCATATTTCAAATTAAAAAAGAATCTCGTTAGAGAAACAAAATGTAAAAAATAAAAAAATTAAAAATTCTCATTAGAAAAACAAAATAAATTTTTTTTAAAAAGGGAGAATTAATAAACACTGTAATATAGTCACGCAATGGAATACTAATCAACAATAAAAATCGCATTATTCATATGTATTAACAACATGAATGAATCTCCAAATAACTATGCTGAGATGCGTACATCTCACTGTGCTGAGCAACAGACACAAAACAATGTATGCTCCGTGGTTCTGTTGATATGCGTTCTGGGACAGACATAACTATAGTGACAGAAATCAGATCAGTGAAAAGTGTGGGGAATGGAATTGATGAAATGGGCGAGAGGGAACCTTCTGGGCTGATGGAAATGTTCTATACCTTGTTTAGGGTGGTGGTGATGTGGCTGTGTGTTTACATTAAAAAACCAATGAACTGTATCGTACATTTAACATCTCTGCATTTAACTGCATGAAAATTATACCTCAATACAAATGAAAGTTCGGGGTGACAATTTAGCTCCTCCTTTGATTCTGCTGACAACTTCAGGCCTTAGACTACCCAAGGCTTGGAGAGGGAGGCTCTAGGACTGCTGGGAGCTGGTGAGGGCAGGACCATTGGCAGCTTGGCTATGGAGGGCAGGTGGGGGCTTCAGGCCAGCTAGGGGGTCACAGGCATAGAATGTAAAAATGGCTGTTCCAGTAGCCTTCTCTTTTACATCAGAGCCAAGCAGAGTGGACGAACTGACTTTCACCCCGGGATGAGGCTTCAGGGTGACCGATCCACTCTAGAAGAAGAATTCTAGTTAGGAGCCAGAACTGGGTATTGCAAGTCAGCTCCCAGGAGTGGAGGAAGCTTTGGTTTAGACAGAGGGCACACTCTGGGGTAACAGAGAGCCTCCACTCCAGGCCTCAGAGCCTGGAGCAGCTGTCTGGTCCTGAGTCCTCTTCCTCATCTGTGCAGCAGGAGCACTCACCACCAGGCTGATGTAAGGCTTGTAGATTACAGTGAGAGGTGCCCCAAGGATTCAGAGCTCAGGAAGTTACAGCTTTTATTATGACTGTGCACGACCTGCTGCACCCCTTTCCTCACTTATTTTCTTGCTGTGTCATATTTGTCATCATCATCTTCTTCCCCTTTTCTTCTTTCTCTCCTCCTCCTCCCTCTCCTTCATCCTCTTCTCCTTCTCTTTCTCCTCCTCCTCTCTCTCCTCCTCATCTCTCTCCTCCTCCTCCCCGCCGTTCTCCTCGTTCTTCTCCATTTTCCTTCTTCTTCAATTGCAGCTCCCAAAGGCATTCAGCATATAATTTTGTTAATGGAAAAACCCAACTCTGTAAAGTATTTTAAAGAGTTTTATTCTGAGCTAATATGAGTGACCATGGCCCAGGGAACAGTCCTAAGAAAGTCCACCTGAGGTCGTCTGGTTACAGTTTGGTTTCATACATTTTAGGGAGACAGGAATTATAGGTGAAATAATAAATTAATGCATAGAAGGTACACATTGGTTCAGCCTAAAGAGGCAGGCACTACTGAAGCAACGGGGTGTAGGTCATAAGTGGTTTCAAAGATTTTCAGATTGGCAATTGGTTGAAAGGATTTAGCTTTGACTAAAGACTTGAAGTCAGTGGAAAGGAATGGTTGAGTTAAGATAAGGGGGTTGTGGGGCCAAAGTTCTTGTTATGTAGAGGAAGGCTCATAGGTGGCAGGCCTTGGAGAGAAGAATAGATGGTGAATGTCTCCTCTCAGACCTTAAAGGTGTCAGGCTCTCAGTTAATCTCTCCTAGATCAGGGAAAGGCCTAGAAAGGAAAGATCTGGCTGCATTAATGGCGATCTTCTACAGATGCAAATTTTCCCCACAAAAGATGGCTTTGTAGGGCTGTTTCAATCCGTCAGCCTTGTGGCAACCATTTCATTTATTTTTTAAAATTTACTTTTATTTTTAAATTATTCATACAGACAAGGTCTCACTATGCTGCCCAGGCTGATCTCGAACTCCTGGCCTCAAGCAATCTTGCCACCTAAGCCTCCCAAAGTGCTGGGATTACAGGTATGACCCACTGTACCCAGCCAAAATTTTTTTTCTTTTTTTTCTCTTTTCTTTCCTCCCTCCCTCCCTCCCTCCCTCCCTCCCTCCCTTTCTCTCTCTCTCTTTCAAGACAAGGTCTCACTCTGTCACCCAGACTGGGGTGCAGTGGCGTGATCATAGGACACTGCAGCCTTGAACTCCTGAGCTCCAGTAATCCTCCCACCTCCATCTCCCAAAGTGCTGGGATGACAGGTGTGAGCCACCACACCCAGCCAGCCATTTCAGAATGTGTCAGAGAAACATATTTTGGGGTAAAACGTTTTGATCTCCTTCAGGTCGGCTGTCATGTGATGATACACCAGGGTCAGGATGGAAAGTAAGCCACATTGTACTGGGCTAATAGAAAACTGTCTAACGCGATTTCATGGTGTGTCAGGAGTGACTGAATCCCTGACTTGCATGGCTTCAGGTCTTGCTTATAATTTGGTATCTTATTGGCACAATAGTCT
Organism: Homo sapiens; assembly: GCF_000001405.40. Taxonomy (NCBI): domain Eukaryota; kingdom Metazoa; phylum Chordata; class Mammalia; order Primates; family Hominidae; genus Homo; species Homo sapiens. Next base: position 25,654,451 of record NC_000015.10, read on the forward strand.
GTTTGGCTAGTCTTATAATCTCTATTTTAACCTAAATGCCAAAAAACAGGGGGTGTAACAAGGTGTGTCTGACCTCCCTTCCCATCATAACTGGGAATTCAGTTTCTCAAGTTTCTCTGGGGTTTTCTTGAGCAAGTTTTCTTGAGCAATGAAGGGGGCCCATTCATTTGGTTGGAGGGCTTAGGATTTTATTTTTGGTTTACAATTTTTATAAAACAAATAAATTGATACACCCTCCCTGTATTTGGTTTCAGAAATTAAAGAACAAACAAGGCTTTGCATAAGACTGAGAAATAAAAATAAAATCAAAAGTCCCACAACAAACTGGATGGAATCTCCTCTTGGCCAAAGGCCCCCCAGAGAAAGAAAACTGATTTCCTGGCTCGCCGGTCCTTCCTCCCTCCCTCCCTCCCTCCTTCCTTCCTTCCTTCCTTCCTTCGTCATCCAGGCTGGAGTGCAGTGGTGCGATCTTGGCTCACTGCAACCTTCCACCAAGCAATTCTCCTGCCTCAGCCTCCCGAGTAGCTGGTATTATCAGTGCACACCACCATGCCCTACTAATTTTTGTATTTTTGGTAGATACGGGGTTTCACCATATTGGCCAGGCTGGTCTCAAACTCCTGACCTCAAGTGATCCACCCACCTCGGCCTCCCAAAGTGCTGGGATTACAGGTGTGAGCCACCGTGCCTGGGCACAACCAACCAGCATTTCTTCCTGAAAACAGAACACCAGTGGCTCTGGCCAGTCGAGGGAGGATGCACAGTGAAAAGGGGTCCTCTGTCCACCTTTTGACATCACAAGTCCAAAAGCTCCACCCTCGGATCATGCTAACAACACCGTTTGTTGAACGTGGGCCCTATGGAGAGCCAGGAAGCTCGACTACGCATGCGCACATTTTTCCTTTCATAAATATTCATGACTCCTCCTATGCTTATTGACTATGCATATCTGGGCACACTGCTTAGCATAAATCCCTGACTTATTCTTCTCACTCTCTAGGTGCCTGTTCTGGCTTCTGGCCGGAGGCTACGCTTCTCAGCCTGTCAGAATGGCCACCCTGCAGGCTCAACACTGTATGAGAAAAAGCTCTCCTTTCTAAATGTATGAACCTTGTCGTTCTTCAGTTGACAAGACGAAGCAGGCAGGTAGAAGGGAAAAGGAAGAAAAACTTCGCTTTCGTTTTTATAAGCCGTTTTTCCTGTTCATTAAATCTAATTCAGAAAATGTCAACTGAGTACCTCCTCTAGCTTGGGCACTGTGCTAGCTTCTAGGAAACACGAATAAAATGCTTTCCCTTGCCTGCCTCCCAGAGCTCTCTGGATTTTGTATTATAATAGGCTCAAAAGCTTCTAGAATAAACCTTGGTGAAGAAAACAATTGTTATGTATATCATGCAATCTCCCCCTAATTGATCCATTATATAAAGCCAGAATTTTTATATTTTGAATTTGTTTAAAATTAGAAACAATCCATTTGGTTGGCCAGTTTTAGACTAACTGATGATTTCTGAAAATAATTTCCGGAGGCTTGAGAAGCTGGTTAGTCAAATTGGACAGAATATAAAGTTTTGAAAACAGGCCATGGTGCCTACTTGGGGGGGGGGGGGTCTTCTTGCACTTGGCAGGTTCTTTGTGGGCTGATGGTGAAAAAGAAGCTGCTCTTGCTCTTGCAGAAGTTACAGCTGAGAAGGGGACACACGAAGGAAAGCACTTGAAGCGGATATAAGATGAACACTGAGGCTTCAAGTGTGGGCAAGGAGCTAGGGCAGCATGAGGGGTGATCCAGCCGTTATGGGAACTTCAAGGGGAGAGGGGGCTTGAGGAAGGAGAGGCACTTTGTTATGAGAAGACGATGAGGCTAGCAGACATTCCAGGCAGAGGGGACAAAGCTGAGTGCCGGGATTAATTTTATGTGCCAGGCTGACTAGGTCACAGGCTGCATAGATAGCTGGTAAAACATGATTTCTGGGTGTGTCTGTGAGGGTGTTTGTGGAAGAGACTGGCATTTGAATCAGTACACAGAGTAAGGTGGATGGCCCTTACTAGTACAGGCAGGTATCATCCCATCTGCTGAGGGCCTGAACAGAACAACAAGGGAGAAGAAGGGCAGATGGGCTTTCTTTCCTCCAGCTGGGCCATCCCTCTTCTCCTACCCTCAGGCATCAGTGCTCCTGGTTTCTGGGCCTTCAGACTCAAATAGTGAGAGACAGGACTAGCTGGATTTCCTAGGCTGACTAAGAATTCCTAAGCCTAGCTGGGGAAGGTGACCACACCTACCTTTAAACAAGGGGCTTGTAACTCAGCTCACACCCGACCAATCAGGTAGTAAAGAGGGCTCACTAAAATACAAATTAGGCTAAAAGCAGGAGGTAAAGAAATAGTCAATCATCTATCACCTGAGAGCACAGGGGCAGGGACAATGATTGGGATATAAACCCCAGGCATTCGAGCTGGGCGTGGGCAACCCCCTTTGGGTCCCTACCCATTTTATGGGAGCTCTGTTTTCACTCTATTAAATCTTGCAACTGCACACTCTTCTGGTCCATGTTTGTTCTGGCTCGAGCTGAGCTTTCTCTCACCGTCCACCACTGCTGTTCGCCGGCATCCCAGACTCTCCATTGACTTCCACCCCTCCGGATCCGGCAGGGTGTCTGCTGCATTTCCGATCCAGCGAGGCGCCCATTGCCACTCCTGTTCGGGCTAAAGGTTCGCCATTGTTCCTGCACGGCTAAGGCTCGGGTTTCTGCTAATCAAGCTGAACACTAGTCACTGGGTTCCACGTTCTCTTCCATGACCCACGGCTTCTAACAGAGCTATAACACTCACCGCATGGCCCAAGGTTTCATTCCTTGGAATCCGTGAGGCCAAGAACCCCAAGTCAGAGAATAAAAGGCTGGCCGCCATCTTGGGAGCGGCTGCCACCCTCTTGGCAGCTCTAAGAACAAAGACCCACCCGTAACAATAGGACTTAGACCATGGACCTCCAATTCTCCGCCTTCGGTCTTGGATTGGGACTTATGCCATCGGCTCCTCTCAGGCCTTCAGGTTTGGACTTAAATGAGACTCCCAGCTTTTCTGGGCCTCCAGCTTGCAGTAGTCAGGCCATGGAACTTCTTAGTGTCCATAATCACATGAGCCAATACTTCATAATAAATTTCTTCCTATAGCTATATAAATTGAATATAAATATAGATCTATGTATATCCAATGGGCCTTCTCTGGAGAGCTCTAATATACTGAGAGACATCAATGATTTCTCAGTCAGGGCAGGCTAGATAATGCTGAGTAACAGACAACCCTAAGGTTACCATGGCTTAAGGCAGCAAGGTGGACGTATCTCTCACGCTCACGTCATCTTTATTGGCAGTGGGCTCTGCTCCCAGGCTGATGGAACCACCATCTATGGCATCGCTGTCTCCTTGGTCTGGGAGAACCCAGTGAATCACATGCTCTTCAAAGCTTCTCTGCAGAAGCCACACATGTCCCTTTCGCTCACATCTTAGTAGCCAAAGCAAGTAACATGGTCACACCTAACTTCAAGGGCATGGGGTCGTGCCATCCTGCCATATATCCAGAATGAGAGGAAACGCTATAGATGAAAGCCTCGAAGCATATTGACCCTTCATGGCGGGTCAGAAGTGGCAGGGGTGAATGGAAGCAGGCTGGTGAGATTGTGAAGTGCCCTGACAGGCTCCATAGTTCAGACCCTGGAGCTGTGGAAGGCCTCTCATAAACAGACTCAGACACACAAGGTATGTTTAAGCTTCCCAAAGAGGATGCTGGTGGTGGGGTGGAGAAGGTCTCAGCAACCAGGGACAGGGAGGAAGATTCTGCATTGACTGTGGGACAAAGTGGAGGAGAGGTGATGAATTTGAGAGGTATTTCTGAGGTAAAATCAGTGGGATTTGGTGAAAGACTTGCTCTGTCAAGAGAGGAATTTAAGACAGGGTGGAGGGTTTTCAGTTGGGAGCTGAGGCCATTGATTTTATGACTAAGAGCAAAGGTTAAGCAGAAACAGAGGCTCAAGGGGAGACAAGCTGGATCTGGGACGCTTGGGGTTTGAGATTCCTGGGGCATCCAAGACATCGCGTCTCCTTGACACGCAAGGCAGAAGCCCCAGGCGCTAGGTTGAGAGTTATCTTCGGAGGCTGCTGAAGGGCTGGCGGTGGGTGGGCACCCCGAGACAGAGGGCACATAGTGAGAGGGAGGCTCTGGCTGGAAGTCGGGCACACACAGGTGGAGATGCAGGGGGCAGCCAGCGGGCCGCGCGTGAACACCGAGGGGAGGAAGCTTCCACGGAGCAGCTTCAGCTTCAGGGACAGCCCTGGCGGACGCGGGGGAGCCGGGGGAGCCATGAACTCGAAAAGGAGACATCCGTGGGATACTCAGAAATCATTGGCGATATTTGAGAGAGCAATTGCAGTGCAGCTGTGGGGGCAGACACCGCCAAAGGTGGAAGGCCCTTCTTCAAAGGGCTTCACACAAGCTCTTTCCTCAGCTCAGAAATTCCCTGGCTTCCGGCTGAGGGTGGTGGCTCACGCCTGAATCCCAGCACTTTGGGAGGCCGAGGTGGGCGGGTCATGAGGTCAGGAGTTCGAGACCAGCCTGGCTAACCTGGCGAAACCCTGTCTCACTAAAAATACAAAAATTAGCCCGGCGTGGTGGCACGCACCTGTAATCCTAGCTACTTGGGAGGCTGAGGCAGGAGAATCGCTTGAGTGGAAGTTGCTGTGAACCTAGATCGCGCCACTGCACTCCAGCCTGGGCGACAGAGCGAGACTCCGTCTCAAAGAAACAAAAACAAAAAAACAAAAGAAAAGAAATTCCTTAGCTTCCTTAGTATGTAAAATAATCTGGAAGAGCATTTCTCACTCCCCTGGGCTCTCCCCTCTGGAGGCCTCCCCACCCGTTGCGCCCCAGGAGCCTCTACTCCTGCAGCCTGGTGTGTAGCGCCCACTGCCCTCTCCTGCGCAGCCGGGGCCTGGCTCTCCTCTCCCTGCCCATGCTCAGCTGCCTCCGCGCCCGGCGGGGATCGGGCATGTGCTGTGCTCATCTGTGCAGCCTCAGTGTCCGTCTCATAGAAGAGGTCCAGGAAAATTCATCAGCTTTGAATGAGGGGAGGTGGGGGAGCGAGCATACCTGCAGGCTGAGAAGGAGTCAGTAAAGAAAGAGAGGTGGAAAACAAAAAAGAAGAAAGACTATGGCATCGGGGGGAGATGGGGCAAGAGTGCAGGAGAAGGGATTTCCTTGGCAAAGGCGTAGGGATGCTCCTACCAGGGACAGAATGCAAAACAAAAAGAGCAAGAAAAGTGGTGGATAAATCCACGTCCAGTTAAAGATGGCGGGCTGAACACCCGTATTTATCTCAGCTCCTTCCGGAACCGCAGGAAGTTATAGTCGGGGAGAAAACAGTGTATAGACCGACCTAGTGGACAAGAGCATCCGATGATTAGAGGAAAGGAAGGCAGCAGGGAAAGAACAGAGAAGGAGTCGCCACTGAGATGTGCAAAGAGCCCGGAGTCTCCCTGCAGAGCCCGGGAAGCCTGGGCGCCAGGAACCCCAGAACACCAGGAGAGGGTGCATTGACTGCAGAAGCACATACCCTCCCCCTACACAGAAGAAACGCATCCAGAAGCCTGTGAACTCTGGCAGTGGGAGAGAGGGGTGAGAGACTGGTGTGAGAACAGGTTACCTGTCTGTTGTGGAAGGGGAGAGCTTCCAGCCCTGCCCCGGCTTGCTCCACAGCACAGGTAGACACACCTGTGCTTGGTCCACACCACCCCAGGGTGCAGACTGGATGCCTCATTACTATAATAACTAAATAGCCCCAAAGTAAAGACCTGCAACTTCTCTAACTTGGGTCCCAGCTCAATCACCCTAAGGAAAATTGTTATCTCCAATTAGATTTCAATCATTTACTTTTAAATATATACAAAGAATCATCAAACATTTGAGAAAGCATCATACACGAAAGTTAGAGCTCAAAACAAACAGGGAAAAACATAATATCCCCCAAAATACTGCACCTATGAAAAAAAACAGGAAGGCATTACAAATAATAAAGAACAAAAAAGTGCTTTTAGGAATTAAAATTATAGGCTGGGCACAGTGGCTCATGCCTGTGAACCGAACACTGTAAGGGGCCAAGGCAGGAGGATTGCTTTGAGCCTAGGAGTTTGAGACAAGCCTGGGCAACATAGTGAGACCCCCATCTCTATTAATTAAAAGGAAAAAGAAAATTTTTAAAAGAACTTTAAAAATAAGAAATTAAAAGTATATCAAATTAAAAATTTTAATGAGTAGAAAAAGTCAACGAAATATCCTAGAAAATATTTATAGATTCAAAAAGACAAAGGTGAAAATATAAAGGAAAAGAGAAAAAGTAGACTCTAAATGTACAAAGAATTATAAATTCCATAAAGGAATAACCGAAGAAACAGAGAGAAGAGGAATTTATCAATAGAATAAGAAAAAACTGTCAAGAGGAAGGGACAAGAGTTTTCAGATTTAAAGTGTCAGTTATGTATCCCAGGAAAATACTGAAAAATTTTTTCAAGTATTTTTTCCAAGGCAACTCATGTCACTGTAAAATTTTTATAACGCAGCTATAAAGGAAAGATCATAAACACTTCCAGAAAGACAAAATAACAATCACATGCAAATAACTGGGAACGAGGATGGCTTCCAACCAACTTCTAAGCTGCAACATTGCAAGGTGGAAGGCACTGGAAGGCCTTCAAAATGCCAAGGGAAAGTTATTTTCAACCTGGAATTTCATTGTCAAGCTATTATCAGTCAATTATGAGCAAGGATAAAGCAAGCAAAGGACCTGACCAATGCTCTTACCTTGATCTAACTCTAGTCCGGCTCCTCTGAATTCTGACTGGGCCCTGACCTTGGGCTCTGTTCTTGGCCCACTTACTCTGACCTTAGCAAGAATCCTCCTGAGTCACTTAGTGAAAATCCCCCACCCTTAGTCCGACCCCTCTTGCTATCTTATCACCCTGGCTACCTTCAGCAAAAATTCAGATAGGTCATTTTAGCAAAGAACTGCCTTAGCAAAGAATGACTCTTGGTAATTTTCCATCCACCAGCCCCCCACACCTGCTTCTTGCCTATACATCTGCATTTTTGCTTATTGTAGTCAGAATTGAGCCAGTGTCTCTTGCCTACTACAAAACCCCACTGTGGCAGCCCCCCTTGAATAAAGTCTTCCTTACCACCTTTTACTTAACAAGTGCCAGGAGTATTTTTCTCTTTAATAGATCACACAATTTATTTCCAGTACACTCTTGCTAAGGAAGCTACTGGAAGATTTCACCCAAAATAGGGAGTAAATGAAGAAGAAGGAGATATCTGACTGAGAAATGGAATACAATGCTGGGGAGGGTGGAGGGGACCGCTCCAGGTGGTAAGTGAAGGCCAGGGGGGCAGGCTTGCTGCCTGCAGCAGCAGGAGGGGGCTAGAAGAGAGCCCTGCAGGGAAAGACAGAACTGATACCTGCTATGTGGGGAAACGGCTCCCTGGTAAAAACAAATCAAAACCTGACTTGTAGCATTGGCTGATTTCTGTACTGTAAAGGCTCTCACCATGCTGTGTTGAGCAACTAAATTATAGAATTCCTGAATATTTAACAGCAGATTCTTTCAGCCAGTAGGAGGTGGCACGAGTACACTGCCCGAACCAGTCCATTACCTGATGTGTTTGTGTGGAAAACAGCATTGAGAGGCATTTTGCTGTCCCATTAGGTGGGACAAGATGAATTTGGGATAGCTATATAGAAAATGAGGCAAAGGGAACAGTCAGTTTTAATTCCAAACAAGTATAAAAAACTTACGTGAGACAGCAAATGGGACTAGCCTAGCAGTATATTGGGCTCAGTGTTGAAAATGTAAGCAATGAAAACTGATTTAACAGAAATGGGGATAGACTGGAAGCATTGGGGTGGGAGGGGCAGGTAAGTGCTAAGTTTTCATCTCATAGCAGACAGTGGATGGATAATCAATCAATAAACAGGACAACAAGCATTTTTATTTAGAACTTTGGAAGAACCAGGTTGAAAGTAGAATTCAACCTCAGGCAGGGAGGGAGGCGTTGGCAACTGCCTTTTTTAAATGTCATGGTTTAGGTCCTTTTGGGCACCTTAAACCATGAGCACGTAGTCCTTGGGTAGGCAAAAAGATTGTGTTTTAAAGGCGATGCGTACTCCAGAAGTGGGGAGGAGCTCAGGCAAGTCTACTGGACAGTGGATCAGGAAAGGGAGGGCTAAGGGGAAAAGCTTTTGCATGCTTCCTCTGTAGCAAATCCACTTAGAGATTCTGATCCTCCTCCTCTACCTCTTCCTCCTCCTTTGCTTCCTCTTCTTCTTTATTATGGTAAAATATACATAAAATAAATATTACCATCTTAACCATTTTTAAGTGTACAGTTCAATGGCATTAAGTATCACACATTCACCTTGTTGCACAACTATCAGTACCGTTCAACTCCAGAACTTTTTCATCTTTCTAAACTGAAACTCTGTGCTCATTAAACACTAATCCTCATTCCCCCTCCTGTCAGCCCCTGGAAACCACCCTTCTACTTTCTGTCCCTGAATCTGACTACTCTGGGTACCTCTTATAAGTGGAATCGTGCAGCATTTTCCTTTTGTGACCAGCTTATTTCACTGGTCCTCAAGGCTCCCCCATGTCGTGGCACGTGTTAGAATGCTCTTCCTCTTCAAGGCTGATTAATACTCCCTTGTATGCGTACACCACATCTTCTTTATTCGCTGAGTTGATGGACACGTAGGTTGCTTCCACTTTTTGGCTGTTGTGAATAATGCTGCTATAAACATGGATGTGCAAATATCTGCTTGAATCTCTACCTTAAATTCATTTGGGTACATATCCAGAAGCGGAATTGCTGAATCATATGGTAATTCTATGTGTTTTTTGTTTTTGTTTTTTTTTTTGTTTGTTTGTTTTTTGAGGAACTGCCACACTGTTTTCTACAGTGATTTTACCATTTAATATTCCCACCAGTGGAACAAGTGTTTAAGTTTTCCCCATCCCCACCAATACTTGCTATTTTCTTTCCTTTTTTTTTTTTAAACAAAAAATACAATAGCTGTCCTAACGGGTATGAAGTAGTACTTAGAGATTCTTAATACTGTACTCAAGTTATTTCTCAATCGAATTTCAGCCACTTTCTCTAATTTGGGTCTGGAGAGAGAGTCCCTGACAGCAGCTGGCATCTGGGAAACACTTACTCAGTGGTGGACATTCTAAACCAGCTGACTGTTCACTGCAAACAAGACTTGACCCGACAGATGGCCTGTATGTTCTGTGGGCCTGTAGAGAAGAATCACCACTCAAAACTCACATCTCACTGCCTCCCACCCAACCCACTCGCCGGCCTTTTGCTTTCCAAATGGAGGCATCTGACAGGCCTCATGGTGGATACCCCTCTGTGCACCAGGGATCTCCAGGTGCCCAGGTGATGATGGTTGATGGAAAGAACGTCTTGCTTTGCTTGAGTGTGAGACATTTTGACATTGCCATTTTGATCTTCCCTAAAAGCCAATATTACACCTTTTGAGGAGATACCCTCTTCCTGCCCACAGCCTCACACATCCTCCCACATCCTCTGCTGTGGAATGGGGCTAAGGGTGGTGGAAAATACAGGGACAGGGTGGGCACGCCACGTCAAATAAAAAAGCATGTCATGGGTTTTTCTTTTTTCTTTTTCTTTTCTTTTCTTTTTTGAGACAGAATTTCACTCTTGTTGCCCAGGCTGAAGTGCAGTGGCACAATCTCAGCTCACTGCAACCTCTGCCTCCCACATTCAAGTGATTCTTGTGCCTCAGCCCCCCAAGTAGCTGGGATTACAGGTGTGTGCCACCACACCCAAATAATTTTTGTATTTTTAGTAGAGACGGGGCTTTGCCATGTTGGCCAGGTTGGTCTCGAACTCCTGGCCTCAAGTGATCTGCCTGCCTTGGCCCCCCAATCTGCTATAGGCGTGAGCCACTATACCTGGCCCTACTGCTAGAATCTATTCCTTGTATCTAGCTGTAATTCCGTATCTGTTAACTCATGTCTCACTATCCTACCTCTTCTCATCCTTTAGTAACCGCTATCCATTTCTATGATATGCACCTTTTTATCTCCCACATGTGAGAACATGCAGTATTGACCTGTCTGTGCCTGGCTTATTTCACTTAACATAATGTCCTCAAGGCTCATCCATATTCCTAGGAGCAGTTTTCTAAGAATCTCTCACTTTACACAAGATGCGATGGCCCTGGCTCCATCACAAGCAGGAGAGAGACACACAAGTTTCTAACTATGGAGTAAGAAACTCTTCTATGATAACAGGTGGACCCTGAAGGCTGGCATGACCCCAGCCTAGAGGGACAAACTGCCTCTGACGGTCAAACTCACTCTGCACAGGCTTGCCGAGAACTTGAGTGTTCCTCTGTGGGAATGAGAGAATGTGCCCAGCCCAAGTCTTTCCTCTGACATTGGGTGTATCCTTCACACGGCTAGTCTGCTGGTTTGGTAGTTAGCCAGATGGAAACGACCTGAAACTAAGTCTGAGTCATCTGTCTCACTCATCTTTGAATCCATTCATTCGTTTGCTCCATCACTCATTCATCATAGAAATAATTATGGAACATTCTGTGTGTACCAGGCACTGCTCTTGGCACTTGGGATACTGAAGTAAACAAAACAAAGACAAAGATAACCCCCTAACTTCATGGCAGGGCAAAGACAAGGACCAAGGAGCATCTGTGTAAAAGTGAATTGGAGAGTTTATCTGAAGAGGGTGGCAGGCATGGAGGAAAGAGAAAAGCTTGAGCCTAGTAGAACAGGTGGGGTGATCATGAGTGTTCCGCAGGGTGCAGGGGCCTCACAGAGCATGGAGGAGCAGGACCTGCAGCTCCCTAGTGTGGAGTGTGCCCCTCCATATGCAGGAGGTCACGGAGATCTGGCCCCCTTTGCTGGGAGCAAATGTCGGACTGTGAGTGCAGTCCCAGGGAAGTCAGTGCAGGGGTTGGGGGTGGTGGTGGGGAGAGACAATTGCATCTGGACACATTTTGAAGCTGAACTAAGAAGATTTCAGAAAGGATTGGGTGGGGTCAGAGATGGGGACAGTAGGGGAGGAATGGGGTAGGGGTTGACTTGGGGTGTGGGCCTGTGAGCTCAGGAGGTGTCTGTGTGGAATGGAAAGGTGATTTCTCACTTCGCCCAGGCCATGTGTGGTACCACGTCCGAATGTCTGCACACTTCAGATTCAACTGGACCCCTTTGGGTGTACCCAGAGCTTATTTGCTGCTGTGATCTTTACAGTTCCCTTTCATATTGGGCTCAGATATGTTGAATGTATCCGACTAACTGAGAATTTGAACGAACAAAAAAGATGATGGGACCAGATAGGCAATTACTGCTGGAAAATCATGACCTTCCCAACTTCAGTGTTCTCTGCCCCAGAGGCAGGTTTTCATTTTAATGTGAAACTTCAGCTACTGTCTTGGAGGGGGTGGACTTTTCATCTTCCAGATCTGGGGAGGAAGGTTATATTGAGCATTATGGAAGCCGCTTCAGATGCAGATTTTAGGAAGACCCAAGAGAAGAAAATAGGACTCTATGACATCACTTCCATATGGAAGGGAGCTTGGAACAGATTTCCTAGTGCACAGTAGTCTTGAGAGAAGTCACCATGCTGTCTTCCTCGTTCCCACTTGCTCTGCCAGGAGTGATGCCCAAAATACTCCTTCTCGATTGACACTACAAATATATCCCTCTCTCCCAAGAAGCTCATCATGGCTCTGAAGTTCCCAGTTCATGAAAGCCAGGAGTGATGCCCAAAATACTCCTTCTCGATTGACACTACAAATATATCCCTCTCTCCCAAGAAGCTCATCATGGCTCTGAAGTTCCCAGTTCATGAAATTAAAATTTATCACTATAGTTTTCTTCCCCCGCTCTGAGACAGAGTCTTTCTCTGTCACCCAGAGCTGGAGTGCAATGGCACAATCTCAGCTCACTGCAACCTCTGCCTCCCAGGTTCAAGCAATTCTCCTGCCTCAGCCTCCCGAGTAGCTGGGATTACAGGCACATGCCACCATGCCCGGCTAATTTTTGTATTTTTAGTAGAGACGGGGTTTCACCATGTTGGCCAGGCTGGTCTCGAACTCCTGACCTCGTGATCCGCCCGCCTTGGTCTCTCAAAGTGCTAGGATTACAGGCGTGAACCACTGTACCCGGCCTATCCCTGTGGTTTTTAAGGCTGTATCAAATGGCTCCATTTTACCTCTCTGGGCACATTTTACACACAAATGACAAACATAATCATAATCAGCAACATAATAAGAAGTCTGTAATTCTTTGTTATTTTATGTATTTGTTCGTTCAGAAAATATTAAGCACCTACTGTGCGTAGGGCACTGTTTTAGTAGCTGGGAATACAATGGTGGATCTAACTCCAGTCTTCATGGGACTTATAATCCAGAAAAGGATCCCAATAAGAGAAGAATCTCCATCCGGTAGAGTGTTGGGTGGTCCAGATGAGACACACTCAGAGATGGCAGAGATGATGTCTTACAGGGACTGACCATGGGCTTGAGGCCCCAATGAGGAGTCAGCCCAACAGTCTCTGGATCATCCCGCAGACACTCAGGGTCCAGGACACTAGCAAGACCCCAAGTGAGGCCAGGCCAGCAGGTAAACAGGGTCTAGAGCCCATGAAGCATGATGGTGAGAACAGAAAACAGGTGCCTGCCGTGGGCTGACGCCCTGCACCCAAATGTCTGCTGAGGGATGGTGCTGGTCCAGGGCTTCCTGACCAAGGGAGGTCCATACACCTGGGTGGGAAAAAAATATTTATTGCCACTAATCTCTAACCAAAAGTTAGCATTTCTTTCAGTTATAAATGTGCATAATAAACGACTGTTACAGTACTGGGAGGCAATGTTTGACAGATTCAGCAAATAAAAAATACAGGATGCCTAAATAAATTTCAGATAAACAAAATTTTTTAGTATATCTCACGCAATATTTGACACATACTTACACTACAAAAGTTATTCATTGTTTACCTGAAATTTAAATTTAACTGGTGTCCTGTATTGTATCTGGCAACCCTCTGTCCTGGGGACTCTGTCCCCAACAGCAATCAGCTATTTCCATTCACATTATGCTTGTTGCAATTATCCTGACACACATGTGTGCTCACTATTCCAAAATTGCAGCAGCTATGAAACCAGCTTCCAGATTATTTAATGCATTAATGATGCACATATGTTGTCATATAGCAAGTTGGTTTTTTAAAACTTATTTTGCTGTTTCAGTGTCATTGGTTTTCTCTGTCACCTGATATAGTTAATTTCATGCACTTAGAAGCATGAGTGTGAGGAGTCCATGGTCTTCTGCAGACGACCTTGGGGATCCACGGCATGAAGACAGGGAAAGCTCCAGCAGTGCAGTACCCGTCACCCCTTCTCCATGAGCACAGGCCTGACGGCATCCCCCACGTGCCCCCGAGGCCACACTCCCTGTGCAGTATGCTGGCCCTGGGGGAAGGCTGCCGGATCCTGTGCGGGCCCTGAGAGCCCACATGTTGACAGCCCTGATGTCGGCAGTCAAGGTAGCAGGAGCCTCGCAGCCTGTACACGTGGATGACAGTCCTAGCACACCTTCCAGTGGGTCCAGGAGCCCCCACCGCCCCAATCCTTGCAAAACCTTCCCCTCACAGAGCCAAGGTTCGTCTTAAAGGCTGGGCAGGGTGAGGAGACTTGGGGATGAGAGCAAGGAGAAGCAGCCCTACTGAGGAGCAGCCCGAAGAGTTGCTTGGAGGGGACGGGATAAACATTAAATTGTTCCTGCTACCCAGTGGGTGAGAGCAGACGGGCAGGAAGGGCAGATGATTCTAGAGAAAATCCACCACATTTGCTGGTCCCAGTTTTGTCCTCATGGTGCATACCACTGTGTTTATCTCTGTGTATGTCTGGAGCCCTGGGGCAAACCCGTCCCTCCCTCCCTCCCTCCCTCCCTCATCCCTCCTTTCTTCCTTCCCTCCCACACAACTCCACTATGCTAAGCCCCTTCTTGTTACTTTGCTTTGGGTCCAAGCCCAGTGCCTTCTCCTGATGCCAAGATCACATTCTCACCCACTCTGGTTTAGCTCCCCCCACCCCAGCCTGCCCTCCCTTCCTCCCCCACCAATGCCAGCCTCTGCCCCATGTGGCCCCTTCGCAGCGCTTGTTGACACACCTGACACAAAGCTCGTGTCTCCAGTAACGCACCAAACGTACCCAGGACAGGGCCCAAGTGTGAAGCCGTGAGCGCACTGAGGGTGCTGCAGGGGCACCCAGGCCTGGCACAGGCGTGCTTCTCAGTGCACATTTGTTGAATGCGTGAATGAATGGATGAGTGAATTGAATTAAACAGTAGGTGCCACATGAACCCTGATTTAGAAATAACATGGGGCCCACAGGAATTACCTTTAAAGTGTTTATTTTAATTTATCTCCAAAGGCCAGGATTTGAGAAAGACAATCGGTATGTCTATGCACAAATGGAATTCATATTTTTGACTTACATGTGGAAATTCCTGTTTGCAGAACCTTTCCTCCACCAAGATCCTAGAATGTAGTCAGGAAGACTCATGCACCAGCCTGCCTGGGCTCTAGTCCCAGCTGCACCGCTACTGCCATGTGACCTGAGCACGTTAATTACCCTTTCTGGGACTTGATGTTTCCCATCTGCACATTGGGTGAAATTAGAATAAATTTTACAGGCTTTTGTGAGGGCTGAGGCGGTCCATCTGCATAAATCACTTTGATGGATGTCTGCCTCATCATGAGAGACACGTCAGGCAGGCGCTTGGAGGGTGCTGGTTCATTTGGTTTTGAAATGTGTGGGTGTCACATCACATTAGGTGGCCGATCTAATGGCCCTAAGGGAAGGACCTGAATTCCTATCCCAGCCTCCCCACACCGCAGTCAGCTGACTCCAAAGCATAGGGATGCAGGCAGAGATGAAACCGTGTATAAAATACATTTATTTAGATCCAAGAATACGGTTAGCATCCAGCTGCTCCTCCCTCCACCTAACTGTGTAAGAACCAAGCTGCCACACAGAGAAACCTTGGTGCTTCTGCTTCGAGAGAACCAAGTTCATATCATCTCCATCTTAAACACTTTTGTTAAAGCCGCATACCGAGCACACGTATAGCCATGGTGTGTGTGTGTGTGTGTGTGTGTGTGTGTGTGTGTGTGTGTTTGAGGGTGGCATTTGGTAAAGCCCTCTCAGAGGTTACTTACATGCACCTTCAGCCTGTGGGCACTCACTCACCATCACTTTGCTAGACTGTGCTTTACACTGTGCTATGCTTAATAAGAGCACATGGAAACAGCTTTTTAAAAAAGGTGATTATATGTAACTACATATATATGTGCATTTAGGAAAACATGGGACAGTTGTCTTGGAGACAACATCCTCATTTAAAGAGACCACTCTTAGCCCTGGGCTGGGGTCTCTGCATTTGATTCCCACCCCTGGCTGGATTTGGGAATCCCTGTCAGGGCTGGGGGAGGGAACGAGGGAACCACCAGAGGGAGGGGACATGTGATCCTGGTTCCTTGTGCAGGATCCCCAGCAGGGAGGCTGCAGACAGCAGCAGCCGCAGCCCCACGTGGCCAGCCCGCGTGAGAAATCCAGGCTGAAAATAGCCTAGAGCCTCACACTCTACAGCTCAGGGAGGCACGATTTTTCCTGTAGGGTTCAGAGCAGCGTTAGGAGAGCACTGATGAAATTGCGGCACACCAGAAGCATTGGCTTATTCTTATATGTCACTGGAATACACCGCAGGCTTGCTTTTCCTTTAACTCCAGTGCCTTCTGATAAATCTGGAATGTGCATTGAGGAATGCCGGGGCGGGGGGGCATTTCCTGGGTTCGGGGGCTGTGAAGACCTCTCCCCAAGCCCCTGCAGAGACCAGGCTTTGTGTACACAGCCTCTTCCAGCAGGAGGGCTCCCAGTCTCTGAATGTGTCACGTACACTTCCTTTCAAGGGATCACTATGCGGCTGCATGCTTAGGTGTAGCCGAGAATTGAGCTCCTTCTTCACACAGAGGAATATCGTATTACCTTTCTTTTTTCAAAAAACAATGTATATTATCTTCAGCAATAAAACTGCATGGTTTGCTCTCAGGGCATGATTCAAGAACAGACCAAATAAAAGGGGCCTTGGAGGATCTTTAAAAAATTCCAGTTTTAGTGTATAGACCTAATGGAACCTCCTTTTATTGAATCTATTTATAAACGCTCAATCCAATTGCGTGGATTTGGAAAGCTAACATTTTCAACACGAGACAGCTGGTGGAATGTGTGCTCTTAGTTCTAAGAATAGGTAAATCCCAAGGAATATAGCTGTGCTTCCTGTTGTGAGATGGTGCAGATGTTCTAATAGCGAAGATCAAAATGACATTTGCCAGTTATGAAAATCATCCTCAATTAACCGTGAAAAATACTGTCTCGTCTATCAGATAATTTCTCCCTCTCTCTCCTCTCTCATTTCTTGTATGGGATTTTTGAGATGGAAACTCCCCATCTTAGTGGGAAGGGAGGGGATAAGGGGCAGAGAAATAAGAAGCGAGTATAAAGTATACAAGATGCTATCATGAGGCAGTAGTTCCTGCAAAGGAAATACAGTGTGTGTACAGCAGAAGTGTCTGGCTTAGGGTTGGGGAAGGTGTCCCAGTTTATGTCTGCAGAGGCCGGCCGGGTGCCCCAGGGGAGCTGTCCTGCCCAGCGTGGCTCTTCTGATGGCTTCCGAGCCCCTGGCTGTCAGCCCCCAGTTTTCTCTGAGAGAAAGTGGGAGCTAAAAATAGCAGAATGACTTGCACTGGACCTCCACATCCACGTGTTTCCTGCATCTCCGGCCATAACTCAGGACAGAGATTTATGGCCACCTGGGTTCCAACAAGTTACTCAGGGTTTCCCAGTCAGAGCAGACACATTTGCTGTCATGTTGATTTTACAAGGAGATGAACTTTCAGAGGCTCTGAAAGTGAAGGGTGATGAGGCAAGCCCTGCCACCAAGCAGGCTCAGGCTGGAGGCTCTGGAAGCCTCTCTGAGCTCTGTCTCGGAATCGAGTGCTTTGAAAATATTTTGATCTAAAATTGTATTCCCTAAGGTGCTCTTGCCTCTTTTTTTTTTAATTAAAAAATTGTTGTGGTAACTTGCACATACATCAAATGTATCATTTTAACCGCTTTAAAGCATATAGTTGGTTCCGGGGCCTGAAGTACCTTCATGCTGTTGTGCAACCAGCACCACCATCCATCGCAGAGCTTTTTCATCAACCTAAATGGAAACTCTGTGCCCATTAAATACGAACTCCCCTTTCCCCTTCCAGCTCCTGGCCACCCCCATTCTACTTCCTGTCTGCACAAGTTTGACTACTCTAGGCACCACATGTAGGTGGAGTCACATCATCTGTCCTATTTTTTTCGTTTGTTTGAGAAGGGGTTTCACTCTTGTTGCCCAGGCTGGAGTGCAACGGCACGATCTCGGCTCACTGCAGCCTCCACCTCCTGAGTTCAAGTGATTCTCCTGCCTCAGCCTCCCAAGTAGCTGGGATTATAGGCGTCCACCACCACGCCAGCTAATTTTTGTATTTTTAGTAGAGACGGGGTTTCGTCATGTTGGCCAGGCTGGTCTCGAACTCCTGACCTCAGGTGATCCACCAGCCTCAGCCTCCCAAAGTGCTGGGATTACAGGCGTGAGCCACCGTGCCCGGCCCGTCCTTTCGTGACTGCCCTCCTTCACTCAGTTTCCTGTCCTCTAGGTTCATCTGTGTTGTACATGTGTTAGACATTCCCTCCTTTTAAGACGGAATAATATCCCCTTCTATGTAGAGTCCATATTTTTGTTTATTCATTCATCTGTCGGCCGACATGGGCTATGTTTATCTGTTGGCTATTGTGCAGAATGCTGCTATGAATATGGCAGTGTAAATATCTGTGTGAGTCCCTGCTTTGAATTGCTTGGGTAGGTACCTGGAACTGTAACTGCTGGATCAGATGGTCATTCTGCCTTTAATTTTGGGAGGAATTGCCACATTGTTTCCCACAGCAGCTGTGCCATTTTGCATTCCTTCCAGCAGTGCACAGGGCTCTGGAGCTTCCACATCTTCACCAGCTCTTGTCATTTCTTCATTGTTTAAATGATCCAGAAAGCCTTCTTAATGGGGGTGAGGTGCTATCTCACTGTGGTTTTGTCTTTCTCTATTGATTAGTGATGTTGAGTATGCCTTGACTATCCTTGTTATGAGATTTTATATGAATGATTACCAAAACAATGGAAAAAACTCTTGTAGGATATGTTTGGTGGTTGTTTTCGAGGGTAGACCGAGGGTAAGGGAAATCATGGTGCCTGGGAGGGAGAAGGGGTCCTAGGGCAAGACGAGGTGTGCGGAGGGTTACTAGTTTAAGGACTAACCTGTGGTCACTGCTCCTGAGACACTTGTACGGATGTGTGCACGGCCACATCCCAAGCGTAACATCCTGGGGTGGGACGAGGAGAAGGAGGGTCACAGGGGCAAGGGCCAATGAGCAGGGCCAGTGAGCAGCATGCAAAACCATACCCAGGGCCCCTCAGGGGCTCTGAGGGCTGCAGGGTGGGCTGCCACTCCAGTGGTCAGCCGTCAGGATGAACTGGAATCTCATTCCAACGTGGAGGGTGGGTTTTACAGGAGCAGCCCACTCCGGTTGAGCGAGGTAGCTCAGGCAAAACCTGCTGGACTCCCCCTATGCGCTGGGCAGGGGCGGAGGAGGCCCCTGCTACCCACTGTCATGGACACTCCTTGGCAGAAATTTCAAACAAGCGTCGAGGAGAGGTGGGGCTTCCTGGGTGTCGGTCTTATACAACTGCTGCTCCCGTGCAGCAGCCAATGGCTTTCAGCTACATCAGCTGCAAAAGAGGTACATTTCTGTCAGAACTGTCCTCATTCTGCAATTTGCTCTCTTCAGTTTCAAACTACTCTAATGTGTCCTCACATGTGTGGCCACACACATAGGACTTTCACAAGCATGAACTGGACCCGACAGCTGGGGGACGACGTTGCCCTTCCAAGTGACGGAGATGTCACTCTGCAGTGGGCCGGGCTTCCAGAGTAGAGCGTTCTGAAGGACTCACCCTTCGTCACTGTCACCCAGAGAAGGCCTTGCATGCCCTTTCTTGTCTGCTTTGGCTCATTTTTGAGACTGCCATGCCCAGAAGTCCTGAGAACAACAAACTATTTTTTTTTCTTTGCATTTAAAGAAGGGAGGGGATGGCAATGCTTCTCTCTGGGAGTCTTTGGTGAAATCCA
The DNA here is from genome assembly GCF_000001405.40 of Homo sapiens. Classification (NCBI taxonomy): domain Eukaryota; kingdom Metazoa; phylum Chordata; class Mammalia; order Primates; family Hominidae; genus Homo; species Homo sapiens. The sequence goes on from NC_000015.10 coordinate 25,673,813, forward strand.
CAATTTCCACTGGGCTTCTTAGCCCTGTCTTGGCAGCCTGGCTGGGCTGCCTCAGTGCCCCACCTGTCCAGAGCTGTCCTGCGTGTGCAGGTGCCGAGGGAGACAGCTGTGAGTGTGTAGCAGTGATGGGCATTCACCTAGTGGATATTTCCCGGCTCCAGCTGTGCTGTGTTTGGGCCACGGAGTGTGATGGGAGACAAGGAGGTTGCGTGTCCCTGGACAGTTACCGCTGTTACACTGATGAAAAGAACGTGATGGCAAGCCTTGGTGTGTGTCCCCAGCCTGGGACGCTCTCCATCAAAGTGCATGTGGGCATGAGTTGCATGGTGCCCTGACGCCCCTGCAGGGTTGGAGGGCAAAGAAGAAGCTCACCCAGGTCCCCTCAGGCTTGCTGGGTGATGAGGCAGAGCCACCCATGCACCGTGGGGTCAGGGCTCTGGAAGTGTTTTCCAAACAGAATAACCATGGCAGCCTCTTGTACCCCAAAGGCCTGAGAGTGAGTCTTCATCACAGGCCTTGAGCTTGGACAAAGGAGATTCAGGATGAGAAAGACGCTTGGCACTACCTGTCTACACACCTCTGCTGTCTTCCCAGCGTAGGGACTGCTGTTGATAATAAATGACGTCTGGTTAACTCAGACGGCCCAGCTAGTCAGGATCCCCTTCTTTGTTTTATTTAGTGATTGTGTCCCTGGCCAGGCCTCTTTAAAATTCACGGCTTCGGGAATAATAAATAAATAAAAAGAAACTTCACAGCTTCATTCTGAAGGCATAGATGGGTCAGCCCTGGCTGTCCAGAACATTTTTGCATTTCTCTCTGGATTATTTGCTGGACAGCTGGTCTGTCTTACATTATTTATTATTTTTTTGTCATTTAACTTTGAGATGCAAAGTTAACATCTGTAAAACTAAAAAGATAGCCTTTTCTAAAATAATTAAATTATGAGCTAGGAAATACCACTTTCTGCAGTAAAGCACGAATCTGCCTGTGGCATTAGAGAAGGCAGCTGTGCTGAAAGCTGGAAGGGAAATGGGAGGACAGCCCGGGGCCTGGGGCCTCCCCAGTCTCACCTGGGTTGCTGTCGCCCTCCAGCCAGAGAGGCTGGGAAAAGGTGAAAAGCAGACAGGTTTGCAGTTCAGGGAACAACCTGGGCTTTGTGTGCCATTTTAAACAAGAACTGAGGATGCTGAAAATTCCTCATTAGGAAGAAAACCTTAAGAGCCGGCCGAAGTCTGCCCTGGCTGGATGGCTGTGGGTGTGCGCACGCTGCTCGGGGAATTTTGGAAGCCGCGGATGGTCTCCCGGCAAAGTTGGAGGCACATCGTGTACTGGTTGGGCCTGAGCCTGGGCCTGGCTCAGAAGGTGTTGGTTTGTGCCATCCCAAGTCTGAGCCATGTCGTACACTTTCCAGCGAAGGCCTCCAGCTGTGGTTTGATTAATGAGGACCAGAGAACAGCAGTACCATTCTAAGCGTCCTGTAAGCACTCTTGTCACTTCTGTTGTTCCAAAACACTTGCCCCAGGTTAGGTATAAACTAAGGTCAAGTAGTTCGAAAGTATTTTAGTGCTTTTAAATACAAACATGAGAAGGGATTCATTCAGTAAGACACCAGGTTGACGTTGTGTGAGAACAGGCTAGGTTGAGATAAAAAAGGAGTTGCAACAGGAAGATCCTCTGGGTGGGGATCTCAGGGCCCGTGTAACAGCAGCCACACCACTGAGAGGCCCTGGAGATGGCTTCCCTTCTGAGTGAGATGAACCCCAGGGGCTGGGAGGGAGGGAGCAACCAGGCTGTCTTCCCCAGAGCTTGCTCAGACCACCAAAGGCCATCATTTCATTAAAGAAAAACAAGGTCAGGCGGCGCTGGCTTACACCTGTAACCCCAGCACTTTGGGACGCTAAGGCAGGCAGATTGCTTGAGCCTCGGAGTTTGAGACCAGCCTGGCCAACACGGCGAAAGCCCATCTATACAAAAAATACAAAAATTAGCCGGGCATGGTGGCAGGTGCCTATAGTCCCAGCTACTTGGGAGGCTAAGGCAGGAGGACCCTGTGGGCCCGGGAGGTAGAGGCTGCAGTGAGCTGTGATCACACCCCTGCACTCCAGCCTGGGCAACAGAATGAGACCCCGTTGGAAAGGAAAGGGGAAGGGGAGGGGAAAGGGGAGGGAGAGGAGGAGGGGAAAGGAAGGGACCAAAAAGCTGGTGGTGACAAAGTTGATTTTGTGATCCACAAATGTGCCCTCACCCTGAGTGTGGGAAGCTCCCCTGGACATGGGCTCTGCAGCAGTGGCAGGGTGAACACTTATGAAAGTCTTCATGCCTTCGAGGTAACAGGTCCAAACAGGTGCATTTTCAGTAGAGATGCGAGGAAAGCAGGAGGAGGGCAAAGCTGAGTCCCGGCCCCTTACCGAAGGCACAGATACGATGAGGGCAGGTGCCTCCTGGCCAATGAGTCAGGGAGCCGGGACCCTCTCTGTGCTCACTCCTCTCCCAGGTCTCTCTCCCTGCTCCTCTCTGCACTTTGCACCTCTCCCCGCGCCTCCCTGGCCTTGCTTGGCTTGGGCCACTTCCATGTGCAGGGGAGAAGCTCTGCTTGTAGTTACATCCAAGCACTTGCAGCCATGCACACTTACAGCTGGGGCCTGCATTTTCTAGTCACAAATAAGGACATTGCCTATGTCTCTCTAACTCCTACACCCACTTTTTCTCTATCTATTCTATAAATGACTGAAAGACAGTCTGGGTATATTTGTGATTTGTCTATTTCTCCTTTTTGTAAATTTGAGTTTCACGTATTTTAAAGCTCTGGTTATTAGGAGTACATCACTTGGGCGATTCTCATGTCCTGAGAAGGCCTTTTTATCATTTTCAGGTCCCTCTTTATGGCCTGAAGTCTATGTTGTCTGATATTAATATAATTATGTCTCCTTTCTTTTACATATTGTTTATATATTAAATCCTTTTGCATCCTTTTACTTTCAACCCACTATCTTTATACTTCACATGCCTTCTTTTGAAGAATGCATGTCTTGTCATATTAGCCAGAGATTACAGAAAATATTAAATCATAATGGGTTACTGCAAGCAATTGTCCTTTACCTCTGATTATCACAGGAATGCCTTCAGTGTTTCAGGATTACCACTCATTCTTTGATTCTTCAAACATTTTCTCAGCACATTCAAACTGCTAGGTTCTGTGCAAGGTGCCAGGGATCCAAAGTGAAGAGGACATAGTATCTGACCTCCGAGAACTTAGAATTAATTGATTTTGACTTTGAGCTGGGCACACTGTACAATGTCAAATGACTAACCCAGCTATTTTGTTACCAAGCCTCAGGAAGCCAGCCTTCCTACTTATTTTAGATTTGTTATTAGGATTTGGTAACCTATTTCACCTACTGCTTTTTTGAGATAATCATGAAGTTCGCCCCCATATTATGTTCATTTTGACACCAAACTTAGTTGCTTGCCATAGATTGTTATTGTGGATTTCCATAATACTCCCCATCCTAAAGAGCAGCTGTCAATGCCATTTACAACATGTATTTCTCTAAACTGGCTGTGGGATGCATATTCCTGAAGCCAGCGCCAAGGTCATTCCGTTTCCCAAGAGCAAGCATCTACTCTCCAGAGGAGAAAGACATCCTCTGGAAAGAAGGTAGGTTGTCTGTGCAAGGATCATCTGGAAGCTGGGAATCTGGAACTCTCAGATACGCAGGTAAATATGCGTCTAGTCCTTGTACTTGGTGCTCGCAACCATTACCTTAATTCAGGGAGCAGTGTCACCTTCCAAAGGAGATTCTTTTCCTATGCGTTGTTCCAAGAACAGAGGAGGTGGCATCAGGCTGGGCAGGGTTGGGACGGCTGTCACCTTCGGTCCGAAATCACTGGCTGAAGCCCCCACCACCCCTTTGTCTCCCCATTTAACAGGGCATAGAGATTCTTCTGACGTCCACTCATGCAGCAGCTCAGGTGTTCTAAGGGAAGTGGACCTCTCCTCCCAGCTCCAGCTGGGAGTCCCAGTCAGCACGTTCCCCTCCATTTGCCAGTGAATGGTTCTGAGGATGTTGTGCAAGCTATGCAGGGTGAGGCTGAGGAAACCAGGACTCTGTTTGGAATGTGGAGAGAGGGGCCCTCTGTGTCTTCTGAATAGTGATGCATGGATAAGTCCTGGGGGTGACTCCAGCCAAGCATCCCCGTGAACAGAGGCAGACTCAGGACAAAGCTGTCCCTGAAAGCTGGGAGAAAAGCCCAGGTCTGAGTTGCTGAGTCCAGGCACCCTCTCTTGGGACCTACACTGAGCCTGTGCCTGTTTTTCTGCTTGACTGGAATGAGGTGCATTTTCTGTGACTTGCGATGGCCCACACTCATGGCTCATTGCAGAATGAGCCATGCTTTCCTGATACGCCATGCTGAGGAATTTCCTTGTCCTCAGATCCTATGCCCTCTCTGCATTGCTGTCCTCGAAGACAGCATCCAAAGAGGCCCTAGGTCCCTCCCACACAGCAGGGAGTACACCCTTCACAGTCCCGGTGCCGAGCAGAGCCAGCAACTAAGAACTGTTTGACAAAGTAGAAAGAAGGGCTCGGAAGATGACATGCCATATCATTGCCTTGGGTTGTTATCATTTCCTGCCCTTCCTTTTCTAGTTTTAGAGGGACAGAACTAATGGCTCATTACAAAAATGCCTGAAGACCGCTGAGCTCCTTGGCACGTGGTGCTGATGGCCTGGTGCAGGGTGCCATGGTGGCCAGCTGTGCAGCAGCTTTGGTATGTGCCATGCAGCTGTTTTCTTCATAGCCTCTAAAAGGACTTGCCTTACGGAAGTGCCCTGAGATCATACTCTGTGAGGTCAGGTATTAATCATTTCATACACCAGTGGTAACTGGACACACTGTCTTTGCAAAGTGAAAGTTGTTTATTGCTTGTTACGATTTAACAGGCAAAATACGACACCAGGGATGTAATACCTACAAGGCGGTCTTCCTGAAATGCCTGCCCGGAACAGAATGCTGGGATGCACTCAACTGTGAATTTTTCTTGAGGTCTTCCTTTCCTTCATCTGGATGAAGTGGAGCCCAGCCCTCCTGTGTCAGTGAGACTGGAAGCCTCTGGGGGCCATGTGCTCTGCCCTCTGCCATCTCTGCTCATTGTTCCCCCATGTTCACACCTGCCTGCATTAACCATGAGCAGTCACACATTTGTACTCAGTGCGCAGTCACACATGTTGAAGAAAACAAATCGTACTGCTTGTTCTTAAAAATGAGATGAAAAAATAAATCTAAACACACTTTTCAAGTGTTACTCTTCTTTAAACTTTTATATATGTTAAGGCTCTTCTTTTTCTTTTCAATATACTCTACTTAGAATTTTAAAAAATAAACTTTCTTTTTTGGTACCTCTTGTTTCCTGTATTAGCCTGGGAAACATTTAGAAATACATCTCCCTAGAACTCTTCTGTGCAAATAATAAACATAAATAATATTAACATTTATTTATATATATTAAAAAAGGCCATTTCAAGGTTTTCACTGTGACCGCCTTGAAGATGCTCCTATAAGTAGTCTGTGGTCTGGCCCTTGAAGTCCTGATCGGCCTGAGTGGGGCTGGACAGGAAGTCCACGTCCCGCTTGTCCATCTGCAAGCTGCTCCGTCCGGGAGAACTGTAAGACACTCCCCAGCCTGCTGACCAGCGACCAGGAGGAAATCCAGTTGAGTAAGCTGAAGGTAGGCAGGCTGAAGAGGGAAGACAGGGGGGTCACCCTGCCGGTGCTGGCAGCTCTCACCTTGGACTCCTCAGGACACCCTCCTGGACTCCTCAGGACAGCCTCCCCTGGCGCAGAGGACATGGGGGCCGGTGCGCTCAGCCCCTCCAGCAGGGTGTGCTCCCTCACTGGCATGCTCATGTCCACTGTGCTGGGCTCCCCGCTGGCCTCCAGGGAGCAGACCGGCTGCTGTGTGTGCCAAGAAGGCTGGGACAGGGGCACAGAGGTCTTGACTGTCCTCCCTGATGAGTGCTCGGTTCCCGAGTCCTTCGGGAGGCGTCCCTGAGCAAAGGTCTCTTTGGGAGCACTGCATCTCCTGGGGGACTTCCTGGTCAACTGACGTGCCAGCTGAAGTTGTGTGGGGAAAACCCTCCCCTGGAGGGATCTGAAAAACAATCTAGAAAAAGTACATTAAAACAAAAAGTTAGATATTCCTGTCGGTGGTGTCTTTGAGCTTCCAGAGACCCACATAGAGCAGAAGCAATGCCAATGTCGTCTGGGCTCACTCGGGGCTCAGAGGCACTATCCCGCTCCGACACCCACCTGGGCAGCAGTGCAGCGACAGGCGTCATCAGGCAAGTCAAGTAAAACACTGGGTCACCCAGTAAGGCTTGCATAGTCCAGTAAGGGTTGGACGGAGGATAGCACGTGGCACAAGACGCATTGTAAATCAAAGCCACGGTGAAAAACAAAAGGACACTGAAGCCACACGTTATCCAGTTGAGCCAGGTCTGAGGGGGAATGAGAAAGAAAGGGCTTTTATTTCCACCTAAAAGTGACAACAATGACAATAACAAAAACGTGCCAGTCATCAATGAGCAGGTGTGAGGTTCTGAGGCCTTCAGACACACTGCGGTCTATGACGCGGGTAACCGGTGGGGCTCAATGAGGCCTCCAGAACCCATGGACCGCCCTGGGAGATGCACATGAGGTGAGATGGAGTCAGGGGCGAGAGGGCAAGACAGGAGGGAAAGGAGAGAATGTGGTGGTGGAAGCGGGAAAGAGGCGGGAGGGAGATGAGCATGGCCGGGGAAGTGCGAGCATCAGGCTGCAGCGGCTCCCCACACCACAGGGCTCGGGAATGTGTCATTGTCCTTCTCATCACACTGAGGTCAGCTTTGCAGTCTCCTGTCTACTCAAAACGACCTCCCAGACCTCATGAATCTGCAGGGAAGTGTGGGGTCCACGGCATCAGTGCTCTTCTGAGACGTGGCCATGCAGGCGGCTCTTACCCAGGTTTTGGTTTCAATGCCCAGGTGGAGCAGGAAAGTGAGCAGCGCGATTGTCACAATAGGGGTCCCCCAGGTAAACAGGTCCACGTTCGAGTCATAGTAGGCCTGAAAGACAGTGGGGTCCTGGATCTGTAGGTCCCCGGATCCAGCTGGTAAGAAAAACTGCACCCAGGGGCCAACTTACCAGGTAAGGAATGGAAAAGCAAACCAGGCTCTGGAAGGCGGCGTCGGCCATGTTAAACCAGAACGTTCGTGGCCGGTATTCCTGGGACACAAAAACAATCAGTGATGTTACAGTGAAGCATTGGCATCCTCTGTGAAAGCAGTTAGAATAAAAATGGAGTCACTTGTGTTAAAAACAACAACAATAACAACAAAAACCCACCCTGAGGAGTAGAGCTGGGAAAGGCCATGAAGGGAGGGTTCTCATGCATAAATACCTGATAACAAAAATGATCATATCCACAGAAAAATATATCTATAAGGACATGTGCCCAGCAACTGTCTGTCCAACCTCAAACAGGCACCATCTTTGTCGTTTATCCTTGTAGTCAAGGAAAGAGCATCTCAAAACGATCATGAAATTTTTTCCTTTAAATACATTTGTCTTCCTTTACCTCGCTAAATATGCACATAGCTTACTACAGCACACACATTCCCATTGCAGTGCCCTATTCCCGAATAAACACCATTCTCTTTTAGAGAGCCTCTCTCTGTTTGCTATTTAGGTTGACACCTCGAATGACATTTCCTAGGATGCTACACGTAAGTTAATGCACAAGGCAAGCACCCAAGGAAAACTCACTCTCTCAGGACTTTTGGAGACGCGAGGCCCCAGAGGCCCGATGAAAAGCACTACCAAACACCTACAAAACTATCTGCAGCTGCGTCACTCACTGGGAACACCTGCACCAAAAAGACGAGCTTCAGTAGCTCCAGGTTCACAGTAAAAAGATGAAACTGGCTGGGTGCGGTGGCTCACGCCTGTAATCCCAGCACTTTGGGATGCCCAGGTGGGCGGATCATGAGGTCAGGAGATCGAGACCATCCTGGTTAACATGGTGAAACCCCGTCTCTACTAAACATATAGAAAAATTAGCCAGGCATGGTGGTGGGCGCCTGTAGTCCCAGCTACTCAGGAGGCTGAGGCAGGAGAATGGCGTGAACCCGGGAGGCGGAGCTTGCAGTGAGCCGAGATCACACCACTGCCCTCCAGCCTGGGTGACAGAGCGAGACCTTGTCTTAAAAAAAAAAAAAAAAAAAAAAAGATGAAACTGCTTTCTGCATCTTCCCAGGGAACATGTCTCTCAAGTAGGAAGTAGGAATAGCACCTGAAATTCCGGGCATTCTCCCCCAGTTTGAGCCCTTCTATTCCTTCCACTTTGACCAGTTTTTGCCTCTCTTGGTGGTGGGTCCCTTAGAATGTTTCTTAAGAGCGAGTCTTCACTTTTAAAATTACACGATGGATGTGTCCCAATGTTAAAAGCAAACAGCTATATACCCATGGGCAGAAATGAAAATAACCTTGATATAGATGAATAGAGTCTCTATTACCCGGGTGACCAAATGTGTATTTGACCCTGCCAAGTACCAGAGCAGCTGGCACGGGACCTGCAGGAAACACACACTGGGGAAGGAGCTCTGGCTGAGCACTTAGGGAAAGTGCTGGCTAGGCTCTTCCTGTGGGCCACTTAATTCCACAGGACAGGACACACTCCCAGCGTCTTTGTCCCACAGGTGGCCGAGGAGGCTGAGGCCTGGCCAAGGATGGGAACTCCCCTGAAGCAACAGATAACAAGCAGAGGCCCTGCTCCCCTCCCTGGCCCTTCGCCTCCTGGCACCCCGTGCATGCGGCCTGCTTCTGTGGGAACTGAACATTCTCAGAGGTGGCCAGGGGAAGTTAACTCATCAGTGAATGAATCTGGAATTAGGGATTATTGCAGGAGAAATGAGACTCCATGTTCTTTTTGCCCACATGGAATAATTCAAGGCAAAGAAAAGCACTTGCTGTCTATTTTAATGGCTGGCTAGAAACAGCTGGTCATCAGTGTGTGAATCTATGTGGTATATTAATGCCAGTATGTATTTAAATCTATTTGCTCTTTCAGTGGCTCAGTGGCTTCCTTGTGGGTTTGTCTTCTTGTTAATTCCCGTTCAAAATAAGTCACATTTTCTTCCTTGCTTTAGAAAAATCCCCCCTCTAGCTTCAGTGATCCCCTGTGACTGACTGGACTCTGGGCTTTTCTTGGGCTCCTGGAGACTCTTGGAGGGGGGACAGTTTCGCTTACAACACTTGATGCACTGCAGCCAAGCAGAGGGCAGCCCTTTTTCTCCATCCTCTAGAATGGTGAATTCTAGAATTTCAGTTTGTCCAGGGTGTCCATCTGAAGGGAGGCTGGGGGACTGGCACTTTGGAAGAGTGAACGTGGAGGGCAGAGCTCAGGAGGTGGAAGGCGGAGACTCGGGGGAGCTTTACCTCCATGTTCTGGCCACTCTTGTAGAGCTGCGGGTTGGTCAGCAGCACATTGGCTGGCACATCCCTGTCCAGCACCCCAGTCACGAGCGGGGGAAGTGACGAGAAGAGCAGATTAAAGAAGATTAGATACCACTGGTCAATCATGGTAGATGCAGAGAAGCCACAGAAAAACTGGAACCAAAACAGGAGGCCCACGAACATCTGAAATCAAGAAAGGAAGAACAGGAACAGGCGAGTCTTCAGCCATTGCTGAGGATTCTCATCCGAGGGAGCTGACAGGCCTGCAGAGTTTCACAGTCAAGATTAAATGTATTGGCAGCGATTTCTGCCAAAGACAGCCATGACCTTGAGCCCTGCTGCTGGCCTCTGCCTCTCCCTCTTCCTCTTTCCCTTCGCCCTCCTCACTCCCTTAAGAAAGAAGAACTGGCAGTGGGAATTGGGAATTCCCAGGAGCAGCACTTGCGGGGATGAGATTTTTGTGCTTGACAAGCTCTGGATCATTAACATAAAACAAAATCAAGGTTTCACAGGGGTGTAGGGCTGCTCACATTTCAAGAGGGCCAGTTGAGTATGAGCTGTGGCATCTTCCCTAGTGGCCCTCCTCTGTCTGTGACCCCAGACAAAGCCTACCTGTGGCTATATCTCTGCTCCTGTCTCTTCTTTAGTGACCTGCATACTCTCTGAGGAGGTGCAGTGGACAGTGACTGACTCCCACTGAGGGGAGGACACACAAAAGCACAATAGCAAAGCCAATGACCTCATCAACATCGCTGCAGTGACCTGATTGTCCACGGGGACCTCTGCTGGGGGGAGAGGGAGAGGCATCATCTCTGATCCTCATAGCTACAGCTACCCAGCTCAGCAGAACAGGAAAGTGAGATTCAGGGAGGTGGAACAGCCACCTCTGGCCCCTGCTCACTGGGGTGGGAGCAAGGTCAGATCTCTTCTCACTATTGCTAGATTCCTGAATATCAGCAGCCTGAGTGCATTTATACGGTGGACATGACAGTTTAGTGATTGCAAAGCATTCTAACACTCATGAGCTATGTAGCTGGGCACAGAGCATGAACTCCTCAGTCTCGCTTTCCTTGCTCATGACATGGGCATACCAATGATACTCAGCCAATGCAGCTGCTGTGAGCGTGAAGCGACCCAGTACATTTAGAGGACTCACCAGAGTCCCTGGAGAGCTATAGGTGATCGCCTACGGTGTATGGTGGTGAGTGGTATCGTTAGTTCCCTTGTTTGGGACTCAGGCAGGGCGAGTGCTCTTATCCCACATACAGAGAGGGAACTTGAAGTTCCAAGACATCAAATGACTTGGCTGAGGTCACGGTGTGAGTAAGGAACCCAACTTGTTCAACTGCGATGGGTCTTGGCTTGGAGGGCAGGCACAGTCCCAGCAGGGAACTCTGACGCTAGACAGACATTTTCTGCTGGGCACCGCAAGGCCTGGGCTTGGTTCTGGAGCTGCAACTATCTACCCTTTTGACCCTGACTCAGTCACTTCACCTCCCTGAGCTTTTGGCTTCTTGACCTGAAAGTGACTTGTGAAGATCATAAGAAATAATAGCTTATGTTGAAATAACCCACCATGCCACACAGCCTCCAAGTCCTGTGTCAGACTATGATTTAAATGTCTTAATATGCAGCCTTTCCCTACATGCTGAAAACGAACATTTGGTTTTTATTCATTGACTTTCTTCCCTTCCTCACTCCTACGGCTGGCTCTCGCTCACTCACCCCCGCAGGCTTGGCCTAGTGAGTCATCGGTAGCAAATACAGTCAAGAGAAAGAGAAGATAAGTACTCAGATAATTGAGATTTTTTTTCCTATAGTACCAAAAAGCTTTCTTCCCAAACCACTGTTGTTATGGAAACCTTTCTTCTCTGCTTTTTATTGGAAAGAAAGGCCACCTTATTCCTAAAACTAATGAATTTCTCATTTCAGGAGGCAGAGTGATTATCCTTGAACTCCTCATGTAGATTAATGCTTGTTAACAAAGGCCTGGCATTTTTATGGAATAAAAACAGGCGTCCTCTTCTCCTTTCTGCACCCTTCAATGGGGAGGGACTCATCGCAGCAGGCAGGAGGCTGTGCCCGTTCCAGGTGACCACTAGGGCCTTTGTTTGCATCTGAAGTGTTTAATGATTTGGCCTACATCATTCTTGCCCTCCCTTCGATCTGAGACATTTTAACTGGGAATTAGGGATCAGCTGGCTCAACTCACAGGCTTTGCTTTGTTTTTTTAAGATTTAAAAGAAGACTGGACATGGTGGTTCATGCCTATAATACCACACTTTGGGAGGCAGAGATGGGACGATAGCTTGAGGCCAGGAGTTTGACACCAGCCTGGGCAACATAGCGACACCCTGTCTCTACAAAATAGAAAAAATTAGCTGGGCATGGTGGCCTGTAGTCCCAGCTACTCAGGAGGCTGAGGTAGGGGGATTGCTTGAGCCTAGGAGTTTGAGGATACAGTAAGCTAGAGTGGCGCCACTGCACTCCAACCTGGGCAACAGAATCAGACCCTGTCTTTAAAAAAAAAAAAAAAAAAATCCAAAGCAGGAATTAACTTGCTCAAGAACCCACAGCTAACAAGTGATAGAAAGGGGGCTTGGATTCTTCCCTGCCCACCCCCATTCATCCCTCCACTCCTTCGGGAGCTGAGAACCTTTAGGCTTACAACTGTGCACTTGAGGCCTCAAAGTTCTGGGGATTTAATGCCAGGGCTGGGAGAAAGGAGGTATGAGCCGGCAAGCCCAGGAGTGGTGTGACACAGCCTTCCTCAGATAGTCCCAGGCACAGCCTAATCTGAATTAATGTCTGGGACCAAACCTATCAAGTTAAACATGCCCTGACTGGATCTGAGCAGCTGTATGCATTTGCTAGAAGACGCTCCGAAAAATGAAGGGGGTGAGTGTGAAGGGGAAAGAGAGGTTGGGAAAAGAAAGGCAGGTGTAGCCTCCAGAAAAACAATTAAGAACATGGAGAACCAGCCTGAGCAACAAAGTGAGACCCTGCCTCTACAAAATTAAAAAAAAAAAAAAATTAGATGTGCGTGGTGACACGCACCTGTAGTCCCAGCTGCTTGGGAGGCTGAGGCTGGAAGATCACTTGAGCCCAGGAAGTTGAGGCTGCAGTAAGCTATGATGGTGCCACTGCACTCCAGCCTGGGAGACAATAGTGACACCCTGTCTCAAAAAATAAAAATAAAATGAACATGAACAACCACTGACAGTTTAGAGCTAGCTAACTGGAGAGTTTTTATACAGAACTGGAAAAAGAATACACCTTTTATTTTATTTTATTTTCAGAAGAGTATAGGATAATCTTGACACTGGAGTTCTGGTGTTTAGCCAGGTAGATTTATGGGACTACCTTGGAAGATCACTTACCCTAAGAGTTTATTTTGTCTCTTTGTTTGTACATTCAGCCAAAAGCAGCAGCAGCCTAGCAACTCCTCAGTAAAATATCTAGAAATCTCTTACAAATGGGGCAGAACTCTGAGACGGCCATGTGGTCCATCCTGCAGGGCTATGGAGGAGCCCATCTGCCAAAGAAGCAGTGAAGAAGGAACGAAGAGTCCAACGTGAAGATCCACATGAAATGACCATGCAGAACCCTCAGAGAGACAGAAATGTCTGCAGCCAATCTGCCCTGGGTGTGGCTTTACAGCAGGGTCACTTTAGCTACAGAATGAGCTCATCCGAGAGGGGTGTGTCTGCTCTGCAAGCCTGGGAGGTGGGAGAGGGTGGGAAGGCCCGAAGGGCACCCCCTTCCTGCTGGGTCTGAGCCTCCCTGACCTAGGGGCTTGCCGCCTGTCACCTGTCCTGGTGTGGGTGTGTCCCAACAGAGGCCATTCAGTATGGGAATCAGAGTGAGGCTAAGTTCCCTTATTCTGATCCCAGACCACAAAGCACACTTGTGCTTATCATTGGATTTTCCGTCTACTCTAGAGAAAATGCTGATTAGAGGACTCCTGTTTGGGGATATTTCAGCAGCATGCTCCTGAGAAACCTATGGACAGAGTGGTTAGGAGCCTGGGAGCAGGACTGGGTGGCCTGGGGTGAACGCAGCCTTGAAGGTTTACCAGCTGTGTGCCCCTGTGCAAACTGCTAGCCTCATAATTATGCCCCTTCTCACTCTGCAGCCATCAGTGGACTTGCTAGTGTTATCCACCTGTTTCCACCACCTCTCCCTAGAGATGCAGCTGCTCTCATGCCCCTGAATTAGACTCTGAGCCTACAGAGTGCAGAGCCAGCCCAGGACAGGGGACAATTACACAGGCGAAGGAGGATGGAGCAGGTTGTCCATGGCCTCCCATCTGCTCCATCCTCCTTCGCCTCATTCAGGCGATGGTCCTAAGAACCGAACCTTCCAATCCCAAAACTCTAGACAGGTATCCAATACCTACTGTGTTTTTGTAGAAGAAGTACAGCACCATGTTGGCAAGTCGGGAGTAGCACCAATGCCCGTGAAGAATCAAGAGCCTCTCCAGGTATCGGAATTTCGGCACTGCAAAGTCGCTGGCCATCACTGCCTTCAAAGGGAGAGGGATTCCTGTTACTGGTGATGCCGACCTGGCGTCAGATTTGTCTTCTCTTCTCAAAATGCAAGGTACACAACAGGGAAGGAAAATCCCCATTCTGAACACAGTGCGAGCGTGGCCGGCCAGGGTCTCCATCGCTGTCGTCTCCCTCAGCATCTCCTTCCGTTACAAAAGAGGCAATCTCACCCAACACGCTAGTTCAGGGATGTCACCTTATAAGATTCATTTACGCTTTCAAATATGTGTCACTAATGGGGTTTAAAAGGTTTTCTTTTTTCCTGCTGTTTTCTCAACAAATGAAAACACACAGAGATACATGGTGTTTATCTGCCTTTCTTTGCCCCGGATGTCATTTTCCTCTAAATCGGTCCATGGTCACAACCCAAGGATGACCCAAAGCTGCTCCTGCCGTATGTATCAGAGACAGACATTCCCCTGTCCTGGGAGGTGCATTTTGGGCTGTTCCCCCCAGAAGCCTTGGTGATGGGCAAAGCCAGGCCCACAGCTCCACTGGCCTCCCACATACTCCCAACCCAGGACGCCGGGTGCGGGCAGTGGCCGTGTGCAGGAGGGAGTGGAGAAGACGTTTCCTCCATGGACAGGCAGGAGCCTGCCATGGAAGCTTCCCCTGCATATCATCAAGCAAGGTGCTTACGCAGTGAAGCCAACTAGGCTGGAAAACACCATCAAAATGATACCTTTTGTCCCCAGAATAATTTGAAACCCACTGTACAATAAATGTCTTTGGAAAAAAAAATCAAACAAAGTGGCAGGAAAAGCTAGATTTCTGCTTATCAACAGAAGGTTATTCTAAACAGAATGCCAACCTGCCTTTAACATCTAACTGGTTTCCCTATATTCAAATAATATGTAGAAAGCAGTAAGTTATGCCTCAAGTGGTACGCTTGAAATGGAATAGTGTCATGATACACAAAACCTTAGAACATCAATTTTCTGAACCAAAAGTTAAGGATTTCAAAGCAAATGTCCCTCTACCTCTTGCTGTCAACACATAGGGGCTTAAAAGGTTTTTCGTGTTCTGTAATGCTTTACCCATTAACCCCATGATTCATTCTCTCAAAAATCATTTATTAAGACTCCACTATTGCCAGCCACAGACTTGGAGAAACAGATACCATTAGACACAGTCCCCGTCCTCCACAGAATCAGTCTGAAAAGCTCAGTCAAAAGGGACCAGTGTTAAAAAGAGGCTGATGGCCTACAAGGCCAAACTCTAGGCTGCCTTTGAAGAAGAAACCCCCGCCCTTGAGAACCACAGTCAAACCCCTCTGAGGACGCCTGGCTTGCCAGCCTTCTGCAGCTCCTTCCTCCCCTAAATCCAGGCCTCAAATACAATGCTTGTCCTTCCGTCAAAGTGGCCTTTCCAAAGCCTCCCAGCTTTTCTGGGAATTCTAGGAGAGCAGGATCAGAGATGTTGGGGTCACCTTGTATCCCTGGCTCCCAGTCAGCCTTGGCTCTAGAGGGTGCAGGACA
The DNA here is from genome assembly GCF_000001405.40 of Homo sapiens. Classification (NCBI taxonomy): domain Eukaryota; kingdom Metazoa; phylum Chordata; class Mammalia; order Primates; family Hominidae; genus Homo; species Homo sapiens. The sequence goes on from NC_000015.10 coordinate 25,689,332, forward strand.
AATAGGGTGAACCAGATGAGCCAGAGCTCACGAAGACAGAACTTCCCAGGAGCTGTGGGATCTCCTTTGTTCCTCTTGCCCCCTGCCTGGGGCAGTCTCCCCACCTTGGCTGAGCTGGGGAGTGCCTGCTCCTCCTGCCTGATCCTCCACGGCTCAGCTCTGACATCTCTGGCATCCCTCTCCCTCAGCAACCCACAGCTCATCTCTCAAAGGGCTCAGCAGGGACTGACTAAAATGCAAGCAACAGGGTCCCAGTGCTGGAAAACCCAAGTGCATAGGATGGTAAGGAAAGGTATCAAGCCTCGTCCCCATCTCACCTAACACATCCCCAGGGAGGATGCACAGCTTTACATATGTGCAGAAGTGCCCAGCAACCTCCTCCCCAGCAGCTACGCCTGTTCAAAGCTGCATCTCTGGGCACCTGCCCTATGGCTCAGCTGTTCCCATCACCTTGCATGTAGAGCCCCAGGGCTTGGGCTGGTGCTCCCACCTTGAGGAGGAGAGCAGGCATGGCAGCTCCGGCCCCTCCCCAGCCACATGCTCAACATTCAAGTGTTTGATCCAAAAGATGTTTACTAGACGAGTTTCCAAGCATATGAGGTCAATAGGCACTGCCCCCATCAGATTTTCAGTAGAGGAAACAGTGAAAACAGAAGCAATGCCAACAAAGTCAGAATGAATGAACTATAGTTGACCCTTGAACAACACTGGAGTTAGGGGTTCCCCCGAACAGTCGAAAATCCACATACAATTTCTGACTCCCTCAAAACTTAACTACTAATAGCCTACGGTTGATGGGAAGCCTTACTGATCACACAAACAGTTGATAAACACGCACAATGGAATCTACATGTATTTCACATATTCATGACACACCTACGTTTTCCTTAATTTTTTTTCCTTTTTTTTAAAAAAAAAAAAAAAAAAAGAGAGACTGGGTCTCATTGTATTGCCCAAGCTTGAGTGCAGTGGTGCAATCATAGTTCACTTCAGGCTCAACCTCCCAGGCTCAAGTGATCTTCCTGCCTCAGCCCCCTAAGTAGCTGGGACTACAGGCATGGGCCACCACGCTGGGGTTTTTGCATTTTTAGTAGAGATGGGGTTTCACCACATTGCCCCGCTGGTCTCAAACTCCTGGCCTCTGGTGATCCTCCTGTCTTGTCCTTCCAAAGTACTGAAATTACAGGTGTGAACCACCATGCCTGGCCCGCTTTAATTTTTTCGATATTTCTAGGCTATGTGGTTCATCTGCAAGTTTTTTCAAATTGTCACAAATCTCCAAAAAATTTTCCAAATATTTATTGAAAAATGTCCCCATATAAGTGGACTCAAACAGTTCAGACCCGTGTTGTTCAAGGGTCCACTGTATTTTGTACATTTACTTAGCAAATGTTTCTTGAGCTTCCCCTTGTGCAAGGTGCCACACTGGGCACTGTGAAGACACAAAGGTGAGTCAAACATGAACACCATTTTCAATTTTCTGGAGGAAGAAAAAATGTGCGAGTAACGTAACACGGAGATTCCAGTCAGATGACGGCGGGGGGAGTAAGGCAAGTGTCAAGGACCAGCCGTGACGGAACTACTGTGCATCTAGCTTGGGACCCTCCATCTGAGGGTGGAACATCAGCTAAAACTATTAATGAGCTCTGCACAGGCCTGACATGTAGCACATGCCCAACAGATCATTACTGATCGAACCACTGAGTCAGCAAATGAATCAACCAGCGAGTAAGTGGTATCAACATCCTGGTTTTTAGAACTTCGGATAAATTGTTCCCTAAAATCTCCACCAACCCAAAAATGTTGTGATTCATACTTAATCAAATGTTGGAAACTGTTGTAATACTAAATCCAAAAGCAGCACATTTTTAGTTAAGTCATTTGTTCAATGTCTGACTCCCAGACCGAGAGTGAACACAGTGGCAGAGGAAAGATGCAGAGGTGAACTTCCATGTGAGTGAGGATGGCTACATTCCACCTGTACAGTGACGCCAGGCTCCACCTACATCAAAGGCATTTTTTCAAATGGTATTGCTCCGTGTTCACGGACAGTAAAAAGTGCCTGCTGGGACCGAGCCATCGAAAGCCAGACAGAAGGCGATGACTCACCTTGCCTCTCTCTGAACCACTTATTTCACAAAAATAGACTTGTGACATGGGAAGACATGCTTATTGCACACTGCTTCATAAACAGGAAGAATGGCATTCCTCCTTACCTTCCACTAGTGGCTTAGCAGCTGTATTGAGCATCAGCTATATTAAGGGCAAACCCTTTAGCCTCGTTCAGTAGAGCCCAGAGGAAGTCGGGGACAGCCCACAGGGTGACAGGACAAGAGGTCAGTAGGGCCAATTGGTCACACAGAATAGCCTGATTGGTCTTTACCTGCATACCCTCCTGGCCGGAGATTCCCACACCCACATCTGCCACCTGGATCATGCTGACATCATTGGCTCCATCACCTAGAAACAGCACAGGCAAGAAGAATTGTTTGATTCTAGAAACAGCACAGAATCAAATCAATGTGCTAGATTTTCTTGGGAGTCCCCGCTGAACTCAGTCCTGTGAAAGCGTCCTGGGGAAGATGGGGGAAAAAGGAGTAGAGCATCCACCCTGGGAGAATAGAGTTAAGCATTCAGAATAAGCTAGCGACACCAGGAGATGTTTCGGAAAGCGGGCTGGAGCTGAGCCACCTGGTACATGGCGCCTGCTCTGCAGTGCCGCTCTTACACCAGTAAAACCCTCATCCTGCTGTCTGGCACAAGGAAAGATGCTATCATCATCTTCATCATCATTAGTTACTGAGCCACTCCAGCCAAGCAGCCAAGGCTACTCCCAGCCACACTTCCCGGGCAGTTTCTAAACTAAGGGAAGGAGGTTAAATTCAGCCCAGCACGTTGTGGAGCTCTTTTTTTTGCATATGGATTGCCACAGTATTAGCCATTGTGCTCACTTTGGGGCCCTCTAGGGGTGCAATAAAGGAGAACTTCTCTTCATTCTGTCAATTTGTTGATAGAAAATGTTTAGGAACACAGAGCATGGTCAGATATCTGGACACCTTCGGGGAAAGGACAGCAGAGTCATAAAGTTGTTATCACTCCGTGACGGTCACCATTCTTGGAACTGGGCAGCAGAAGAGCCCAAATCAGGGCATACATCCCAAGTTGCACAAATGAGAAAAGGTGCAGATACACAAAGTTAGAATGACTTGTAGTGTGACTACAGGATGTCTCTTCCCTGTGATTTTCCTGTTCTTTATAATGTTGAGACCAATATTAACTGATCAGTTAATATATATCAAATTGGAATTCTCTGAAGCAATAAAAATCTGTACAGCTTTCCCCAGAATGTCCCATTTAAAATGAGATACGGTAAAACATGAGATATGGTATGCAACGATGCTCTCTACATTATAAACCACTGGGCACTAGGAGTAGGTCACATTGATGCTTTAACGCATTCTTTCTTTCTTTCTTTTTCTTTTGAGACAGGGTCTCACTCTGTCACCCAGGCTAGGTGGGAGTGCAGTGGCATGATCATGGCTCACTGCAGCCTCAACCTCCTGGGCTCAAGTGATCCTCCCACTTCAGCCTCCTGAGTAGGTAGGACTACAGGTACATGCCACCACACCCAGCCAGGTTTTGCATTTTTAGTACAGATGGGGTTTCGCCCACCATGTTGCCCCAGCAGTTTTTTTTTTCTTTTTTTGAGACAGGGTCTCTCACTCTATTGCCTAGGCTGGAGTGTAGTGGTGTGATCACGGTTCACTGCAGCCTTGACCTCCTGGGCTCAGGTGAGCCTCCCACCTCAGCCTCTCAAGTAGCTGAGACTGCAGGTGTGTGCCACCACACACAGCTAATTTTTTTTATTTTTTGTAGAGATGGGGACTCACTATGTTGCCCAGGCTGGTCTCAAACTCCCGGGCTCAAGTGATCTTCCTGCCTTGGCCTCCCAAACTGTTGAGATGACTGGTGTGAACCACGTGCCCAGCCATGTGCTGATGTTCTTATGGGTCATTACTTTCCCGTTTTCTTTTGAGATTCCATTCTGTGTTTCCTTTTCTTTTTAATCTGCCAAGGATTTCCTTCCACTTCTTCAGGAATACCAGACACCAGTGGCTACGCGGCTGAGGCAGGCACTGGCCAGGCCAGGGAAACATCATTCACGTCTTACTGTGTACTGTGGCCTTTCAGGGCTGACGTTGTCCTCGTGCTCCCAGGGAAGGACGCTGACGCTCAGAGGAGGAGGCTGGGACAGGGGTGGTGCAGGTCAGCCTGAAGACCGTTTCCAGCTCCTCAGGGAAACCTGAGGGCCACCCCAGGCACATGAAGGCAAAGATGGCCTCAGGACAGGCCATGGCTGTTAGGTTCCCCGGGCCTCCTGAACACGTGCCCTGTGCCCACTCTCCTTAGCGGTTACTGGCCTCAGGGTGTGTAGGGCAGGGTCCCCATGACGACCGTGTTCAGGCCAGTGCTCGCTCTCCTCACTGCCACTGTAACCCAGGCTCAACAGCGGTCTCCTCTGGCCAGGTGAGGTGCCCACTGTGAACAGGCAGCAATCTCCATGTCAACAAGCAGGGGCTGTCACAGACCTTTTGCAGAAAATACTGCCAACACTGGCTGATTGATTGGCGAGGGTACTTGATTTCTGATCCAGTTCTCACCTAGGAGTAGATTCTATTTACAGGGAGGCCCAATTGTTGGCATGTGGGGGTCACGGCCACTGCTTCCTTCCTGGCCCTCACCAGGAGGTGGTGCTGCTGAGCCCCTGAACCTGTGCTAGAGACTCTGCCTGCACTAGAAGTGGGCAGAGAGGATGTCCTGGAAGGAGGCGAGTGGCCACCATCCCCTCCCTGGAGAGGAGCAGACAGGGCTCTCCAGGCCAACAGTGTCTGCCAGGAAAAACCACCATGAGAAACACAGTCCTTAAATAACTGGTGTAAAACTGAGCAGTGATGCGTATCTGATGATGGACTTATTTACTCAGAAGCCTGTCCCAGAACCATCAGCACAGCTGACAGGAGGCAGTGGGAATTCTGGTCACCAAGCCTCTGGGCCCTTAGGGCGTTACAAAGCCTTGGACACCCGGAGGCTCATGGTGACCAGAAGCAGCTGCAAAGGACCTTCTAAGTTGGCCTGGGCTAAGGCTGAGTGTGTAGTGCCCTCTGCTGTGGCCAGGACAGACTGGGACAGGCAGGTCTCTTGTGTGCTGTCTCCTGAGAAACAGGGTAAGCTCCATCTTGTTGCCGTAAAGCAGCACCGGATTACTGACCTTGCAGCATGAACCTGTAACTCTGCTACTCTCTTTTGTGGCTTTCCAATGTAAACTTTACCTTCGGAACATGTTGCCTGCTCTATCACACTGGGTGTGATTTTACACACAGAAAGAAAGGTGAGGAAGTGTTTTCCCATCTCGTGGTGTAGCATGGAAGGGTAGAGGAAGTTTGGGTCCAGCTGGGAGGAGGCCGTCTGGCCAGCTGGGATACTTGCCTATGGCCAGGGTCATGGCCTTGAGCTTGCTCCGCACCAGCTTCACCACCATGCTCTTCTGCAGAGGCGTCGACCGACAGCAGAGGACGGAGCGGCACTGCTTGGCAAGGAAGAGGAATTTGTCCTCCAGGTTTTTCTCGAGAGCGTAGGCCAGGCTTCTCCCATCGATCACGAGGCTGGGTCTGCGGCCAGAGGCAGTGGACGTGGAGGGTGGGCAGAGAGAGGAGAACCTCATGCTCACTTTGCCCTTGGTCTTCTCAGGGGCTCTCTGGAGGCCTCTGGACTGCACGTAGCATAGGCACTGGTCTAGCAGGGCTGCACACGCCTCCTGAAAGGGACATGAGAGGACAGCGCAGTTCCCTCAGAGTCATGCCACAAACATCCCCGCCCTGGCTCAACACCTCTGGAGCTGACATCCTTCCGGGCTCCAGGCTGCAGTACCCGCCTGCCCAGAGGCCACCCTCCAGAAACTGTGAAGTTCAGCCGGAGAGGATGACTTTCCCCAGAGAAGAGACTGAATTGGTGGCCAGGCACCGTGGGTGGCTCACTCCTGTAATCCCAGCACTTTGGGAGGCCGAGGCGGGTGGATCACGAGGTCAGGAGATCAAGACCATCCTGGCTAACACGGTGAAACCCCGTCTCTACTAAAAATACAAAAAAATTAGCCAGGCGTGGTGGTGGGTGCCTGTAGTCCCAGCTACTCGGGAGGCTGAGGCAGGAGAATGGCATGAACCTGGGAGGCGGAGCTTGCAGTGAGCCAAGATCATGCCACTGCACTCCAGCCTAGGCGACAGAGCGAGACTCTGTCTCAAAAAAAAGAGACTGAACTGGTCTAGGTTTCTCTAAGATCTTACTTGATCACCCATGATACAGTGCAGAGGTTGGAATGGACCATCTTCACTTTGGGAGGCCATACTGTATTATTGTGAAATTGCTGGATAGTTAGACTGAAGGCCCTCCATGTACTTCTTGATAGTTCTCAGAGGCCCTTACCTAACCCCCCAAGGACTAACTGCAGGACACAAAGCTCTGCAAAAGGCTTTGTTATGATTAGCCCCTAAAGAAATGCAATTTTCAGTATCCTCCCTAAGTTCTCCAATTCTGCCAGGAAAAGAAAAAAAAAAAAGCACAATTACGGAGGCTTTTAATAGGCAAAACTTGATCTGGATTCCAGAGAAAGGAGGAAAACCTACGGTGGTAGCAGCACTAGGGATCAGGGGCAGGAGCTGGAGGCACAGGAGGGACCACCGTCTCCAGGAACAAACACGCTCCGGGGAGCCTGGGCAGCTCCTGATCCTCCGCAGACCGTGAGTCTGCTGGGTCAGTGACCAGTGCCCTGCAACACACCACGGAAATCCAGCTGTGTTCAACACACGCTTACTGAGGATCCTTTGTATTCAGAAAATGAAGCCAGACTAGAGAAAAGAAGACTGAAAAGACACAGTTACTGCCGTAGGGGGAACAGACAGCTGATGCACACACACTCATGGCTGCAGCAAATCACCAACCAGGATGTGCGAAAGTGTGGAGATGGATAGGAGAGGGAGAGCTTTGCTTCCAGGGCATGGGGTGGGATATGGCAGTAACTGGGGAAGGCCTTGAGGAGAATGCAGGATGCCATCACAGGAACTCCATGAGCTCCCTGGACTCCCACAGCAGTGGAGACTCCTCCTTCATCCCGTTGCTCCCACTGACTTCAGGCGGCACTTGGGCAGGACGCATAGGCTCATTACTGCAGAGCTCTGAGAGGGAGTAGCAGCCGATGGACCGGGAGAGGAGACAAGTGTGCTAAGGACACTGAATGGGTGGTGGGTATGTCACTGTCACTCTGGTAGCCCCTGGCTTAGCCCAAGGCACCAGGGAACCTGGACGTGGGCTCCAAGGCAATGACAGAGAGAGCTCCAGGAGATACCTTCTAGCTCTGGCTTGAGGAGTGAAAAGGGGGTTCCCAGTGCTCTGAGAAGATGAGGAAGTCTCCAATTTTATTTATTCTTTTTCGTCTATTATTTTGAACTCAGTCCCAGGCAATTCTGCTACCGTGGCTATGCAGGAATGGCAGTGGCAGAAATGTCTGCTGCCGCAGACTCCAAGGGAGCTAGACCCTCCTTTCCAACAGAGCCTGTGGTGCTCTGTCTTCTATTCTGCCCCCACTTGGCGCTGGATGCAGGAGAAGGGCAGGAAATATGGGAAGAAGAAGGTGACACACTCCAGCTTTCCTGCCAGAAGACTGAAAAGGGGATTCTTGGGGAACCAGAGGCGCTGGAAAAATTGTAAAGAGAAGCTTGGCTAACTGACCCCATAATGTTGTTAATGAATTCCTGGGCTCACCCATAACAAAGCCTTTGAGAGGCAAACTCTGCAACAGACTGCCACCCAAGTTCCAAGGTGACCTCTGGAGGGCAAAAATGCAAGACTAGGTCTTATAAACACATCTGCCTTTGAAACCAACACCCAGAGCTCACAGCCCAAACCCCACAGGGTTGATCACCTGCTTAAAAAAAATCCACATTCTCCATAGAAATTAAAAATGGCCAGTGTCATAACATAATATTCGAAATGCCCATGATACAATCCAAAACTTCTTAGCATACAAAGAACCAGGAAAATCTTAACTCTGTGGAAAAAGACAATCCACAGAAGCCAATGTCAAGATGACACAGATACTGACATTATCGACAAAGAAAGACGAAAACAGCCATTATCCAAAAGTTCCAAGAAGTAAGATTGAACATGCTGGAAATGAACAGAGAGACAGACAGTCTTGGCCAAAAAGAAGGAAGATATTTCAGAGAACCAAATAGAAATTTGTGACAGAAATACATTAACTGAAATAAAAAGCTCACTGGATTCTAAATCATCTATGTAGATACTCTGCCCTCAAGGAGAAAACTATAACTCCACACTCCTTAACTGTGAGCTGTGCACAGTGACTTCCTTCGGAAGAATTCAGTATGGGAAGAGGCAAAGAGTACAGTGACTGAAAGGTCAACCCCAACAGTGACATGGTGTTGACAGCATGTACCCTTGATAGGATATGATGAAAATGGCACTTGACCTCTGTGGCTGTCCTCCCTAAAACCCTTAGCTCCACTTTAGTGATAAGAAAAACATCAGACAAATCCCAATATAAGGGCATTCTACAAAATACCTGGCCAGCACTCTTCAAAATGGTCAAAATGATTAAAAATAAAGAAAGTTTACCGAAGTGTCACAGCCAAGAAGAGTGTAAGGAGGCATGATGACAAAATGTAATGTAGTGTTCTGGATGGGATCCCAGAACAAAAAAAGGACACTAGGTAAAAACTAAGGCAATGTATGAACTTCAGAAAGTAATGATGTATCAACATTGGCTCCTTAATGTGATAAATGTACTAGGCTAATGTAAGATCAGTAACAATAAATTATGTATGGCATACATGAGAAATAAGTCTGTACTATCCTCACAGTTTTTCTCTAAATTTGAAACAATTCTATATATAAAGTTTATTTTTGAAAACTCTCTGGATGGGCCCAATGGGAGAATAGACACGACCAAGGAAAGAGTCAGTGAAGATCCGCTTTCACTTAATGAATAGTAAATATATTTTCTCTTCCTTAAGATTTTCTTGATAACATTTTCTTTTCTCTAGCTTACTTTATTGTAAGAATACAGCATATAATACATACAATATACAGAATAGGTGGTAATTGACTATTTGTTATCAGTAAGGCTTCTGGTCAACAGTAGGCTATGAATAGTCAAGTTTTTGGAGAGTCAAAAGTTATATGTGGATTTTTGACTACATGGAGGGATTGGTATCCCTAACCCCTACGTGTTCAAGGGTCAACTGTACTATAAACTGATGGAAAATAAAAATTTAAAAATACTACTTACAAAACCTACAAAAAATGTTGTACAGATGGTCCCTGACTTACAATGGTTCAATTTACAAATTTTCAACTTTTGGATGGGTCTTTTGGGGTATTAAATACATTTTCAACTTATGATTTTTTTGACCTATGATAGGTTTATTGGGACATAACCCCATCATAAGTTGAGGAGCATCAGTGCTTGGGTATGTATCTAACAAAACATGTATATGATGTGTATGCTGAAAACTATAAAATGCTGATAAAAGAAATAAAAGAAGACCTAAAAAATGTAGAGATATACCATGTTTACAGAGTGGAAGATCAACATAATAAAAATATCAATGCTTCCCAAATTGATTTATAAATTTAACAAAATTCAAATAAAAGCTCCAGCAGGAATTTCTGAACAGAAAAATTAATTTAAAATTCATATACGAAGGCAACAAATAAGAAGACTAGCCAAAACAATTTTGAAATAGAATAAAGTTGGAGGAATAACACTACCAATTTTTAAGACTTATAAAAAACTACAGTAATCAAACTACTACAATGAATCAATACACGTCGTATTGGTGAAGGGATAGACAAACAAATGAATGGAACAGAACAGAAAGTCTAGAAACAGACCCACACAAATGTAACTAACTGATTTTTGACAAAGACGCTTTCAACCAAAAGAAGACGCTTTCAACAAATGGCACTGGAGGAACTGGGCAGCCACATGTGGAAAGATGAAGTCTAACCTAACCCTCACACCTTTCATGAAATGTGACCCAAAATGGACTGTATCTATAGATAAGATGTTAACGTGTAATGCTTTTAGAATAAAACACAGGAGAAAATATTCATAATTAGGCACATCTTAGACATGACACCAAATGCATGATACATAAAATTTAAAAAAAATGACCAATCAGACCAGGCACAGTGGCTCAAGTCTATAATCTCAGCACTTTGAGAGGCCGAGGCAGGACAATCACTTGAGTTCAGGATTTTGACACCAGCCTGGGCAACGCTGGGGCATCCCATCTCTTAAAAAAATAAAAAATTAGCCAGGTATGCTTGTGCGCTCCTGTGGTCCCAGGTACTAGGGATGCTGAGGCAGGAGGATCCCTTGAGCCTGGGAGGTTGAGGCTGTAATGAGTTGCGATGGCACCACTGCACTCCAGCCTGGATAACAGAGTGAGACCTCATCTCCAAAAAGATAAAATAATAAAATAAAAATTTAACAAGAATAAAAATTTATCAAAACTAAAAGCTTTTGTGAAAGACAATATTAAAAAATAAAGAAGATAGGGATGAAATATATGCAAATCACATAGCCCACAAAGGACTTACATACAGAAAACATAAAGAATTCTCAAAACTGAACATTAAGAAAACAACTCAATTAGAAAATGGAAAAATACTTGACAATTCATCCAAGAGGATATTTGAATGGAAAATAAGCACATGGAAAGATGTTCAACTTCATTAGACACTAGTGAAATGCAAATTAAAACCATAACAAGATACCACTACACACCCATTAGAGGGGCTAGCAGAAAAAAAATCAATGACAATGCGAAGTGCTGGAAAAGACACTGAGCAAAGTAATACAGCACTTTGAAAAGCAGGCTGGTGTCTGGCAGCTTCTTATAAACTTAGACACATTCACATCTAACCTAGGTATTTAAAGAAATGAAAACATGTTCACACAAAAACCTGTATACACACATTTATAGAAGTGCTGTTTATGATTGTCAACAACCAGAAACAACTAAAATGTTCTTCACTGATTGAATGGATATGCAAAATCTGGTGTTAGTGGATATTACTCAGCATCAAGGAGAAATATACTACTGGTTCATGCAACAGCTCAGGTGAATCTCAAAAGTGTTATGCTGAGTGACAGAAGCCAGGCTCTGAAAGTTACACACTGGAGTATTCTGTTTACTTGACATCTGGAAAAGACAAAACTGTAGTTCTGGAGAACAGATTGGTGGCTTCCAGAGGTTAGAAAAGGAGGGAAGTTACAATTGCACGGGGGTAGCATGGCAGACTTTCTGGGGATGATGGAACTCTCCTGGACCGTGGATAGGGTGGTGTATATACATATACAGATCTATGCACGTGTTAAAATTCATGTAAGTGTATAACCAAAAAAAGAGCCAATTTTACTATATGCTAATTATAGATAAATAAATAAAAGCAATGACCAGGTCATCAGGTCAACCTTTAGTATAAATTCGCAAACTTTCTTGGAGAAAGAGGTCACTTAAAAAAAAAAAAGGCCCTGGTGAAGGCACAGGCTCTGAAGCAGGGTGACCTTGCATAGATGTGAGAGGAAGGGGGTGCCCCGGCCAGCGTGGCTGTGAAGAAAGGACTGGGAATGGTGGGAATCTGGATCATAGAATCCAATGGAACAAGGTGCGAGGGTCACAATGGCGTCTGTACAATGTGGACA